>NC_000007.14:117658294-117961324 GCF_000001405.40 Homo sapiens
GACTTTTCAAGTTTACATGTAAAATGGGCCCAGCGCAGTGCCTGGCAAATATGGGTACTAAGTAAAAGTAACTATAATCATGTTTTTTTAATCTGGACTTCACTTGGTCATCCTTTAAATGGTGTCTGACAGAATCCTAGTTCTTGTCTCACTTTACTTAGTTTCCCTGGGAAATTTCATGTGTCCTTTTGGCTTTAATTAATATCTCTATTTTGATGACCTCCATTATCTGCCTATTCCCAGAGCTTTCCACCTGATATCTCAGCACATGAAAAGCACCTTATGTCAATAAGTGAGTTCCTTCCCTGCCCCACCACATACCTGTCCTGTGTTCCTAATTCCACTGAATGGCATCCCATCCTCCAGTTTCCCAAGGCCAAGACCTGGGACTCATCTTTCACTCTCAAGTTCCTCCACGGGTACCCACATGTCACATCCTGTCAATGCTGTCCCTGGGGAGTATCTGAAATATATTCACTTTTCTTCATTTCCACCTGACACCACTATTAACACTTGCACAAATTTCTGAGGTTCCTGGCTCATTTCCCTCATTGACCCCCAATAGTTCATTCTGCTCTTTGCAGCTCTGGTGATCTTTCCAAACCCCACATCTGATCACTTGTTTCTTCCCTTCATATGGCTCCTTAATGCCTTCTGGACTAAGTCCACACTGCTTAAGGTGGCTTACCAGGTCCTTCATGATTTTGTCTTTGTTTGGCTTTCTACACTCACTGCCCAACTTCCCCTTACTTCCCATGATTCAGTTATACTGAATTTCTTTGGTTCTCTAAAGCACATGTGCTTTCTGTTCTGCAGAGGCTTTTTTGTTCACTTGCTATTCTCTACCTGGGAAACTCCCCCAGCCCTTCACTGCCTCCTTCTACCATCTTTCAGGCCTCTCCTTACACATCACTTCTTTCCAAAAATCTGCCTTGACACTCCAGGTCTCGGTTTCCTAGGTGTACCCTATAACTCCACCCCTTTCATAGCATTTCTCACTCTGGCTGGAGATTTACCTTTTAACTTGTCCATGTCCCCCACTGGAGTGGAAGTTCCTGGAGGTCAGGGATTATATCCTATTAATTGTTGTATTTCCAGTGCCTAGAGTAGTCTTGCATACATGGATGGTATTCAATAAATATTGGTTGAATGAATAAGGAGTTCTTTCATTTCATATGTAATAGATCATGGAAATAGCCTTGTGATTGATACACAGCAGGTATTACCATCCTCACTTTAGAATGAGGACTCAGAGCCTTGAGATGTCTGAGGGCCTTGACTGGGACAGCTGGCAGATGCAGGAGCAGAGCTGCATCACCCCTGTGGGCTATCTCAGGGTTGTCTGTAATCTAAGTACAATGTCTGTTGATTTTGGACTGAAGGCTTTTTGGGTAATTGTTTGCTTTTTCAATACTTATAAAATAGTTTCCATCCTTACTCATTGATAGTAAGGTTAGTTATTTTAGAAAACAAGCTAAATAGCAGAAATAGTGGCCTTTTAAGTTGAAAATTTACCCTGAAAAATCTACAGAGTAGCAAACAGAGTATCAAAAGGAGTTGACTGTATCTATTTTTATAACTGCCACTTATGGATTATTCAGTAAAACCACAATTCACTTTTATGATTTTTTTTCATGTTTCTCTGTCACAAGAGCAAACTCTTGCTCCATAATAACATTCCAGAATACAGCAATAGCAAAAGTCAACATTTTGAATCCTTTACAAACTCTTAGACATTTTTTTTTTTTTAGTTTAACATGTTACAAAACAAAATTTCTTCTTTTTTCACAGCAGTTTGGGAAGTACATACTATTTATTAGCTCATCAGCATGAAGCTGGAAAATTCTTTTTCCTAAAGTTCTTTATATCTACAAACTGTTGATGTTTTCATTTATTTATTTTTAATGCTACGTTGTAATGAAAATCATTGGAAAACTTTAGATTCTAGTAATTTTGAAGTCTTCTTAGTTTGGACAGGACTGAGCTAAAGTTTGTACTTTTTTTAATTTATTGAAAAATGGTTTCTAATGATAGTATTAACAAGATTATATTGGGGGCAGGACGCAGTGGCTCACACTTGTAATCCTAGCACTTTGGGAGGCCGAGGCGGTTGGATCACCTGAGGTCAGGAGTTCAAGACCAGCCTGGCCAACATGTAGAAATCCCCTCTCCACTAAAATACAAAAATTAGCTGGGCATGGTGGCAGGCACTGTAATCCCAGCTACTTGGGAGGCTGAGGCAGGAGAATTGTTTGAACCTGGGAGTCGGAGGTTGCAGTGAGCCCAGATCGCACCACTGCACTCCAGCCTGGGCAATAGAGCAAGATTCTGTCTCAAAAAGGAAGAAAGAAAGATTATATTGGGGATATATATGTGTGTGTGTGTGTGTGTGTGTATATACACACACATATATATATACATATATACATATATATACATATTTAAAGGATAAAGGATTCTGCTGCCACAGATCACTAAATCAGATGATCTCTAGCAATTTCCTGTTTGTTTGTTTTTTGCCCATAGTGCTTATCTCTTTGAACAGTAATTTTCCACTTACTATTTTTCTCCCCTTTTGGACCATAATTTCCTTTAAGGCAGAGCCTCCTGTTACTCATCTTTGAATCTGGGGTCTGTCAGAGTACCTAGAATTTAATAAACTCTCATTAAGAGCCAGTTGAAAGAATATATGACTAAGCAGTCATTTACATCCAAAAGATCCGTAGGAGAATTCTTATCAGCACATGTGATTGGTAACAATAACTTTGTACTTTTCAAAAACAATTACTAATCTATCTTGCTTTCCATTATCTCACCAAAACCTATTAGCATGTCTGGCAGAAAATAGATACTTAATAAATTTCTTAAATGTTTACTGACTTCAATTTTAAGTTTTATTAACTATGTTGACTTTTCTCTAATGAAGATGATTCTAAAAAGCTTTTTACTATACTTCACAGTGAATAAAACAGTGAGATAGGAATATTGCAAA
The DNA here is from genome assembly GCF_000001405.40 of Homo sapiens. Lineage (NCBI taxonomy): Eukaryota > Metazoa > Chordata > Mammalia > Primates > Hominidae > Homo > Homo sapiens. Next base: position 117,661,287 of record NC_000007.14, read on the forward strand.
ATGTCCCCTGTGTTGGTCAGTCTTAGTGTCATTCATTTTAAAAATTCTGTTCTCTAAATATTGACAGTTATATATAAATTTATGTAATTGTTTACTTCTAATAAAGAATTTCATCTGGGGAAAAACATACTTTGCTCAGCTCTTTGCCACAAGTGCAAAGTCTAAGACAGTCAAATAGCTTTCCTAGTACGGCCTTAGGAACTTAGTATATGACTGGTGTGAATCTAGAGGGAGCATACTGCATTCTGACCAAAATCTCCACCCTGTTACTATGGCCATCACTAACTTCGCAGTATTGCAGTACTTCCTGCTAGCTTAGTTCCCAAGGCAACTTGTGAAGGAAAATTTTTACAAAGCTGTTGTCACACAAAGGTAGTGTTTCAGTTCCTGAGCCCATGTCCTTGGAGTTGCCCAGGCTCCAATAATACTAATAATTACTGTACATTAGGTACTTACCATGTGCCATATTCTGTGGGAGCCGCTTTCCACAAATTATCTCTGGTAATCCTTGTAACAACCCTTTGACATCAATATTATTATTTTCTCCATTTTTTTACATATGAGATAAATGAGACTTAAAATAATGTGCCTGATATCATCAGCAAATGAGCTGAGGAGGGCAGATTCAAAGCTGATTGTGTTTGACTCTAGAGCTGCAGTCTTAAGCCAGACCTTTTCTTGCTGGTTAATTTTACTGAAAAAAAAAAAAAAAAAAAAAAACCCTCAAATACTGCTGATTGATCTAAAGTACTAACATTTCTATCAGTGTTAGGGAAATTTTAATTTTATAATTTGATTTTGTGAGAAATTTATAGCATCTTGAATACTCACATGCAAAGTGATATGTCTTAGATAACATTTTACAATGGCAGAGCTTAAGCCAGTGCTCAGTCATTCATTCATCCTCAAGTTTTGATTCATTTATCATTCATCAAAACTCTGTTTTGTTTGGCCACCCACATTCTAGGAGCTCAGTACATATTTGATAAATGAATGAATTGTTGAGGTTGACAGTTACCCAGGACTGGCATTAGGAACACAGAGCTGAAGAGCACGTTTTTACCCTCAAGAAGCTTACAGTCTAACGAGGGAACTTGCACAAATACTACTATCACTAGGTGCCTGGTTGAATGGCTTAAGAGATGATCAGGGATATTCAGAAGGATATGTCAGGCTCAGCAATGGCATCACTTGAGAGCATCAAGGTGTTTAGGGAACTACAAGATGTTTGGTTCTGCTGGGAATAAGAGTGAAGGGGGCTCCATTTGGATGCCTCATACACCAGGTGAGAGATCTTAGATTTTATTCCACCAGGAGGAGAACTACCATAGGATTTAAAACAGAAATGATATGGTCAAACCTACATCTTAGGAAGATCCCTGGGGTGTTTGTATGGTGGACTTGCAATTTGACTAATTGAGATTTGTAGGATGATTCTTAAGAGATGATGATGACCCAGACTGGGATCACTATAATAGAGTTGGTAAGGAGGAGAATGATTTAAAAAGTAGTTGGAAGAATTCTAGGGATGGAGATAAACATTTGAAAATTATTAACTTATAGGTGGTCATCAATACCCTGAAAATGACTGGGATCTCAGAGGAGAGTCTGGAGAGTTGGAAATGACAAAGACTAATATTCAAGGGGGCAGGAAGAGGGAGAGTTGTTCACACATGACAATAGGAAGAAATGGCCATAGAGTGTGTGGTTTCTCTCAAGCCAAGGAATAGATGTTTTAAGAAAGGAAAATTCTTGTGGTGGGAAGCAGTAGAGATGACAGATACACATTAATTTCTTGAGATTTCTAGATGACTAAATGGGCAGATGTTGAATGATAGCTAAAGGAGAACCCAGAAACAAGGGAGGGATTTTGTTTTTGTTTTTTAAAAAAGATAGACCATAGCAGCTTCATAGACTGAAACAATAAAAAAGTTGAAGGCACAAAGAAAGACACAGGTCCTCTAACTCCCTGCCCAGTGCCCTTTATTCATATTCTCAGCACTTGTATTTCTAAGTTTTATGTTTGAGTCTTCGGGGATACATCAGAGTAGTCCCCCTTGTCTAATAAATGTGTTTACATTTCCTGCCATACCAGAAACCCTTCTCAAACTTTAATGAATTTCTACAAGGTGAGATTACTTTAATGAGAAACCAACCAAGGAAAGGAGTATCATCTGCAATATACTTTCAAATGTTTTTTGCTTGTTTGTTTCTTGTCCAGCTAAAAAAAAAAAAAAAAAACAAGCCATTGGTCCTAACACAACTTTCATATTCTACCCCAATATCAAAGAGGCTTAAAATCTCCTGGTCGTGTGATGGGCACACAGTTAATTTTTTGTGAACAAACACAGTGTTATGGGCCATTTCTGAATTTATCTCTGAAATCATAAGATTCTTTCTGAGCCATTATCTCATTCTATATTACAGTCAGGTGGAGCCCATCTTACCTCCTCATACTAAATTCTAGACTTCTCAAGGGCAGGAGACAATCATCTGTATATCTCTTTGGCCTTCATACACTCAGGAGTACTTGCCAAAAATAAACATTTAATGCACATTTATTTGAATAATTGATAAGATCCAATACTTCAATAACTTTGTCATATTTTTATAGAATGGGTTTCTATATCTCATTTGCATTTTCAAACTTTACTTTTACTGTCTAGCTTTAAAAAAAAAGCCTTTGACTCTAATACAGCCCTCATATTCTACCCCAATATCTAAGAGGCTTTATATCTCCTAGTGTTGTACCACTATTTTAACTCCAGTATTTTTTACTTCATAGTTTTACCTATTTGTTACAGTTAGTTTTTATGAATTCAAGAGATGAATAGCAATTTTCCATATGTAATTTAAAAAACCCCACAGTTGACTATTTTATGCTATCTTTTGTCCTCAGTCATGACAGAGTAGAAGATGGGAGGTAGCACCAAGGATGATGTCATACCTCCATCCTTTATGCTACATTCTATCTTCTGTCTACATAAGATGTCATACTAGAGGGCATATCTGCAATGTATACATATTATCTTTTCCAGCATGCATTCAGTTGTGTTGGAATAATTTATGTACACCTTTATAAACGCTGAGCCTCACAAGAGCCATGTGCCACGTATTGTTTTCTTACTACTTTTTGGGATACCTGGCACGTAATAGACACTCATTGAAAGTTTCCTAATGAATGAAGTACAAAGATAAAACAAGTTATAGACTGATTCTTTTGAGCTGTCAAGGTTGTAAATAGACTTTTGCTCAATCAATTCAAATGGTGGCAGGTAGTGGGGGTAGAGGGATTGGTATGAAAAACATAAGCTTTCAGAACTCCTGTGTTTATTTTTAGAATGTCAACTGCTTGAGTGTTTTTAACTCTGTGGTATCTGAACTATCTTCTCTAACTGCAGGTTGGGCTCAGATCTGTGATAGAACAGTTTCCTGGGAAGCTTGACTTTGTCCTTGTGGATGGGGGCTGTGTCCTAAGCCATGGCCACAAGCAGTTGATGTGCTTGGCTAGATCTGTTCTCAGTAAGGCGAAGATCTTGCTGCTTGATGAACCCAGTGCTCATTTGGATCCAGTGTGAGTTTCAGATGTTCTGTTACTTAATAGCACAGTGGGAACAGAATCATTATGCCTGCTTCATGGTGACACATATTTCTATTAGGCTGTCATGTCTGCGTGTGGGGGTCTCCCCCAAGATATGAAATAATTGCCCAGTGGAAATGAGCATAAATGCATATTTCCTTGCTAAGAGTCTTGTGTTTTCTTCCGAAGATAGTTTTTAGTTTCATACAAACTCTTCCCCCTTGTCAACACATGATGAAGCTTTTAAATACATGGGCCTAATCTGATCCTTATGATTTGCCTTTGTATCCCATTTATACCATAAGCATGTTTATAGCCCCAAATAAAGAAGTACTGGTGATTCTACATAATGAAAAATGTACTCATTTATTAAAGTTTCTTTGAAATATTTGTCCTGTTTATTTATGGATACTTAGAGTCTACCCCATGGTTGAAAAGCTGATTGTGGCTAACGCTATATCAACATTATGTGAAAAGAACTTAAAGAAATAAGTAATTTAAAGAGATAATAGAACAATAGACATATTATCAAGGTAAATACAGATCATTACTGTTCTGTGATATTATGTGTGGTATTTTCTTTCTTTTCTAGAACATACCAAATAATTAGAAGAACTCTAAAACAAGCATTTGCTGATTGCACAGTAATTCTCTGTGAACACAGGATAGAAGCAATGCTGGAATGCCAACAATTTTTGGTGAGTCTTTATAACTTTACTTAAGATCTCATTGCCCTTGTAATTCTTGATAACAATCTCACATGTGATAGTTCCTGCAAATTGCAACAATGTACAAGTTCTTTTCAAAAATATGTATCATACAGCCATCCAGCTTTACTCAAAATAGCTGCACAAGTTTTTCACTTTGATCTGAGCCATGTGGTGAGGTTGAAATATAGTAAATCTAAAATGGCAGCATATTACTAAGTTATGTTTATAAATAGGATATATATACTTTTTGAGCCCTTTATTTGGGGACCAAGTCATACAAAATACTCTACTGTTTAAGATTTTAAAAAAGGTCCCTGTGATTCTTTCAATAACTAAATGTCCCATGGATGTGGTCTGGGACAGGCCTAGTTGTCTTACAGTCTGATTTATGGTATTAATGACAAAGTTGAGAGGCACATTTCATTTTTCTAGCCATGATTTGGGTTCAGGTAGTACCTTTCTCAACCACCTTCTCACTGTTCTTAAAAAAACTGTCACATGGCCAGGCACAGTGGCTTACATCTGTAATCCCAATACTTTGGGAGGCTGAGGTGGGGGGATTACTTGAGGCCAGGAATTCAAGACCAGCCCAGGCAACATAGTGAGGCCCCATCTGTCTTTATTAAAACAAAACAAAACTGTCACAGCTTCTTTCAAGTGATGTTTACAAATTCCCTATGGTTTAGTCACAAGGAAGTTCTGAGGATGATGTATCACGTCATTTCTGTTCAGGCTTTTGAGCCTCCTGGAGGTAAATGGTTTCCTTACTGAAGGCTTGTTATTACCATGATTATCACTAAGCTTGAAGTAACAAATTAGGGGGGCAGACTCACAACCTCTTGCCCTGCCATGGACAAGTTCAAGAATCTAAGTAAAGTCCTCTATTGTCTGATCTTGGATTTGCTCAACCTGAACAAGCCAAGGAGGTGTATTAAACTCAGGCACATCCTGACCAATTTGGAATTCTTAAGCTTCAGATCACTGTGGAAGAGGCTCAACTCTTTATGGTGCTGTAGACTTACGCTCATTTTCTAGGTAATTTATAAGGGACCTAATATTTTGTTTTCAAAGCAACTTCAGTTCTACTAAACCTCCCTGAAGAATCTTCCAGCTGCTGAGTAGAAAATCACAACTAATTTCACAGATGGTAGAACCTCCTTAGAGCAAAAGGACACAGCAGTTAAATGTGACATACCTGATTGTTCAAAATGCAAGGCTCTGGACATTGCATTCTTTGACTTTTATTTTCCTTTGAGCCTGTGCCAGTTTCTGTCCCTGCTCTGGTCTGACCTGCCTTCTGTCCCAGATCTCACTAACAGCCATTTCCCTAGGTCATAGAAGAGAACAAAGTGCGGCAGTACGATTCCATCCAGAAACTGCTGAACGAGAGGAGCCTCTTCCGGCAAGCCATCAGCCCCTCCGACAGGGTGAAGCTCTTTCCCCACCGGAACTCAAGCAAGTGCAAGTCTAAGCCCCAGATTGCTGCTCTGAAAGAGGAGACAGAAGAAGAGGTGCAAGATACAAGGCTTTAGAGAGCAGCATAAATGTTGACATGGGACATTTGCTCATGGAATTGGAGCTCGTGGGACAGTCACCTCATGGAATTGGAGCTCGTGGAACAGTTACCTCTGCCTCAGAAAACAAGGATGAATTAAGTTTTTTTTTAAAAAAGAAACATTTGGTAAGGGGAATTGAGGACACTGATATGGGTCTTGATAAATGGCTTCCTGGCAATAGTCAAATTGTGTGAAAGGTACTTCAAATCCTTGAAGATTTACCACTTGTGTTTTGCAAGCCAGATTTTCCTGAAAACCCTTGCCATGTGCTAGTAATTGGAAAGGCAGCTCTAAATGTCAATCAGCCTAGTTGATCAGCTTATTGTCTAGTGAAACTCGTTAATTTGTAGTGTTGGAGAAGAACTGAAATCATACTTCTTAGGGTTATGATTAAGTAATGATAACTGGAAACTTCAGCGGTTTATATAAGCTTGTATTCCTTTTTCTCTCCTCTCCCCATGATGTTTAGAAACACAACTATATTGTTTGCTAAGCATTCCAACTATCTCATTTCCAAGCAAGTATTAGAATACCACAGGAACCACAAGACTGCACATCAAAATATGCCCCATTCAACATCTAGTGAGCAGTCAGGAAAGAGAACTTCCAGATCCTGGAAATCAGGGTTAGTATTGTCCAGGTCTACCAAAAATCTCAATATTTCAGATAATCACAATACATCCCTTACCTGGGAAAGGGCTGTTATAATCTTTCACAGGGGACAGGATGGTTCCCTTGATGAAGAAGTTGATATGCCTTTTCCCAACTCCAGAAAGTGACAAGCTCACAGACCTTTGAACTAGAGTTTAGCTGGAAAAGTATGTTAGTGCAAATTGTCACAGGACAGCCCTTCTTTCCACAGAAGCTCCAGGTAGAGGGTGTGTAAGTAGATAGGCCATGGGCACTGTGGGTAGACACACATGAAGTCCAAGCATTTAGATGTATAGGTTGATGGTGGTATGTTTTCAGGCTAGATGTATGTACTTCATGCTGTCTACACTAAGAGAGAATGAGAGACACACTGAAGAAGCACCAATCATGAATTAGTTTTATATGCTTCTGTTTTATAATTTTGTGAAGCAAAATTTTTTCTCTAGGAAATATTTATTTTAATAATGTTTCAAACATATATAACAATGCTGTATTTTAAAAGAATGATTATGAATTACATTTGTATAAAATAATTTTTATATTTGAAATATTGACTTTTTATGGCACTAGTATTTCTATGAAATATTATGTTAAAACTGGGACAGGGGAGAACCTAGGGTGATATTAACCAGGGGCCATGAATCACCTTTTGGTCTGGAGGGAAGCCTTGGGGCTGATGCAGTTGTTGCCCACAGCTGTATGATTCCCAGCCAGCACAGCCTCTTAGATGCAGTTCTGAAGAAGATGGTACCACCAGTCTGACTGTTTCCATCAAGGGTACACTGCCTTCTCAACTCCAAACTGACTCTTAAGAAGACTGCATTATATTTATTACTGTAAGAAAATATCACTTGTCAATAAAATCCATACATTTGTGTGAAACTTTGTTGTTTTCAGATGCGTTCACTTGTCATGTTTCATCAGTCTCTCACTCCAATTTCTAAGCTTCATGGAACATGAAACACGAATCTGTCTTTTAGATATAGCCTCTTTTGAGAATTCACATGAATTAGAACACACATTTTTAGTTATCTGTTTAAACTATGGTAAAATATACATAACATAAAATTTTCCATTTTAACCATTTTAAAGTTCAGTTCAGTGTCATTAGGTACATTCACATGGTTGTGCAAATATCACCATCATCCTTCCACAGAATTTTTTTCTTGCAAAACTGAAACTCTTTTTACCCGTTAGTCAATAATCCCGCATTTATCTTTCCTCTAATGCCTGGCAACCACCATTTTACTTTCTGTCTCTGATTTTGACTACTCGAAGGACCTAGGAGTGGGATCATACAGTATTTGTATTTTTGTGCTTATTTCATCTAGCATAATGTCTTCAAGCCTCATCCATGTTGCAACATGGGTCAATTTTCTTCCTTCTTAAGGTTGAATAATATTCATTATAGAGTAGTCCCCCCTTATCCTTGGGGAATATGTTCCAAGACCCCCAATGGATGCCTGAAATCACTGATAGCACTGAACCTGATTACTGTGTTTATTCCTATACATACACACATACATATGATAACATTTAATTTATAAATTAAGCACAGTAATAGATTAACAACAATAATCATAAAATAGAACAATTATAACAATATATTATGACACGAGCGATACAAATGTGGTCTCTCTCTTTCTCAAAATATCTCATTATACTGTGCCACAGGTAACTGAAACCACAGAGAGCAAAACCTTGGATAGGGGGACCACTCTATAAATATGTACCACATTTTTCCTCACCCATTCATCCATCACTGGCTACTTGGTTTGCTTCCACTTTTTGGATATAGTGAATAATGCTTCTATAAATATGGGTGTACAAATGTTTCTTCATGTCCCTGCTTTCATTACTTAGGATATGTTTGAAGTTATTTTTATTTTTAAATGGAGGCTTATAGAACACAAAAGATTTATATTCTGCAAGTGTCCATCTATTTCTTTTAAAGCTTATTCAAAAAGTGGTAGCTATCTCATAGCTCTTGGTAAGTTAAAAATCTTCATCAACGAAAATACTATTTCTGCGTTGGCACCTGCATGGATTTTCTTTGTCCAAATCCCTCTTTTTAATTGATGAGGCTTCTTTAGTTCCTTTTTTTCTTCCTTGTTGAGCTTCTTCATGAAATGTGCAGTTGCTAGCATGTGGTGGACGGACTGCAGATCCCTACTGAATGCCAGGCCCTCCGGCCCTGTGTTCTCTTTCTTGGAGAGGTTTGTTTTCACACGTAACCCCAAGAGGGCAGTCTCAGAGCGTGTTCTAGTCTAGTTCTTTTTTTAAAATTACTAAACTTTATTTTTTTTAGGGCAGTTTTAGGTTCCCATCAAAATTGAACAAAAAGTATGGAGAGTTCACATATAACTTCTCCATACATGATAGCCTCCCCCATTCAACATCCCACACTAAAGTAGTACATTTGTTACAACTGTGAAAGCAAATAGAATTTCAAGACCCCAAGCTCACTATGCCAAAGGGCAAGTTAAGCTTCAGAGCTGAATTACTCAATATTGCCTTCCTTTTGTTCCCTAACAGCCGTAACTTCACAATCTTGTGTGATAGCCTCATCCATAAACCAGGTTCCCACAATGATAGAAGGCCACATATCTCCCCAAATGACCTCCCTCACAATTGTGCCCAAGGAAAATCCTTGTGAGACCCTATCTTTTAGGATACATATCCCTCCTATAAAATAGCCCTAAAACTGAGTTATGTTGAATTTCACCCTGATGATGTCAATTACCAGCTTGTCTTCATAGGCACAGGACGCGGGCAAGACCAGAAATCATCGTGCTGTCTACCCTGCAATGAACACATAATTGACTTTTCCTTTACTCCCTCTTTTTACCTATAAAATTTGGATTTACTGAACACTAACCAAAGCCTCCCCTGAATAGAACCATTTGCCTCACTGCCTACCCTCTATCCTCTTTTCCTTCTCCGTGTTTGCACTTTACTCTTTAAATATTAAAGTTCCCAAACCCTCTTTGGAAAAGCACAGGTCACAGATGCTCCTCTGGCTTGTGTTCTTCCTGGGTGCATCTGCAAACTTTGGCTAAACAAACCTCTATCGATTAAGACACCTGCCTCAGTCACTTTTTCCTTAACACAACCAATGAACCTACATTGACACATTATTATTGCCCAAACACAATAGTTTATATTAGGGTTCATTATTGGTATTTTACATTTCATGGGTTTGGACAAATGTGTAATGACAAGTTAACTACCATTACAGTATCTTACAGGGTAGTTTCACTGCCCAAAAAATACTTTGTGCTCTGCATATTCATTCCCCTTTCTCCCCTAACTTTTGGCAACCACTGACCTTTTTATTGTCTCCATAGTTTTGCCTTTACCAGAATGTCATCTACTTAGAATTACGCAGTATGTGGCCTTTTCAGATTGGCTTCTTTCACTTAGTAATATGCATTTAAGTTTCCTCCGTATCTTTTCATGGCTTGATAGCTCATTTCTTTTTAGTGCTGAATTATATTCTATTGTCAGATGTACCACAGTTTATTCATTGACCTACTAAAGGACATCTTGGTTGCTTCAACGTTTTGGCAATTTTCAATAAAGCTGCTGAAACATCTGTGTGTGGGTTTTTGTGTAAATATAAGTTTTAATTTCTTTGGGTAAGTACCAAGGAGTTCAATTGTTGGATCATATAGTAAAAGATGTTTCGTTTTGTAAGAAACTGCCAAACTGTCTTCAAAGTGGCTGTACCATTTTGCAGTCCCACCAGTAACGAATGGGAGTTGTGGTTGCTCCTTATCATTGCCAGCATTTGGTGTCCTCGGCGTTTTAGAATTTGGCCATTCTAATAGTTTTGTGGTGGTATCTCATTGTTATTTCAATTTGCATTTCCCTGATGACATGATGTGGAGTATGTTTTCATATGCTTATTTGCCAGCTGTGTATCTTTTTTGGCAAGGCATCTGTTAAGGTCTTTGGCCCGTGTTTTGATCAGGTTGTGTCTTGTTGTTGAGTTCCTTTACTGGATTTCTTTTGTTAGCATGGTATAACTTTATCCATCCCTTTATTAATCTACCTGGGGCTTTAAATTTAACTAGGTTTCTTATAGACATCATGTAAGTCTTGCTTTTTGATTCACTCTCACAATCTTTGTTTTTTAGCTCTTGACATTTAAAATGATTATTGATATAATTGGATTAATATCTACCATATTTATTCCTGTTTTCTGTTTGTTTCCTTTGTTCTTTATTCCTATTTTTACTTTCCCCATTTTTTTGCCTTTTTAAATTTTATTGAGCATTTTACAGGATTCTATTTTCTCACCTTCTTAACATAGCAATTCTTCTTTTTTTAAACTTTTTTAGTGGTTGCCCTACAGTTTGCAATAAACATTTACAAGTGACCTATGTGCCTTTAAATAACAATATTCCATTTCATATCAGTGCAAGTACCTTAAATTACAAATTTCTAGCTTCTGTCCCTTTTACCATTTCAGGTATTCATTTCATTTATATATTAGCTTATATATATCCCTACACTTGATTTTTCCTCATATGAGATTTTCTTTCCTCTTTCCCATTTAAAAAAATAAAATAAACTATTATAGCCACAGACTTTCTATTTTTATTTGTTTTCTGTATTGAAGTCTTGATTTTGGGGCTTTACTTGTCCCTGTCTATGCCCACTCCTATCTGACACACACTTTCTTAATTTATTTCCTAGTTGTTTCACTTTGTTTATCTTCATTATGAGGAAAAAAAGCCAAAACCTGAAATGAATATGCTTCCTTCCAGTAACCAGGGACCTTCCATGGTTGGGAAATTGTTACCTATTCGAGTGAAAGGCTAATAAAACCCCCAAGGTAAATATTTTAGTACTTCACTAAAGAAAGAACCTCAAATACTATGTGGAAGACAATTTAAAATGAGGTTTAAAGAGCTCAATATAAAAACCTGTTTGACCTGTTAAAACAGGTGTGGACAATCACAATTCCCTATTTAAAAATACAGTGAAAAAACCTACAAATGCAAGACAAATACATTGGAGCATGAGAACTCCAAATTGTTAGGTTAGGAATTAGAAGCTGTTCCCAGTGTGTAGAGCTAAGAGACCCAAGTCATTGTCAGTTGACAGGGAGCCGGGACTCAATACCTGTGTACTTTCTCAGAGAAAGGAGAGGTCTTGGCAAAATTTTGGGTTTATCCTTAATTCCATACAATGGGAATATTCAATTGCTCTTTAATCACTCAGTATTGATAGGGACAGGGGGCAGAGAAATTCTAGGCAGAAAAGGGCGGGACCCTGGTGAAACCCCACCCTCAATCCGAAAAACCTGAAACTGCCACCGAAAGTGAGAACTTCTATCCCTGTTTTCCCACTCGAATGTTGCCTTTTTCTAAACTACCCGTGGCCTGCTCCACCCCCATCCTTTGCCTATAAAAACCCCAGACTCAGTTGGTAGATGGGACTATAACTGGACATTGGAGAGAAGTGGCTTGACTTCAGAGCGACAGCTTGACAGCATACTTTGGAGAAGAATCTGAGAGGAGAAGGCAAGACTTCAGGGGAAGATTACCTATCTGCCCTGTCCCCTGTTCAGCTCTATTTCCCACTGAAAGCCACTTTCATCAGCAATAAAATCCCTCATTTACCATCCTTCAATTCGTTCATGTGACCTCATTTTTTCTGGACGCCAGACAAGAGCTTGGAGGCCACGAGTATGGATACAAAAGGCTGTCACACTGGCTGTTTGCCCTTGCTGGTGGAGGGCAGCTGCCTCACATGAAAAGGCAAAGAGCTCACTGAGCTGTTAACACTTAAGCCTTCCGCAGACGGCAGAGCTGAAAGAGCACTGCAACACACCCTCTGGGCCTCAGGCTCTCAGGCACTCCTACCTGGTTGCGCCGCTGGGCCCGCACAGAGTTTGCTACTGCCGGCACCTGAAAGCGGTTGGCTGGTTCCTGCACTCGCTCGTTCTGGTTCCTGCACTTATTCATTCGCACGCTCCCTCCCACAAGGGGTAGACGGGGCGGGATGGGTAAATGAGGCACCCCTGTCTCAAGTCCCGTGAAGGCGTCAGGGAAATAATCTGCTTCAGTTTCTCTAGTTGTAAAATGGTTAAGAACATTATGAAAGGTGGTCAACAACTTTATAAGTGAATATGCTAATGCTGGCCTTAATTCTAAAATGCTACTTGGATCAAAAGTTATGATTCAGTTCCAATACATCTTCTATTCATTGAAGTACAGAATCTGTACACAAAGTACAATTGTATCTTCAAAAACTGCCACCTTGTGGAGATTTGGTTTTATTGTTAAGACAGCCAGTGCCAACAACAGAAATGAGTACAGAGCCTCACATACTAATGTAAGTGAATCTCAAAGACATTTTATCTTTAAGCCATTTTGAAAAGTAGAAATTAAGCCTGAATAGTTTTGGGGCACAAATTGCTCTTTAACTCTCTTCTTTCCCATTCACCTTTGTCACTGATGGAATAATAGAAGGAGCAATCTTTATCAGCAATGGCAGATGTGCTGATAAATGAAACCAAAACTGAATTGACAAATATTGACACAAATACTTATAGAAGCAATTTAAAAATCTACCTTGCAATTAATCCTTATGAAATTTAAGTCATAATTTACTAAAAATTATAATATAAAGAAATAAACTTTCTCTGTTTTATTAAAAGAAAGGATCAATACATTTGGCCACAATTGATTGGCCATAATTTTTGTCAATGTTCTATAAGCTAATTGAAAATAAGACTATTTTAAATATAATTATCTCCCTTCTCCTTTGCCTTTTCATTGGCAGCAGGTGCCATGGGCTTATTCATATTCTAAAAGAGAAGTTGTGTGAGCAAATTTGTCATCATAGGCAATCCTCTTGTAAGGAAAAAATTATGATTTGATTTTTATTTTCTCTTATCTCCTAATTGGGTCAGATACTCCAGTGTCCTCGGGGAGCCAAACCAGGAGCCAGTGTGTCCTTACACAAACACAGCTTCCTTCCTGCTTGGAGCTCACACCAAGCATTTGCATTTGAACCAAGCAATGTTGACAGGCTATTGAGCCACAGAAGTTAAACATTCCAAGTGAGCCTGAGACGACCATTACATTCTTTTACATTTTCTGGTCGATTAAAATTTTAATTGTTTAAAATTTCAAATAGATACAAAAATAGACATAGAGTATAATAAACTTCACACCCCTGTCACTGAACTTCAATAGTTATCAGCTCACAGTCAATCTTATTTCATCTATGCTCCCTCATGCTTCCCTCCTATATTATTTTGTGCAAATCCAAACAGCATATAACTTTAGCTCTATGTGTCTCTAAAAGACACGGCTTTCTCTATCATTCTTTTTCTTTTGAAACTGATCCATATTACCTTTACCAGAACTAGAAAAACAGTCATCTTTAATATCCTCAAATATTCACTCCATGTATAAACGTCATTGTCAGTTTTTTCCCAAATATAGGTAGTCCTCATGTTGCACATTAATATGGCACTATGAAAATCACCATGCAAGATAATTTAAATAATTAATGGGGGAAAAATTGTTCCATGACCTTTAAAAATATTAAAAATTTAAAACTTTCTTACTGTTGGTTATAAACAATAGGGACACAAAAATAGTGAAACATTTAGTAAGTAATTTAAAACATTAGAAACACTGAGAATTAAAATGTTTCTTTTAAACTACTTATCAAGAGTAGTTTGAGCAATACTTGGTTTCTTTTGGTTATGTAACTTGCAATATGAAGAAAGCATCTTTTCTATGCCTGGGCAAGTTGTCATACTCCTTTCTAATTTAGGACCAGCTTCCAACATTGTATCCTTCGTGACTTCAATGTTGTAAAATATCTCCAAGAGTTTGTTTAAGGTAATGATTTTTGCTGATGTCACCTCCTCTGGGGCATCTGACAGGCATTCCTGCTAGGTCAACCTATAGCAGAGGGTGGAAGGGCCCAGAGATGGCAAGAGAGAAAAGGGGGGAACCTTTTAGAGGTGATTAGGCTATGAGGGCTCTGCTTTCATGAATGGATTAATGCCATTACGGCAGTGAGTTCATTATAAAAGGACAAGTTTGGCCCCCTTCTCTCTCTTTCTTGCTCTCTTTTGGCCCTTTTGCCTTCTGCCATGGGATGACACAGCACAAAAACCCTCACCAGATGCTGACCCCTTGATACTGGACTTCCCAGCCTCCAGAACTGTAAGCCAACAAATGTGTGTTCTTTATAAATTACCCCAGCTGTGGCATTCTGTTATAGCAGTACAAAATAGATCAAGACAAAGGGGGATTGCAGGCAGGAAGGGAGCCCCTGACCTCTTAGTTTCACTCATCTGGAATTTAGCCACTACAACACAGAGCTGGGGCTTGAGGGGATAAGAAATGCTATTGACCTGCACTTCCCAGGGTGATAGTACAGTTACAGGCTGTAAACTCAAGGGAGAGGGAATGCCATCATCTTGGCCACATCAGCCTGGAGTAGAGCTTCTATCACACCAAGTTGGGGGAGGGAAGAGGGAGCAGCTTGTGACTGAAGTGCCATAAACTTTTGTTCTTACTGAGATTAGTATATTTTCTGGAATAAACGCTGCTGCTTTTGCTGTATGTGCTTAGGGCCATTTTCAGAGACTTTAAATGATTGATAATTGTTACCAGTAATGGTTATTTTGATGGGTAGTTGGTCCACAGAGCTCCTCACCTTGCTGTTCTAGAAATTGTCTTTTAGCTTAGTATTAATTCCTGAATTTTTCAGTTTTTCTGATCTTTTACCTCCAGGATGACTCTTTGAAACAACTCTAAATTATTGACTGAAACTTTTATGTATAATTCTCATTTTGTTCTTCACACAATCTCTGTGAAGGAGGTTCTAAGAACTAAGAGGCTTAGAGAGGGTAAGGATCTTCCCAGAAATTACACAGCACTCCCAGATTTGGAACCTTTAGAAAGTTTATATACTTATTGGAAAACTTAGCTCATTTTTAATCAGAGGGAAGTCATTTTACAGTGCCCCATACAGGGAGTCAGATAACTACTTCCTAGTTAGGTTTTCCTCTCTATAGAGAGTCAACCAGCCCTGCTGTACTTTCCCGTGGGATCTGAAACTGCAGAAATCTACTGAGAAAAACAGAATGCTCACAGCAGGATAAAGCTCATGTTTTCTAGAGCTACTAAGATTCAGGCTTATGCCTCTGTGTTTGATTTTTTAATAGTCTTGCTAATGTCAAAGTGATTCTATCTTACACACCCCAAAGTCTGTAAAGGTATAATAACAAGGGGTGAGATTGTCTTAAATCTGCAGTTTCTTGATCTGTTTAGTGGGCTACTATAGGTTACTGCAGGACCTCTCAAGGTTTCTAGTATGCAAAGGTGCATTTTGACTCTGTAAGAGTGGAATATCATATGTAATGTTTCTCAATTGATTTGTCTACATAACCGTATTTTCTTGTGCCATTTATATCCTGTGTTTTGGGGAAGGTTGGCCTAGAACATTTATTCTAAAAGGAAAGGGCATGGGAAATTCTTACCATTGGCAGTGTCGGGGAGGAAAAAATGCATACTTCTTACCCATTTAGTTTATTTTGCTAGTTTACAAATTAAATTGAGATAAGACAGATTAATAGGAGAAAATCAACTTTAATTATGTGTGTATACATGGGAGTCCCACAAAAATGTAAGACTCAAGGAAGCAGCCAGATGATTGAGACCTATATATTATCCTGAGCTACAGAAAGGGATAAGGGTTTGGGGCTTTTGCGGGGTTGTGGAGGCAAATTTTGGGAAGGCGAGGAGAGGAAATGTATGATCAATAAATGTTGCCTTGTTGTGCAGATAAAAGTGTCTTAGGTGATAAAGATGTTTCCAAAGAGTAGTTCTCTTCATGGTACAGATATTTTACTCATGATCATTTCCTTTATAGATATAAATTTCCTTTACGAAAGGGGGAATTTTATTTTATGTAGTTAGTGGAGAAGTCGGTAAAGAGCTTTTCCTGTATTGGCTGATTCTCAGTTTTTTTTAGCTCAAAATGATCAATATGCCGAAGTGGCATGTTCTGAAATGACATATTCTGAATCCTTTCAGCTGGAATATATTTGTATATCAACAGTGTTTCCATCTGTCAGCCCTTAGGGTCTGCTTATGGAAGATATAAGCACCTGGATGACCATGACGAAAATCTGGAGATTTTGAGAAAACACTGGTGCAAGGCTCCATCCAAAATCAATTAAAGAAGAATCTTGGAAGATGGGGTTAGGTCACTGATAGCTTGAAAGGCATCCCAGGTGATTCTAATACGCAGCCAGTTGAGAAGCACGGATTTTTTTATTGGGTTTTTCAGGCTGGCTGAAAGAACTGCGATGCTCAGGAAACCAGGGGTGCCTGGCAGGAGTTTGACCGGGGAGACTGAAGCCTGTCAACAGGGACAAGAACGGTAGGCTGGTGCCTGGCACCTGAGGGTACTTCAGAGGTGCTCATTAAAAAAGAGGAGGGGACATCAAGCGAGAATTCTTAATCAGACATTCAACAAATTGAGGGTCGTCTATGTGTTCTAGGTGCTAAGAACTCGGCAGCAAACAAGGCAAAGTTCTCAGTGTCATGGAGTTTACATTCTAGTGGATGAGGACAAAAGTAAGTAAATGTTAAAAATATATAGCAGATGGTAACTAAAGAGACAAAGCAGAGAATTAGGTTATTTGCTGTAACATCATCAAAAAGTCATTAGTATGGTGGCAATTGAGCAGAAACATGAAGGAAGTGAGGAAGTCAGCTGTGTGGGTGTCTTGAACAGTGTTTGAAGCAAAGGGAAGAGCAAATGTAAAGGCAGAATCATGGCTGGGATGTTGGAGGAGCAGCAAGGAAGTGCTGTGAATCTTGGGGAAAAAGAGGTTTAGATGATATGGGCCTCTGTAAGAGCCCTGGCTTTTACTTTAAGTCATAAGGGAAAACTTCGGAGTTTTGAGTGAAGAGTGATGTGATTGGAGGCACATTATAGCAGGGTGACTCTGATGCTGTACTGACACCAGACTGAAAAGTGTAGAGCATGGAAGCAGGGAGACCAGTTAGGAGTCTATTGTAATAGTCCTGGTGAGAGACCACAGCGGCTTGGACTAAGATGGCAACTAAGGTATATCTGAGAGGTGGTCAGACTCTGCATTTATCTTGGGAACAGAAGCATCCAGATTTGCTGATGAATTGTATATACTGTAGGAGAAGGAGAGGACTCAAGGATGATGTGAAAGATTTCAGTCTGAGGAGTTTTAAGGATGAGACTGGGAAGAATGAAGGAGAAGTTGGTGGGATGGGAAGGATTTAGGGCATTTTAGACATTAAGTTTGAGACATCTTGGTGGAATGACAAGCAAGCAGTTGAATCTGAGTCTGAAGTTCAGGAAAAAGATTCAGAGTGGAGACAGAATTATAAAAGTTATCAAAATGGAGATTGTATTTAACACGAGTGTGAACTAGATTCTTGTTACTTGCACCATCAACATCACCTGGGAGCTTGTTAGAACTGAAGACTCTCAGACCCTACCTCGGAACTGCTGAGTCAGTATCAGGATATTGTCACGATCCCAGGTGATCTGTAGGTACTTTAGAGTTTGAGGATTCCTAGATTAGATCATCTAGGGTATGAATGAATGTAGAAGAGAAAGACTGAGAACCTGAGACAATCTATCTCTGGAGGCCTTGGAAAAGAGCTGGAGACTGAGATGATATAGGAAAGGGGAATTTAGAGAGAATAGTGTTCAAATCCAAGTTAAGAATGTGTTTCAAGAAAGAGGGAGTTAAATGCGTAGGTCAATTAAAATGAGGAATGCTAGTTTACCACTGGATATAGAAATATGAATGTCATTTGTTACTTCTATAAGAGCATTTTAATAGGATTCAAGATATTGGGAAGAGAAATGTTAGAGACTGAGGATAGACCTTCATGAGTTTTTTCTAAAGGAAAGGAGAGAAAGGGGAGGTAAGTGGATGGGAAACTCAAGGCAGGTAAAAGTTCTGGGCACGGTGGCTCATGTCTATAATCCTAGCACTTTGGGAGGCTTGGGAGAATTGCTAGCACCCAGGAATTTGAGACCCCATTTCTACAAACTGAAAAAAAAATTAGCCAGGCATGATGGCATGTGCCTGTGGTCCCAGCTACTCAGGAGGCTGTGGTGGGAGGATTGCTTAAGCCCCGGTGGTTGAGGTTGCAGCAAGCTCTGATCACGACACTGCACTCCAGCCTGGGAAATGGAGTGAGACCCCATCTCAAAACACAAAAAAGGTGAGAGAAGTAACATCCTACTGGCATAGTGGATATATAGATAACAAATTAAGGGGTGGGGCATTTGGTGGAGCTGGGGGTATGTGGAGGCCAAAGCAACTCTGTCTTGGAGGCTAATTCACAATTTTGACTTCTGATTAACCCCTTTTCTGGGAATGCCTCTAAGATTTCTATTTTATCTACTGTTCCTTGTGTAAGAGCATGTACTTACCATAAATCCTGCCCTTAATCAATTGTTCTATACATCCCTTCTGAAGCACATATATATCCTTTCCCTATGGTGTATAAGCCCGGGGTATGGAAAGTAAGAGTGTGGAGATCCAGCATCTTGTCTCACTGCCACTGAGATACAGACATGGCTTCTGTTTTTAAGTCTCTATTAAATGTTTCTTTCCAAGAAACTGGATACATCAGCCTCTTCCTTCAGCTTCAGCTTCTAAGTTTGGGTATATCCGCCCACAGCAGAACAGGGGAGAATTGAGAGTCATTCCAGGATACCCTGAATAGTTGAGAGGGAAGGAACGCTTGGAACAAGAGAAGGGATCACCTTTAGTAAGGAGGATGGAAAGTCACTCCTAGAAGTAGGAGAAAAGGTAGCTTGGTAGATGTGGGGATAGAAAATTGTAAGTTTTCTTTCAATTGACTCAGTTGTTATCAATGTAAAGGGAAGAATGTCATTAATTAAGAATGAGGATGGGAAAGAAGCTACTGGAGATTTAAGGGGAATAACATATGAACTGTCACTTAAGACAGTTCCCCCAACGTTTTAAAGCCATGGCACACATAAAAAATGAGAATATTTGAGTGACAACTAGGAGGGGATTTGGATCCCTGGCCAAGTTTACTGGGGCAGGAGGCAAATGGCTCAGGGGTTCTGGTTGCCATTTGCCCAGATGGCTAAAGAAAGTAATATCTTCTGGCATCCTGGTTCTGTTTGACACATGAATTGGGGAGCTCTGAAAGAAGAGATGGGAATGAATAAAGCAGACAGGCAGAAAGGTAGTCAGATAGCAGGAAATACCTTATGTGAGTGAAATTCATGAATTTGAAGAGGAGCTGGTGAGGATGGTCATATTTTTAACCACTTCAGCTACACAGGTATAGTAATGCAATAGGGGGAGAACTGGATTTAACTAAGTTTGGGGTTATGCCTAGCAAGTATGACAGAGAGGGGATGAGGGAGTTGAGGAGAGATGCCAAGTGTAGACTAATTATGATCATGTAATATAAACTAGGTGAGAAGAGATATTAGGACATGGAATAGGAGGGGAATATTGGAAAGGTAGTTTGGATTCTGAATTTTGTGGGGTTTCACTGTTTTTGGAGATAAGAGAGAGAAGGAGATGACTGGAGAATAGAATGCTTGCAATTGATCACTGATGAGATGCAGGTGATGGTAATGACAAAGTCAGGGTGTTATATGGGAGTGGGAAGTGGAGGCACCGTGGAGGAGAAGAGGCTGTTGGACTGAGAGGTCATGGTATTGGAGGAGTTATTTACATTGATATTAAAATCTCTAAGAGTGATGGCAGGAGGGTGACAGTGAACCTGGAGGTAAAATTCAACAATTCATTTGCTTCATTGAACAAATGAAGCAAATTTAGTAGCAAATTTTGTTGTATAACCCCAACAAATTGACATGACTATGAAAAGAAGGGCCAGTGTAGTCTGGTGGTAGAGTCTGAGGTCAGAACTTCAGAAAGGGGCATTTGTCGGGGAGGGAGATACAATGTGTGGAAGTGACAATAAGGAGCAAGGAGGCCATCATCCTCTACCTCCATGTCTGGTTATCAAAGATATTGGGGGAGGAAAGCAGCCTGCTTGAGAAGGCCTCTGGAAAAACTGTGTTCCCCAAAGGGAGCCAGGTTTTCATTAGGACCATGTGGTGAAAGAACTGTTTAAAGATGCAGGAAGTTTTGCTGAGAAGGTTGTGACTCTGGAGGGCACAAGGAGATAGTTTGGGGAAATTGAGAAGGTTTGAGAGATGAGAGCCCATTGTGGGATGTGTGAGGTACTAAGGAGATGAGAGCTCAAGTGCCAAGGTCTGGCTTGAAGAGGCAGGCTTCTTGTTATGAAAACTGCTGCTTTATGGATACTGGAGAGCAAACAACTCCAGATAGCTTCAGTGTTTTCTACCCAAGCAACTACAGGTTATCTAACATCACTTTTCAGAGATCATGTTTCTTCTGGAGACAGAAAATAATTTCCCCATAATCCAGCTGAGAAAATTGCTTGGCCTTCCCTTAACCCTTCCTTGAAACTTTCCGTAAAATTATCGATTCCAGAAATGAGAAATGAAAGAGAATCTTGTTTTTGTTTGTTTATTCTGTTTTGTTTTGTTTTGAGATGGATTCTAGCTCTGTTGCCCAGGCTGGAGTGCAGTGGTATGATCTCGGCTCACTGTAACCTCCGCCTCCTGGGTTCAAGCAATTCTCCTGCCTCAGCCTCCCGAGTAGCTGGTATTACAGGTGTACACCACTACGCCCAGGTAATTTTGTGTTTTTAGTAGAGACAGGGTTTCGCCATGTTGGCCAGGCTGGTCTTGAAGTCCTGACCTCATGATCCACCTGCCTCAGCCTCCCAAAGTTCTGGGTTTACAAGCGTGAGCCACAGTGCCTGGCCAAGAATCTTATCTTAATCCTCTGTCTTAAGACAATTTATCCTGGAAAAATGATTATCCATTTTCTTCAAGTCTCTCTCCATAAAACCTCTTTATGGAATCTCCTTTTGATTTGAACTTTGATCCAAATCATAAACAATCCTCATTCCCTCTTAATGTTATGTATCACGGATGTGAGACTGGGTGTATACCGGTGTATATGTGGGGGAACAGTGGTGTCCTGAATGCCCTTTAGACCTGATCTTTATGAATCACCATGATATTTCTATTTCCTATGACCTGTGTGATTTTTGGTTGTTACTTATCTTGACAAATATTCTTTTCAAAAACATTGCGCACTGAAGGACATCTGGAAAATTCCAGGAGTCTGTCTAGGTTCTAATTGAGATGCAATTTCCTACCTTCATAGCCTTTTATTGGGCAATGTTTGTTGACACTTGTTTTCCAAGTTACTGGATTACTCATTTCAGAGTTCAGTTACCCAGAAACCACCTACTTCTATGCCTACAATAAGAAGCAAACAAGAGGTTTTTGCAATAAAGACAATCAGTATCTAGGATAAGGGCTGGCATGTGGGCTGGTCCCATCTTTGCTGTGAAGCTACGGGGAGGAGGTAGGGAGGGGAGAGTCTGGCTTTCTCAGTTTGTTGAGTAACCCCAGCGGGACATCCTGCCTCACATCCTGGCAGTTGAATTAGCTGGGCTTTTCAAGGTCACAAGAAGGAATCCTATACCCATCACCTGCAATGATAGGAGTTTATTGTTCAAATAGTAGGTAGGAGGGGAAGGATGGGAAACTTCCTCATCACTGTTCAATTCCCCCTGGTCCCAGGGCTTCAGAGCTGGAATAACACACAACAGACTTCTTACCTCCAATCAAAGGGCAGGCAGGTAATTTGTCTTCTTTTTGTTTCCCTCACACAATGGAGAGTGCACAATTGGGTCGGCTTTTGATCTCTCACTATAATGCTCTACAACTGGACATGGTTACCAAGTCGCTTCTGTGATGGTCAGCTTTTCCAGCATTAGGAGTTTTAACTGAGGCTTCAGGGATTCATACCCTGCCCCTCGCCCTGGGATTTTGTGCCAGAATGAGGGTCTGAGCATGTGTGCATTTTTTTGCGAAAGGATATGATCCTGTTTATAAAGGGGCCTCAATCTTTGCTTCAATTCACTGTGGCTAGCGTAACAGATTTATGTTTTACTCATAGCTCGTGACAATGCAGGCAGGGATGAGCCCATTTGAATCACCATCCTCAAAAAGAATCCATATGCTGGCAGCGAGTGACTCCTCCTGCAGCTGGTCATGTATCAGAGTGTTGTGTGAGGTAATCCCCTCACTTCCTCACACTGATTTCTGATACCTCTGGTCCTTCCACAAGTCACAGAAATGCCCCCATCTTCTGGCTGTGTACACGTGCTCATACACCACCCCTGCCTCCATGACAGAATGTAGAAAAGTTTTCTTGTGTGGTTCTATAGCCAAATAAGTCCCTTTCATGCTATTCAAATAGGGTTTCATAGTGCTGCACTCAGTTCTATTTTTCTTTTAAAATGATCAAGGTTGACTAAATGAAAGGCATTTCAGGATTTTTAGTTCCTAGAAAGCAGATGGTTTATATATCAATCTCCTACTCTTTAGTAGCAAAGATTCTACAACTGCACATACAAACTTCAAGAATTCCAGGCAATCCTAAAGGTTTTCCTGGGCCAAGCCTCTGTGCAGAGGTATGTTTTTAACCATCTCCAATGGGATTTTCAGTATTTTCAGCATTGACTCAACTCCAGTCAACAGCGATATCAAAACAAGTGAACATCAAGTCTGAAAAGAAAGTCTGAATACTGTTATCCAATCACAAAAAAGACGGGTGATGTGAATGTGTGTTGCTCTTTAAAGTTGGTTATTTTAAGTCAAATCCACTCACCTTTCAATATAATCAGTAACCTTCATAGCTTGGGGCTGCCTGGGCTTCAGACAGCAGAGTTAGAGAAAACAGAACAGTGATTTGTGTGTTTGGCTTTGGAGCAATGCAATATGCAGTTCAAATTCAACCTCATTTCATTAACTCTGTAACTGAAGTACCTGATAGCAACTACCAAAACTAACATGTAGAAAATAAACTTTATTTCACCCAAGAGTTCAGTTCACTGACATCGAAAGGCTTCAGAGATTTGGATCACATGAATATAACATGAGAGCTTTACAATTTTTAAAAACAAGTATGTTTAGAATAGGGATGAACACTATTCTGTCAGCATCAAGAATCATTTCTAATTCTTGTAGACTCTTTTCCATGATAAGATCAATGTAATTTGTAACAAATTACCCTTGGGTTGAGTCCTTGGAGAAAGCTGGACTCATTTTTAAAAAGAGAATGAAAATTAATTTCAATCAAAGGCACTTAAGGCTTTTATTTATACTTTGCATTTGTTTTAGGGAATTTTTGTACGTTTATCAATAGTCCTTTATTACAATATTTTATCCTTTGAGGTTAAAAAAACAAAACAAAAAACAAAACAAAACAAAAAAACCTGGCTGGGCATGGTGGCTCACGTCTGTAATCCCAGCACTTTGGGAGGCCAAGGCAGGCAGATCTCTTGAGGCCAGGAGTTCAAGACCTGCCTGGCCAACGTGGTGAAACCCCATCTCTACTAAAAATACAAAACATTAGCTAGGTGTGGTGGTGTTCGCCTATAATCCCAGCTACTCGGAGGCTGAGGCAGGAGAACTGCTTGAACCTAGGAAACGGAGGTTGCAGTGAGCTGAGATCATGCCACTGCACTCCAGCCTGGGCAACAGAGCCAGACTCTGTCTTAAAAAAGGCAAAAAAGCTAATATTCAGTAATACGTGCTTAATACAAACCTTAAAGTTCCCATATAAACCTGGAATCAATTCTAGGAAAGACACATAAAATATGGTGATTATATTTTATTTCACTCTGCTGTGGGAAGAGGCTGGGATAATGTTTAAATTAAAACAAAAGTGACAATACCCCTATGAAGGAGACCAGGTCAACATAACCGGCTGGCATCATGTTTATCTTCTCAGCATTTAAAACACACACACACACACACACACACACACACACACACACACACACACACACAAACTTTTTGGCTCTACTTCTGACCTTGGCTTTTATATTGGTGTTCATTTGTTTTTCAGAGGGGCTTGGTTCTTTTATTTGAAGATACATCCTATTTGTTGGAAGAACTTCCATTAAATTATCTTGTCAGTTCTCACTAAATTTTCTTTTCACAGCTCTTGCTGTCTGGGTTATAAAAACCCATGGCAAACATGGGAGGCCCCAAAGGAATGTGTGCTGGGATCCTCTTGAAATATTATTGCCCTGGATCCTTTGAGCTCTTTGAGTCCAGAAAGCAGCATGGAGAAGGAGGGCAAACCTGCATAGTTTCTCAGAATGGATGAGTTTTTCTTCAGAGTAGCCATGTAGAGCAGCTCAGGAAATGACTGCTCTTAAGCTGACAGGCTGGCAGAATATTAATAAATGCAAAATAAGCAACTGTCCTGCAAGTATTTCTTGGATGCTGTTTATACTTGATTTCTATCCAATGCTCTTTAGCACATCTTCTCAGAGTCTAGAAAGTTGTCTCCTTTTTCCCTCAAGCCAAATGGGTTACTGCTTTCAAGCTATTTTTGCTATGAAGACAACAATAACAAAACAGCTATGCCAAACTACTTCTTATTTTCAAAACCAGTTTGATTTCCTCTGACAAACCATCAGGCCAGTGTGACTTTGCATCACTGGATTAGGTTAGTGTAGGTGCTGTGGTTTGAATGTGTTCCCTAAAGCTTATTGGAAACTTAATCCCCACTGCAACAGCACTGAGAAGTGGGAGCTTTAACAGCTGAGCTGATTAGGTCTTGAGGGCTCCATTCCTTGTTACTGGGTTAATGTCATTATAATGGGAGTAAGTTAATCAGCCAGGGAGTGAGTTCCTGATAAAAAGATGAGTTCCCCAATTCCCCTCTTCTCTTCTGCAACAGACATGCTCTCTTGACCTTCTGCCTTCTCCCATGGGATGACTCAGCAAGAAGACCCTTGTTAAATGTGTGCCCCTCAGCCTTGGACTTAGCCTGCAGAACTGTAAGAAATAAATTTCTGTTCTTTACAAATTACCCACTCTCAGGTATTTTGCTTATTTATAGCAGCACAAAATGGACTAAGACAGAGTGTAACTAGATGTATGAGGAAATGACCTCTCTCTACATAGGCTGTCTATCTTTGGAGTACAGCTCCAGGTGGACAGTGGCATTGTTTAGGCTTGCTAGGAGGACAGCTAGGAGTGAATTAAAAAAATCCATTTTGCTTCTAAAACTAAAAGGGTCATTTTAATTAAAATAATACCATAAACATAATTTATATTAAAAACAAAGTCATATACAAATTAGAGAAAAATACAAAGAAATGCCATTTCCTAGGTTTGATTCGGGCATCTTCATTTCTAAAATTAACTATTCCTGAGTTCTGCTAATGTGTCCTGCCACAAGTGTAGGCATAAAAAGGTGAAGGAATTAAACTACCAGGCTCTGAATCAAGGGACTTGTTTAATAGAATTATGTATAATGAAGAATCCTACTCGCTTTGAATTCAACGTGGAAGTTATTCCTCCCACCAAAAGAAGCAGAGAGGGAAGGAACCTCCCAGAAAAGTCCAGGCAGAACTTACAAGTTTGAGCCATATGAAACAGGTAATATTTGACCATTTTTGCTGAAGAAACATATCAATTCCATATTGATTGACACAATAGAATCATCAACTTCTATAATGGGAGCTGTGGCCTTTTCCACTTTTTCCTTTCTCCTATATTTGAGCAGAAATTCCCAGAAGGGAGTAAAACTTGCTCTACCTATAGAATAGGCAAGAAATTGTTTTCTCTTCCTCCATCCTTCTGCAATATCAAAAAATATCTTTAAGTATTCAAGAGACGTGAACATTATTCCTATTCTCTCCTGGGATTCAGCCATCCAGCCTTCTTTACCCCAGTGGGCCTCAAAGTTCTCTCTCTCTCTTTTTTTTTTTTTTTTTTTTTTTGAGACAGGGTCTCCATCATCCAGGCTGGAATGCAGTGGTGCAATCACTGCAGGCTCAACTTCCCGGGCTTAGGTTATTCTCCCACCTCAGCCTCCTGAGTAGCTAGGACCACAGGTATGTGCTGCCACACTAGGCTTTTTTTTTTTTTTTTTTTTTTTGCATTTTTAGTAGAGATGGGGTTTTGCCATGTTGTCCAGGCTGGTCTCAAACTCCTGGACTCAAGGGATCTACCTGCCTTGGCCTCGAAAAGTGCTGGGATTACAGGTGTGAGCCACCACGCTCAGCCCTTAAAGTTCTCTCTTAATTAATCCTCCTAAGTTTGCTGGGGCAGAGGGAGGGTGGGGCGGATATGGGAGTACTTTATATGTATAAAATTTTGCCATAGGGTAGGTTTTAATTCTCAGTTCTTATGTTTTCATAATTTCTTGGAGTAAAGAACTCCTTCAGGTATTGTTCATGATATATATCTATAACCTCAACTGACTATCTCAATTAAGATTTTGGTACACAATGAGTGTAGGCCACATAATCCTCATCCCTTACGGAATGCTGTTTAGTGAGTGTTATACCTGTCTAGGCATGTTTCTTGTTACACTTATGTAAGTTTTAACTTTCTTGAAGGCTGTCTCAGAATATATTCCTATGGCTCAATGCCTTTTATGTTCTTGGCTTCCCGTCAATAGAGGCCATAGCAATGTGTGCTTGCTCACCTCATCTGCTGTTCAACTGAGCACACATTACCTGGCATGGGGAAATAACTTCAAATTTCTTCAGACAAAGGTCCAACAGGCCAGACAAGCTCATGGCTAGTTCCTTGACCTGAACAATCTTGTTATTTACAGAATCTCCAACATTCAAAATGGAGGAACTTCCAGCTCATGATTAAACTCTTTAGCATTCTTTCAACATTGGCACCATTATATATTTCGATTAACAGCATTTTAAAAAGAGATAGTGTATTAGCTTCCTGGGCTGTTGTGACAAGGGACCACAATCTAGATAGATTAAAAAGCAGTTATTCTCTCACAGTTTTGAAAGTTCTGGAAGTCTGAAATCAAGATATTAGCAAGGCCATGCTCTCTCTGAAGGCTCTAGTGGGGGATTATTTCCTGCTTCTTAGCTTCTGGTGGTTGCTGGTAATCTTTGGTGTTCCTTGGCTTGTAAATGTATCCTTTGAATCTCTGCCTCCATCACATGGCACTCTCCTTCTGTGTGGCTGAATTTCTCTCTTATTATCCTTAAGGATACCTTCATCCATTGTGGCCTCATG
Source organism: Homo sapiens (assembly GCF_000001405.40). Taxonomy (NCBI): domain Eukaryota; kingdom Metazoa; phylum Chordata; class Mammalia; order Primates; family Hominidae; genus Homo; species Homo sapiens. Next base: position 117,688,994 of record NC_000007.14, read on the forward strand.
TTGATACGATTAAATTTGCAAAGACCCTATTTCCAAGTAAGGCCATATTCACAAGTTTGGATAGACATGAATTTGGGGCATACTATTCACCTCCGTGCAAGTAGTCTTGAAGATTTGCTTCTAAATATAATAAATCCATTTAAATAAAACTAAATGTGATTCAAATAAATACTTATACATAAATAATCACCACTATGTCCCAAGCTCCATCAGCTCCATGTTTATATTTATTCATTTGTTAATTTAACAAATACAGATTAAAAGTCTATCATGTGTTCTGAGCAGTACTGGGGCCAAAATAATGAACCAGAGGGACAAGGTCCCTGTTTACGGGATGTTTATGTTCTAGCTGGGAGAGTGATAAACAAGTATAATTTCATTTGTGCTCTCAAAGCAATATTGAGAACTGACCAAGTGACAGTCACTGAGAATGAAAAAGTGAAAAGAGTAAAGTCCATGTCTTCATAGAACTTACATTCTATTGGTAGGGAGATAATGCATAAATGAGTAGATAAGTACACAAACAAATAACATTAGCTAGTGATAAGTGCTATCAGGAATTAAGAGGCAGGGCAAATGGTTGCAGGGTCAGAGAGCTTTGTGTCTTTTCATCTGAGCCCTGAAGGAAGCCAGGGAATGAGTCTTGTGAATGTTTGGGTTTAGTGTTCTGGTGGGAGGAACTGCAGATACAAAGACCTTGAAGAGAGCAAGTTCCTGGTGTATTTGGGAAGAACAGGAGGCCAGTGAGGCCTCTTGATGTGAATCAGGACAGAGAAAGGGATTGAGTGGTAGCCTGGGGCTCAAACATCCTGGTAAACCATGACAAGAGCTGTTACTCCAAGTACTATGGGAAAGCAAGCAGAGGGTTTTGAGCAGGAGAGCAACATGAATGTACTTGAATTTTAAAGGGAGACCCTCTGGCGACGGTGTGAGTACTGGACTGTAGGGGACAATGGGTGGAGAAGGGGTCACGCTTGGGTGGGATTTTGACTACAGAGCCTGTGGTATTCAGAGAGTGGAAAGTGCTATGAAGTAGACATGGCATGATGGAGAGGGGGGTAGGAAGGAAGGTCATTCATTGGGTAGCTAGCATGTAGAGAGGCTTCACCGAGAAGACGATGTTTTCGCTCATATGTGAATGACTAGAAATCGCCAGCCTTGTGAAGATCTTGGAAGATATTTTCAAGTAGAAGCAAAAATTGGAAAAAGAAAATTGGAAAGCTCTAGCTGTGGTGTGTTGGAGAAAAGAAAGGAGGACAGTTGAAACCTAGTAAGCCAGAAGATGCCCTGTAGGAGACAAAGGAAAACAGGGAGGCAGGGCAGTGTCAGGAAGGCCCCTGTGGTCCTTCCTGGTACTGTGAACTTCCTGAGAGTACTAGAAGAAAGAGTCTCTGTCCATAGCTTGCTGGCGCCTGCTATTTTGTATGGTATAACATTACCCAATGTGAGAGGAGGAAGTGATGAACGTTCTAAGGTGCATAGAGTTAGAGGATGTCTCTCTACAAATTTTACAGGTCACAATTTAAAAATGTCGATGGCCTTACACATAGCAAAATAATTTCTAGGAATTTATCCTACAGAAACAAAATTACAGATACTTAAATTTAGAGCATAAATATTTTACTGTGGCCTTGACTACAATAGCAAAAGTAACCAAAAATAACCAGAAACACCTGGAAACAGTCCATTGTTAAGAAAACAGATGAATAATTTATGGTGTATGTATAAGTGGACATGTATTTAGCTATTAAAATAATGTGTGGGAGCTATATTTGTTGTTGACTTAGAAAAATGTCCACAATTTATATTTCAAATGGTAAATTGACCTACATAAATAATATGTAAATAAAGTATAATACACAAAATATAAAATTATTTTTAAAAACTCACCATGGTGGCTGGGTGCAGTGGCTCTCGCCTATAATCCCAGCACATTGGGAGGCAGGCAGATCATTTGAGGTCAGGAGTTCGAGAGCAGTCTGGCCAACATGGTGAAACCCTGTCTCTACTAAAAATGCAAAAATTATCCGGGCGTGGTGGCGCAGGCCTGTAGTCCCACCTACTTGGGAAGCTGAGGCAGGAGAATCCTTTGAACCCGGGAGGGCGGAGCTTGCAGTAAACTGAGATCTTGCTACTGCACTCCAGCCTGGGAGACAGAGCGAGACTCCGTCTCCAACAAAACAAAACAAAGCAAAACAAAAAAACAACAAAAACACCCACCGTGAGGTGATGGAAGTGTTTTAAATCTTATTTTTGCTGGTAGTTTCACAGGTGTACACAACTGTCAAAACACGTGGAATTATACTTTAAGGAAAGGCAGTTCCTTGAACATAGTTTCTCAAAGTTGAACAAATGTTCTGTATCTTAAAAAGTGTCTGTCTTCTATCATTTTGGTGTGTACCTACATTTGAGTAGGTTTCTATGAGCAAAGGAAGAAAATATAGGAAGATACAGTGGTTACATAGAGATGGGTTTGGAGAGAATGGTACCTAATTTTGTAACCCTAGAGTGTCCTTAGCCCCAAATTCCTGTCCAACCAAAATATCTCAATGTGAAGATACACCTTTGTTGTCTACTGAGCAGAGGTAGCTAAACATTTGGACTGGCTAAGTAAGGAAAATACTTCCCATGTCACTTCTGAACTTTTTGTACATGTGCGAGTTGGGGAGAGGTGGCAAGGACATTCTCCAGCATGGTGGTAGTCAGCTAAAATTAAACTTAAGCCAGTGATTGGAGGATCAACAAAAGGATAATTATCGTTTTGCAGTCTATCATGGAACATAGTGGAAGAACAAGATCTTTGAGGTCAGAAATACCTGAATTTTAACTCCAGCCTTGTCCCTTCCTGGTAGAACAAGTTTTGTGTGGCTTTGGAAAATTAATCTACATGGTCTTTATTTTCCTCAAATGCAAACAATAACTCCCATAGTGTTGTAGTAAAGATTAAATCAGATGAAACGGTCACAGGGCCTTCTATATTGTAGAATGTCAGTACTTGATATCATTATCCACTGTGGAAGAAAAGATTGTAAATTTCTTATTCTGAGGATTAGTGAGTTTAAAGTGCTTATTTGCATGGTTGGCCTAGGTGTTGTTCTTCAAAAAGGACTAATTCTAGACTCTGCTACAAGCCCACTATACAATATTGTTGTGATCTGATAAGCTTTTAAAAATTGAATCTGTAGGCCAGGTGCAGTGGCTCACGCTTGTAATCCCAGCACTTTGGGAGGCCGAGGTGGGCGGATCACGAGGTCAGGAAATTGAGACCATCCTGGCTAACACGGTGAAACCCCATCTCTACTAAAAAAGAATACAAAAAATTTAGCTGGGCATAGTGGCGGGCGCCTGTAATCCCAGCTACTTGGGAGGCTGAGGCAGAGAATTGCTTGAACCCGGGAGGCGGAGCTTGCAGTGAGCGGAGATCGCACCGCTGCACTCCAGCCTGGGCGACAGAGAGAGACTCTGGAAAAAAAAAAAAAAAATTGAATCTGTAATGACTTCAGCATGCTCTCCAATATCCCAATGGAATCATTATGTTTAGTCAGATTGCTCAAAATTTTCTGAGCTCTGTTGTGCCAAGTTTAAGGCAGCCGGAACTCTCTTCCCTTGCAGACAGTGAAATTTCTCTGGTGTGAAATGATGCTCATAGATGTTTATATGATGCTCATATTGGGAGGATGACTTGCCCCAAATGGCCTGTCACCCCAAATGGTTGGTGGTCTTGTGGTCTATTATCCAGGGAGACACCATTGCTCCCTGTCACATTGGTGACAAGCAGAAGAGATTAGGTTGTCCTTTGATTTGTTGATACACATGCCACGCTGTCAGATGATATTTGAGATTATGCCCTGAGCTCAGAGATGCATAGCGTGAGGATGACATGTGACGGGTATCTCTGTGCCCCATTACTGTGGAGCAGCCTCTGCTGCAAGACCTGACCTCTCTGGCATTTACAGAAGATCCTCCTTATCCATGGTTTCGCTTTCCATAATTTCAGTAATGTGAGATCAACTGGGGTCTGAAAATAGGTGAGTATAATACAATGAGAGAGAGAGAGAGAGAGAGAACATTAACATACTTGTTACTAAAGTATATTGCTATACATTTTCTATTTTATTATTAGTGTTGTTAACTCTTACTGTGCCTGACTTACAAACTAAATTTTATCATAGGTATGTATGTATAGAAAAAACGTATATAGGGTTCAGTACTATATTCCATTTGAGGCATCCATTGGGGGTCTTGGAACATATCCTCCACAGCTAAACAGTGACTTCTGTACCCTCTGTCAGTGCAGAATGAGGTGCACTGCATTAGCATCGTAGGCCTCGGTTTCTCTTTACAACAGACTTGGTAGGTAGCTTTACGTTAATCACTTTGGGTCCAAGCTATGCATCTGGAAACTGGGGATAAGAATACTATTTCCATATCTGTCAAAAGGCAGAGGAGTGACCACATGGTCCTTCCAACTTTAAGTGTTATTACACCCAATTTTTAATTTTTCTGCTTTTCTCTTGCCAAATTCTTTCTGGTTGTCCTGTCCTTTATAGATAGGACATCATCACCTGAAATTGAGATATGGAGAACCAAGCTCAGAATTTTATGTTAGAAACTACTATCCACGCACTTCCTAATTTTTAGAGGGACAGAATAAGGGTGATTTGCATGTTTGTCTTTACTCTCCTGACAACTGAGACAGGAAACCAAGGATAGGAGCTCATGCAGGTAAAGAAGAAACAGGTTCAGATGTGGACATGACAACTTTGAAGTCACTGTCTGACATCTACTTCACAGCCAATTAGATCAAATTTACAAGCCACCACACACATATATAGTGCTAGTAAATATCAGCATATAAGTGGTTAAACCATGGGAGTGGATGAGATCCCTCAGGAAAATTGCATTGAGTTGAAGAGGAGGTGTCAAGCGTAAATTGTGCTTGGATGTTTGGGGTGAACAGAAGAAGACATTGCAGTGAAGAAGGCTGAGAAGCACCATCAGAGCAGAAAGACCAACAGCACTTGGTGTCATGGGGGCCATGGAAGGAGAAAGCCTTTATGGGGGCAGGAGGAGCCTGATCAGTAATGTCGAATAGAACAGACACTATATAATCGAAGGCTTTAACAACAAACATGAAAAAAGGCTCAACATCACTGATCATTAGAGAAATGGGAATCAAAACCACAATGATATACCATCTCATGCCAGTCAGAATGGCGATTATTAAAAAGTCAAGAGACAGCAGATGCTGGTGAGGCTGTGGAGAAATAGAAATGCTTTTACACTGTTGGTGGGAATGTAAATTGGTTCAACCATTGTGGAAGACAATGTGACAATTTCTCAGAGATCTAGAACCAGAAATACCATTTGACCCAGCAATCACATTACTGGATGTGTACCCAAAGGAATAGAAATCATTCTATTATAGAGATACATGCACGTGTATGTTCATTGCAGCGCTATTCACAATAGCAAAGACATAGAATCAACCCAAATGCCCATCAACGATAGACTGGATAAAATGTGGTACACATACACCATGGAATACTATGCAGCCATAAAAAGGAATGCGATAATGTCCTTTGCAGGGACATGGATGGAGCTGGAAGCCATTATCCTCAGCAAACTAATGCAGGAACAGAAAACCAAACGCTGCATGTTCTCACTTATAAGTGGGAGCTGAACAATGTGAACTCATAGACTCAGAGAGGGGTAAAACACACACTGGGGCCTGTTGTGGGGGGTGGGGATAAAGAGAGGGAGAGTATCAGGAAAAACAGCTAATGTGTGCTGGGCTTAATACCCAGGTGGTGGGTTGATAGGTGCAGCAAACCACCATGGCACACTTTTACCTATGTAACAAACCTGCACATCCTGCACATGTATTCCAGAAATTAAATTTAAAAAAAAATTGAAGGCATTAAAAATTACCTTTTGCTTCTGAAGACCAGACGGTCATTGGTGATTTTAGGAAGAGCATTTTCACTAATAGAGTGGGCATAGAGCACATTTTAGTTGATTAAAGAATAAAGGAGAGGAAGACAAGCCTGGATTAGACAATCTGGAAAGAGATGTCAGTTGTTAGAAGGTGATCCTTTTTGTCTCTTCACTGGGGCTTTTTGAGTGACATGCTGGCTCAAGGGAAAGATCCACAGCAAGGGAAGATGAAGGCAACCAAGTAGATCATTGAGGGAGCAAAGTCCTGGAGTAATTGTATAGGTGAAAGGGAAAAGTCTCATCTTATTATCTTTTGTAATAAGAAGTAGTTTAGTTCATTTTCTCTAAGAAGAAGCTATGAAGATGTGATTAGATGTGCAAGAGATTCGTTGAGATAACACTTGTAAAGGATAAAGAAGAAAGTGGGGAGACTCTTCAGATCTCAGGAGAGGTCTGACACCTGTGAAGGAGAGGGGAAGAAAAGACCAGGTAGGAAATGTGTCTAGCTGTAAGACAGTTCCAAGAAAGGCCTATGGAGTGAAAAAAACCTTCATTTAAAGAAGACACATGTCCCACAGAAATGGGCGTGGAAATGTCCCCTCCATTCTCAGTCAACAATTGGGAGCAGCATGCTGGAAGCCTGGTCCCAAAGCAGATGCAGAGGGGGACCCAGAGTGTAGCAGCTGAAGTCAGCAGCAATTACGCACGCTCTGGACATCTGAGCAGTGCGCTTTCATGGTAAAACCCTGATATAACTGGCTGATCTGGATGTGCAGAAATGAGAACAGGAAGATAAGTGAGTTCCCAGGTGGTGGCCTCATTTATTTTTGAAGTATGAAGTATTAGGATTATTCTAGCTAGAATGGGAATAGAGAATGGAATTGGAGAAACTTGAGTGATGGTTTAGAAGAGCAGAAACTGAAAGAAGGTAGGACTTTGATCTGCACAAGGTCTCATTGAGAATGGGTCCTGTAAGGGACTGTGATGTGTTGTGGCATTAACATGGCATGACTATGATTTTCCTCTAGAAGGATGTAGTAAGAATAGAGAAGGTAGATTTTGTGACTTATCTCTTTACTGTTAATGCTACTCCTGGTTCCAAGGCTGCCCCAGTTTTATAATTCTTAAGTTATTAGTAACTTGTCCTTTATTTGATTAAACACACAAAAAAATACATTGATTGAGCCTTATGTATGAAGCACAGGAGGAGATATAAGAATGGATTTCTGCCATCCAGGAGTGTGTACTTAACAGCAATACCTATGATGCAAGGCAGACTACGACAGGTAATATAAGAGAGGTAGAAATAAAGCCTATGGAACTTCAGAAGAGGAATAGAGTATCTGAGTAGGTAAAAGAGAGGACAGACTCAAAGACTTTATGGAGGTGGCTTGGTTTGGGATTCATAAAGTGGGTATAATTGTGACAGATTTGTTATCTATGTCTACTATTGTATGGTAGAAACCTTTCTTCTTTTTAATCTGCCTTTCAAGGCCTTCATCTAGGCTGGATGGTGACCACCTCATGCCCAGATTACTAATGAATTGCTCAGTCCCTCTTTAAATCTACTGTCTCATATATTTGATTACAAATACAACTGGGTAAATTATGTTGTTCATATAACCTAGAAGTTTTGGGGCCCTCTCCCCTGTTTCTCAAGCATAACTGATGCTACAGTACTTTGTCCTTTTTGCACATTTCCATGATGTCTTATTGTACTAATAAGTGCTCTCTAGACTGTGATGAACTAGTTGAGTTATAACCTTGGGTAGGAAATTACATAAGCTTGGTACATGGTAGTGTTAGAGCAAGGTCTTAGTTATTTGCTTAGTTTTCTCACCTGCCAGTGAGTTTGTAAATCACAGTCAAGGTCTTGGTTTGGAGAGGAAGGGAGGTAGCTCTGCTGTATTATTTAATCTGATTTACCAGTAAAGAAGCTAATGTTGAATGTTGATTCTTCACTTGGATAAGACTCCAGTTGTTTATAATATGGAATTGTAATATGGAATAATATTTTCACACCTCAGTAATCCATAATGAGTTCCTCTTCCACCTTTCCAGTTACTTGGGATAAAAACTACCTGAAATTACAAGATATGCAAAATGTTGTATAATCAGGGCCTCTATCTTAAAAACTGATTTACTACTATTTCTGGGAAATGTGCCTATTTTACACTTTGGACCTTATTCACTGTTGTTAAATTTTTCAGATAAAGCTCAACACAGTCCAGCAACTAGCTATGCTTAGCCTCCTTATCTTCATTTTTAATGCGACACCGTGAACTCCAGTCAAGAAAACACATTTAAGACCCTTTACACTTGACTGATGCACCTGAGGCTTTGCAGTGTTATGCAGAGGTATCAGTAAATATTTAATAGTTGTGAATGAAATTAAAGTCCTGGAACCCTTGTCCAACTAAATAGGCCCCTCCAAGAGACTGCTCTGATGTCATTTACTCACATAGCCAGTGCTTAGATGCTTCATGATTAGTAATTTTTGTATCCTTTCTGGAGGTTTTTTGCTCTCCATTTGGTGGTAAACTCTGGTAATGAATTTTTCACTCCAATTTTTGCCTAGGTTGCTACTATTGGTCTATTAGGGTGCCTTTTTTCAGACGAAAAGACATCATCTTTTAGGAAACCTTGTCAAGGTCAACAAAACATGAACTTATTTTAATAATCCTTTTGTATTAACAGTATTTACTTTTAGAATTATGAAGATGTGTTTATCCTTCCAAGCAGCAGTCTGGGTTGTTGCCACTTGAAAAAAAAATACGGTCTATTGGAGTTGGAGAATAGGCAGGAACCTTGATGTCATAAAGGAAAGGAGGTAAATGGACAGTACCTTAGTGTGGTTAAGGAAAGGGCTGAGGGAGGTTTAGTCTCTCTCAGATGTGGTAGAAACTTCCATGTGAGAACATTTGCCACCTCAGATGAGAACACTTTTTCCATTCTCCATAAGTCTAACTCTAAGCTTTTTTTTTCTTTTTTTTTTTTTTGTACTTTATTTTATTCTTTGAGAGGTGGGGAGGTGAGCTGCCCTTTCTTTGACTTAAGGTTCTTACTTTTTTGGCTTACAATTCTCAGAGACTCTGGCTGTCTGCATACAGAGGCCATTCAGAGCTCCATTTCAACAAGCAATTGCATATTTGATCCAATAATCCTCCAGCACGAGGATTTGGCAATCCTTTCAAAAACATTTTCCAAGTAGTTCTTAAAACCATCCCTTTTCATTAGGCAAGTGCCAGGTGAATAAACATGGCCCTAAACACTGTCCACCCTGCCTTGGCAAGGGAACATCTAAGGCTTGGGTAATTGATTTCCCCGTGGTTGCAAGAAGTTCACATAACATTATTCAATCATCTCTCAAGTTTGCTTGTGATTGCTAAATCATTTGTGACATTGGCCTGACCTCTTACATTTAGACTTCCTTATTCTTACCTATAAAACAAGATAAAAGGATTACTTGATTGATGTCTCCAAATGGCCAGTCTGTGGACCACTGAAGCACACTGGCTGCCTCATGTCCAAGTTCAACTGTGAACTTCCTATAACACAAGCCTTAATAACTCCATCCTCTTCCTCTCCAACTCCTCTCTTAGAGACCCTTGTAATTAATTTAGGTAAATGGCCAGCGCTCAGGCCTAAAATTAGGATCTGCCAAAGGAATTTACCATGAAGTTACACTTGTAATGACCCTCCCTAAACCTCCAAATATTCTCCTCAGAGGTCGCAAGATAATGAAGTAGTCACAGCCATGTGCTACAGTCCTGCACCAGCTAGACCTGTACCCTCATACTTCCACTACTTGACCCTGGTAGATCTCATCCAGAATCAAAGTCTATCTTTTGCTCCGAGTAGAAAAATATGAATGAGTAAGATTGTGCTTTCTGGTCCAGATGATCATGACTCAAACTACATGGCCATCTGGCCCCTCCATCTACAGTTAGAAGCACCACCTTGGCAATAATTGAAATGAACTTTCAACAAATCTGCTAGAGTCAAGACTGAATTATGCATTGTTTTATAATATCATTGCCATATGAAGAGGGAAACAATTGTGTGTGGCCTATGAAAAAGGTGTTACCATCCCTGGATTGCAATTTTTTTGTTAGTTTTTTTTGAGACAGAGTCTCACTCTGTAACCAGGCTGGAGCGCAGTGGCGTGATCTCGGTTCATTGCAACCTCCGCCTCCCAAGATTAAGCGATTCTCCTACCTCAGCCTCCCAAGCAGCTGGGACTACAGGCGTGCACCATCACACCTAGCTAATTTTTGTATTTTCAGTAGAGACGGGCTTTCGCCATGTTGGCCAGGATGGTTTCGATCTCTTGACCTCGTGATCTGCCCACCTTGGCCTCCCAAAGTGCTGGGATTCCAGGCATAAGCCACTGTGCCTGGCCTGTTAGGGTTTTGTTTGTTTTTTTTTTTTGGCATGACAACTTTATTGAGATATAATTCACATACACATAGGATATCATACAATTTGCCCATTTAAAGTATACAGTTCAGTGGCTTTTAGTATATTCAGTTGTGCAACTATCACCACTATCAATTTTAGAATCACCTCAAGAAGAAAACCCATTCCCTTTAACTATCAGCCCCTGTCCTTTCTATCTCCCCCAGTCCTAAGCAACACTTAATCTACTTTCTATCTCTGTATATTTGTAAAATTTTAAAAAAGATTGTTCAATTGGAAGAATTTTTAAAATATATCCACAATAATATAGTTTATATGTGTTATATATCATTTTCTTAACATGTGTTCTCTAGCTTGGATTTCTCCCTTTTCTAGATCATTGATGTGGAGAAATAGACACTGGGTCCTGTTCTCTGCCCTCCATTTGATCTAGTGCCCACAACTAAACACAATTTTCTACAAAAATAAAGGCAGGACAAATGGGATAGCATAACTGACCCTTCTGATATACTTTTTTTATAAAAAAGGGGAAAAAAATTATCTTCTCAAGTTAGGAACTACAGAATTGACCTGGAAAAAGAGTGGGCCCAAAAGAAAGATTCCTAAAGTATCTCATTAGTGCCATGACTAGCAGGCAACATAAGCAGCTCGATTAGCTCACCATATGATTGACAGGAGATGGAGAAGATGTTGGGGGTGGTGGTGGTGGTGGTAGAATTGGGGGAAGAGTTATTTATATTTGGGTGTGGCATATGAGTTTCCTCAGAGATTCTTGCTTTGGGTATTAAAAGTGTTTAATTTTTATAAAAATTTTCAATAAAAAGGCAAATACCTAAGTGCCCTGAAGAAGTTTGAGACTTAGATACCAATTCAAAATTCAAGAATTATGACTGTTCTAGAAGTCTTATGAAACTTGTATACTTCATCTGTGTGATATTTGGCAATGTGCATCTTGACTTTGGCATAGATAAGTCACTCACCTGAGGTTTTAAAGCAATAACTTTTTAATTTAGGGTAGACTCTTTTTTCAGCTTGTTCATGAGTGATAGATACTCTGGGAAGGTGGACACTTTTCTCAGTCGAAGGGAGGTATTATTCATATGGAATTCTATATAAATGTATATAAATGGTGTCCCCTAAAGCATAAGTCTGTTGATGAGTCTTTAAAGAGACTATACCGGTTAGATTCTACAATATACAGGTTGACAATATCCGATGGGAAATGTGGCTTGATTTGAAATTAGAAGGCAGACATTCAAATGACTAATCTCAAGTCTGCCCCCAAGGTACTGTATAATTCTATGATTCTGGGCTTCATTTTTGAAAAGTCTAAAGAGATGATGAAGTACATCTGTCAAGAAAGGCATGAGAAGAAACAAAATGATCCATCTTGGCTGTGCAAATGCTGTAATGAATGGGGAAGTTGGTAGATGTGGTCTTAACAGGGTGTAGGCTTGTGCTGAAATAAATAAATAAATAAATAAATACAAACCACAAGACTGACGTGACTGCCCAGTTGTGAACATTGTATGAAGGTTTAGTTGGCAGAGTAATGCTTTTCAAGTATGTTGGATAAATATTAGGTTTAAAGGCCAAGATACTTATAAGTATTTACAGGATTAAGTGAGGTATAAAATAATATTTAGTGTCTCAAAGGATGGGAAGGAAGATAGTGTTGTGGTCATTCCACAGAGGAAGTTAGAACTGCACATCCAAAATTTGGTTCAGATATCAATGCTAATGATGACACAAATACACACATACATATACACATACACCTCAAGATGGTATTAACAATTTTATTATTCATATAATGAGGTCTTCTGAGAAAAACAGGCCAGGCTCCCAAGCAAGTCTAAAAATGGATTGAGAGAACAGGGAGGGAGAATTGACTTGGGGTTTTATGTGGTGGAGTAGTGTGGCTGGAGAGAGAGTTGTCTTGTGTAAGCTGGGGCTTATTTGGTTTGAATTTCTCAATAATGCAAAAGTTGAGGCATCCAAGCATCTCATCAGCTTCTCTAGATGTGGCTTGAGTTGCCAGGAGGCAAATTCAACTGTTAGTGTTTTGTGTCCTAAGACATCTTGTCTAATCTGAGGTAAAAGCTTTTTCCTATTTTTTAGAAGGTGTATAATTTTGGCTCTTCTGCTTAGCTCTACCATCCATTTTGAGTTGATTTTTATATATGTTATAAATTAAGGATTGGAGTTTTCTTTTATTGGTATTTATTGATAATACAACTGTTTCAGCATCATTTGTTGTAAAGATTGTTTTTCTCCATGGAACAACTTTGGCACTTTATAAAAAAAAATAAGCATGTGTGAGTGGGTCTATTTTTGAACTCTATTCTGTTCCAGGATCTGTACATTTGTCCTTATGCCAGTACCACCTTATCTTAATTACCGTAGTTTTATAGTAAGTATTTTCTGTTAATGCCAATTCTACAACTTTATTTTTTTCAAAATTGTTTTGGCTATTTTATATCCTTCATATTTCCATATAAATTTTAGGTTCAGCTTATTATTTTTTATAAAAAATCGGAAGTTTTTTTGCAACTTCTGCAAAGGTTATCAAAAACCATCAAAGGAGATTGCTTTGAATCTATGAATTATTTGGGGGAGAATTGACATCTTAAAAATATTGATCCTTCTCATCCATTGACATGGTACATCTCCATGTTTTTTAGGTTACAGTGTACACATCTTATATATTTTATTAAAGTACCCATAGATATTTCTTAATTTTGATGCTATTATAAATATCTTAAATTACAGTTTGCTAGTATGTGGAATTACAATTTATTTTTATATATTGATCTTGTATCTTAGGACCTTACTAACTTATTTATTAGTTTTAGTTGCTTACTTTTAGGTTCCTTAATTTTTATAACATCAATCACATCTGCAAAAAAAGTTTTACTACTTTTTCACCATGCAAACTTTAATTTTCTTTATCTTGTCTATTTATACTAGCTAGAATCTCACGTACAATGATGACTAGAGGAGGCAAAAGTGGTCATCTTTGTCATATTTCTGATCTCAGGGGCAAACATAATGTTAGCTGTGTTCATTTTGTTTGTTTTTTACAGATGTACTTTTCAAGTTAAGTGCCTTCTCTTCCTGGTCAGCTGAGAGTTATTTTTTAATCACAAATGAATGTTAAATTTTGTCTTATGTTTTTCTGCCTGTATTGAAATGATCATGTGTTTTCCTCTCCTGTGTTTCACCTTTGTTTTAGAAAGATATTTTCACTAGATAAAGTTTTTAGGTTGACAGTGTTTTTCTTCCAGCACTTAAGAAATACTTGATTTTCTTCCAGCACTTCAGAAATATTTGATTTTCTTCTGCAGAATACAGTTTATGATAAATCAGAAGTCATTCTTTCCTGTAACATGCCTTTTTCTCTGGCTACGTTTAAGATTTTCTCTTTATCACTTAGTACTTCCTAATTAAAAATCCATGCCCCAGCAGTGGTCAGCTAGCATTCTAAAGAGGAATGCTGAGGCAGCTACCACAAACACTTCTCTAACTTTATTATTGATTGACATTACAGCCTTTGCTAATTAGTGTAATAAATGTCAGAAATTAGTAACTTGACAGTCAGCTTACTGGAAGTTAGAATTACGATCTTGTTGGTTAAATAAGTATTCAAATTCTGTAGCCTGGCTAAAGTATTTTGAAGACACTCTTGAGAGAGACTAGAACATAAGCATCAAAGGAACCCAAGCACCTTCTGCAAGGCAGAAGGGGTTCGGTGGGTATGAAATGATGGAGGTGGGAAAGGAAGATCAAAAAAGGGGTTGGGTAATGCCAAAACCCAAATACTGGGGATTATTAGAAGACATGGTTCAAGAGAGAAGCTAATCCATGGGTGCAGGCCAGTGTCCAGAGAGAGAGACCACTGCAAGAGGCCCTGTCTGGATGTTCAGGACCTCTGAGAATATATTGTTTGCTGGCTGATTGCCCACTTTCCACAGGGCCAGTTCTATTTCTTTGTTTTTTGCCCTCCTATTATCCACTTACTCCATGCAATGTGACCGCAAGAGTTCTAAAAGCCTACATAATAGACATGTAAATACCGGTGGTGGTGACAGAGGTGGTGAGAGTGAGAAACTCACAAATTTAATTGAGAGGAACTTGAACTGAAATGGGTTCTTGGTTAGGCTAGGACACCACCATTATATCATGATGATCATATTTTTATAGTTCTTGTCAAACATATATCTCCTATAGTACTTGTATATGATAGTACTAGGTATTGGAAGCCAAAATAAATGAGTAAAGTATGAATAGACTTCGCCTTCAAGCAGCTGACAGGGTTTGGTTGGTAGTAAATATTTGGAACATTTTTTTTCCCCTTAAAGTTCCTGGACTCAGCTAGGACTAGCCAAATGAAATGTCTCTTTACCAAAATGCTCATCTTCAGCCTGTGTTGCTTTTTTGCACTCGTGTCCACTTTTCCGGCTTTTGGCCCATTTCCTTGGCTTTGTTGCTCCCCACTTCGGTTCCAGCAGGTCCTTGGTCACTACCCCCCACATAACAACATGCACCTGGGGGCATCGCCTGAGCTTAAAGGCCCCCATTCCTCAATTGTATCTGATCCCTTCCCTCTAACTAAATGCAGGATTCTGATTCCATTCCCTCAGCATTTGGGCAGGAAAAGAAATCTCAACTATTTGAGATGTGCCTGATGAATTACAGAAGCAAAGAATTCTGGAGTTAGAAGTTATCTTAGTTCCAAGTTAAAAATCCAGGCCCAGGAAAGTGTCACATGGTCAATGACACAAATCACTCACCGGCAGAACAGGGAGGAGTTTCACTACTTCAATTCTCTATTTACCATATCACAAAATATGTAAGATATCACATTCTAATAATGTAATTCAGAAATAAGAGAAGGATAGCGTAGCAGGAACACCACACCTTGCCTCTCAAATTACACCACACAGAGGCTGCATATTACACTAGTTCCAATTTCATTACTCACAAAGCCAATCTTGAAAATGCCCAGGTAAAGTAAATTGTCAGGAAGTTCTGAATAATAAACTCGTTTGATAAAACCAACTCACAATGCTTCTTCCTTAAAAATATTTTGGTGGAAATATTATTATATTTGGACATAAATACCCCCTGAAGGACTTGTTAGGAAGAAAATAGATCATTGTTTAGGTCCCTTAGCACAGAGGTCTGAAAGTCAAATAAACTTGGTCAGGCTGTTTTCTCTTCCTAAAGAGAATAAAAGGCCCCCAATCAATGGGTGGTCACCATAGAAAAAATTCGGCTCTAAGTCAGAGTGACTTGAATATCTGTGTGCTATTTTTATTTCAGAAAACCAAGAAGACACACCAAAAAATCCCGATTAAAAGGGAAGAAATGTGTTTAAAGAGCTTGTTGACTTCTTAAAAACAAAAATTCCTGCATAGATTTTGGTTAGGATTGCTTTAAATCTGTAGATTTGGAGATTTTCAAAAATATAGTACATTATTATTATTATTGTTTGAGACAGAGTCTCGCTCTGTTGCCCAGGCTGGAGTGCAGTAGCACGATCTCAGTTCACTGCAGTCTCTGCCTTCTGGGTTCAAGCAATTCTCCTGCCTCAGCCTCCCAAGTAGCTGGGATTACAGGTGCCCGCCACCACACCCAGCTAATTTTTGTATTTTTCGTAAAGACAGGGTTTCACCATATCAACCAGGCTGGTCTAGAACTCCTGACCTCAGATAATCCACCCCCCTCAGCCTTCCAAAGTGCTGGGATTACAGGCATGAGCCACTGTGCATGGCCAATATATTATTATTAACCATAGTCATCATGATGTGCAATAGATCTCTTGAACTTATTTCTCCCTTCTGATTTTTTTTTTTTTTTTGAGACAGGGTCTGGCTTTGTTGCCTAGGCTAGAGTGCAGTGGCATGATCTTGGCTCACAGCAACCTCCACCTCCTGGGCTCAAGCCATCCTCCCAACTCAGCCTCCCAAGTAACTAGTACTACAGGTGTACACCACCACACCTGGCTACTTTTTTTTGTATTTTTTGTAGAGATGGGGTTTTGCCATGTTGCCCAGGCTGGCCTCAAACTCCTGAGCTCAGGAGATTCACCTGCCTCAGCCTCCCAAAGTGCTAAGATTACAGGTGTGAGCCACCATGCCTAGCCTTTAACTGAAATTGTGTACCCTTTGAGCAATACCTTCCCAATCTCCTCTCCATTCTACTCTCTACTTCTATGAGTTCATATTTTTTAAAGATTCTACCACGTAAGTGAGATTATGTGGTATTTGTCTTTCTGTGCCTGACTTATTTTGCTTATCATAATGTCCTCCAGGTTCATCCACGTTGTCACAAATGACAGGATTTCCTTAAGACTGAATAGCATTCCATTTTGTATGTATGCCATATTTTCTTTATCCACTCATCTGTTGATGGACACTGAGGATGATTCCATATCTTGGAAGTTGTAAATAGTGCTACAGTAAACATGGGAGTACAGATAATCTCTTTGACACGCTGACGTCATTTCCTTTGGAAATAGCCCTACCAGTAGTATGATTGCTGGATCCTATGTTCTATTTTTCTTTTTCTTTTTCCTTTTTTTTTTAATTTTTATTTTTTGAGACAGAGTCTCGCTCTGTTGCCAGGCTGGAGTGCAGTGATGCAATCTTGGCTCACTGCAACCTCTGCCTCCCAGGTTCAAACAATTTTCCTGCCTCAGCCTCCTGAGTAGCTGGGATTACAGGTGCATGCCATCACACCCAGCTAATTATTGTATTTTTAGTAGATATGGGATTTCACCATGTTGGCCAGGATGGTCTTGATCTCTTGACCTTGTGGTCTGCCTGCCTCAGCCTCCCAAAGTGCTGAGATTACAGGCATGAGCCACCATGCCCAACCTATTTTTAATTTTTAAAGGAACCTCTATACTGTTTTTTATAATGGCTGTACTAATTTACATACCTACCAACGGTGTACAAGGGGCCACTCTACATCCTCTCCAACACTTGTTACCTTTCATCTTTTTCGATAATGATTATTCTAACAGGTGTGAGGTGACATATCCTTGTGGTTTTAATTTGCATTGCCCTGATGATTCATATGTTGAGCATTTTTTCATATCCCTGTTGCCTTCTCTTGAGAAATATCTATTCAGGTCTTTTGCCCACTTAATTGGGTTGTTTTCTTGCCATTGAGTTGACTTTTTATATATTTTGGATATTAATCCTTATCAGCTATGTGGTTTGCAAAAATGTTCTTCCATTCTGTAGGTTCCTTCTTCACTCTGTTGATTGTTTCCTTTGCTGTGTGATGCTTTTTAATTTAATGTAATTTAATCTCACTTGTCTATTTTTCCATAAGAAGAGTTGCCAGTGCTGTTTACCCTGGCTGCTACATACCCTGATCCCTGAAGACCGTTTCTTGAACCATTCTGCTCTAAAGTAATCCTCCTTCCATGATCTTTACCAAGTGCTTTGTATTATTAATACATCACTATACTGATTTCCTTTATAGAACATACACAATGAAAAATTATCTTGCTTTGTTTATTTACTCACTGTCTCAGCCCTATTAAGATGGAAAATGCCTGGCATGTCTTAATGCTTTATTCCTAGTCCCTAGCACGATATTACTTTAATGAATAAGTAAGGTTTGAAGCCACTCTGAGTAGATGTGAATATTTGAATTAGCTTAGGAGAAATATATTCTCGATTTCCTTAAATTACAACTGAAATGACTTTTGTGATATGTATAGCTGATGCCCTTACTATAAGGTATCAGGATATACTGGAAAAACTTGCAGGATTTTTTATTTTTCCATTGTGTTTTTCTTTCTAGGAGGCAGAAAAACCTTCTGAATTTTTACCATGATGACATTAAAGCCAGAGATGTTAAGTGTCATTGTAGTTAGCTCTGTGGCCAGAACCTGAGCTGGCAACTCCTGATATGAGTGCTTCACTATGAAAGACAGACTAGATATGGCAAGTAACTGCACATTCCTTCTCAGTGTGTTTCCCAGTCTTCTCTTTCAAATTAACACTCAATGGGCATCCTGATACACAACTAAACATACATATTCATGGTCAAATCCAGGCTAATAGAGGATATCTATTCACTCATTTCCTCCTTTGACACCTGTAGAATGTTATCTGAATAAAATGATTTTGCAAAGGGATGGGATAGAATTTAGAAAGCATCGCATTACTTCAGAGAGTGACTTTTCTTTAATGGGTCTTAGTTGTTAAGAACAGATGCCTAAATAAGGTGATGCCTAAAGTGATGCCTGGGGCTAGTCAACTGAATTTAATGTTCACTAAGGATTAACTGCTCACAAAAACTGTATTTGTGAAAAATTGACCTTGTCTATCCAAATTGGCTACTTCTAATAACTAGCTTTTATAGTCTACTTGTTTTCTTTTTTACATAAACAACTACAAAATGTATTAGTCTATTTTGGAGAAACTCTTAAAATAGAATGAAATTGAAAATTGCTAAAGTGTTATAGTTATTTTCAGTTAGATATTTCTATGAATTATTTTATACACTCATGGTTTAAAATCCAATTTTCATAATATAGTTGCCAGCATCTGTGAATTATTACAATTTGAAAAGATTTGGAATGCCATAACTTTTTAAAAATGTTCTGCTCTGATCTTTATTTCCTTTCTTCTAACTCTGGGCTTAGTTTGTCCTTGTTTTCTTTTTTTTTATTATTATTATACTTTAAGTTCTGAGATACATGTGCAGAATGTGCAGGTTTGTTACATAGTTATACACGTGACATGGTGGTTTGCTGCACCCATCAACCCGTCATCTACATTAGGTATTTCTCCTAATGCTCTCTCTACCCTAGCCCCCCACCCACCGACAGACCCTGGTGTGTGATGTTCCCTTCCCTGTGTCCATGTGTTCTCGTGGTTCAACTCCCACTTATGAGAACATGCGGTGTTTGGTTCCTGTGTTAGTTTGCTGAGAATGATGGTTTCCAACTTTATCCATGTCCCTGCAAAGGACATGAACTCATCCTTTTTTATGGCTGCATAGTATTCCACAGTGTATATGTGCCACATTTCTTTATCCAGTTTGTCACTGGTGGGCATTTGGGGTGGTTCCAAGCCTTTGCTATTGTGAACAGTACTGCAATAAACATACTTGTGCATGCGTCTTTATAGTAGAATGATTTATAATCCTGTGGGTATATACCCAGTAATGGGATTGCTTTTCTAATGTCTTGAGGTATGACATTTAGGTTATTTTGGATCTTTGTCCTTTTTTAATGTATATTACTATAAACTTCCCTCATAAAACTGGTTTGCCGCACCCCGTAAGGTTTGGTATGGTGTTTCCATTTTTGTCTCAAGACATTTTAAATTTGCCTTTTAATTTATTCATTGATCCATTGGTAGTTAAGCATGTTAATTTTCATATATTATTGAATTTTCTGAAATTTCTTATTGATTTCTAATTTCATACCATAGGTCAGAAAAGATATTTGATATGATTTCAATCTTCTTAAAGCTAAGTCTTGTTTTGTGGCTTAATAATGACCTATCCTGGAGAATGTTCTGTGTGTGCTTGAGAAGAATATATTCTGCTGTTGGAAGAAATGTTCTGTATATACCTATGTCCATTTGGTCTAAAGTGTAGTTTAAGTTCAATATTTCCATATCGATTGGATGATCTGTCCATTGTTGAAAGCGGGATATTGAAGTCTCCTACTGTTATTGTATTGCTCCAACTTCTGATCCTTAAAATTTGCTTCATATAGAATACCATAAAAAGTTCTGAGATATTGATTACTTATTTTATGAATGTGTGAGGCAACTAGGAAGGCTTTACTGCGTTATCTAACACTCATGGACAACCTGTAGGTTTTTTTAACTACAGAGAAAACGTAATAGAAAAGATGTGCCAGGCACAGTGGCTCATGCTTGTAATTAATCCCAGCACTTTGGGAGGCCGAAGCAGGTGGATCACTTGAGGTCAGGAGTCCAAGACCAGCCTGGCCAACATGGTGAAACCCCGTCTCTACTAAAAATAAAAAATTAGCTGAGCGTGGTGGTGCATGCCTGCAATCTCAGCTACTTGGAGGTTGAGGCTGGAGAATCGCTTGAATCTGGGAGGTGGAGGTTGCAGTGAGCTGATATTGCACCACTGCACTCCAGCTGGGTGACAGAGACTCCATCTTAAAAAAAAAAAAAAAAAAAAAAAAAAGATTAACTTGTCTCATGCCACACAGCTAATAAATGGCAGTGCTTAATTCATCCCCAAGGCTGTTTACCACCAAAGACTATATGACCCCTCAATGCAGCCTCCACTTAAGTAATGCAGTTAAGAACTGCCAACACTAGGTGCCATGATAGGGTATTGACTCTCAAAGATATTTGACCATGACCCAGTTATATTTTGTGTCACATATACATACATTCCTACATCCACGATAGAAACAAAAGTCTCACCAACAGTTCTTGTATTGACTGTGAGACAATAAAAGATGACTCTGACATTTTCTAATTTTTAATGCTAGTTGTAACTCACTAAATTGCTATAATGACCCACTGGTATTATACCTGTATTTGAAAGCCGTGTTCTAAATGTCCTTTTTAGACATCTTGCAGTCTGCCCTCAATTACAAAAAGTGCATTTGTTGAATGTTACTGACAGTCACATGGATCAATTACTACAAGTCATCTTAATAATGTATTCCAAAAATGGTTTTGTTTTCTCACCTCTAGTCCTTGAGTACACTAATGGGATCTTTATCTTCAGAAAAGCTGCTAATATAAAACACAATGCCTTATCACTAACAAATCAAATTAGATATAATCTAAGCAGGTGTATGTGAGCAGGAAAAAAACCACATTAGAGCCACCTGAATCTAGATATGATCTATGATTTTGACAGCATTCAGTTTTGTTCTCAAGATCAGTGACATAATCTTTACTACATATTGTTATTTTTAAGGTATGTGCAGTTTTGTAACAGCAATACAATGCAGGTATGTACACTTCATTGTAAATAACCATTCTGGCGAAAAAAAGGCTTTCAATGACTTTGGACAAGTAAATGATTCTTGGTACAAAATCATACTTCTTTGGTATTTATGAAAAAAAAGGAAGGTGTTTTAACTCTGAGCACCCAATTCCTGGTGCTCCATTTAAGTATTTAAGATGTTTCTAATTAGGGTTGAGTCTTGTTGTGAACAGCTAGTGAAATACTAACATGGGAGGGCAAGTTTTATGAGCATTGATAAATTGAACACAAATTATCTGTTACAGAGACTACAAAGAGCTATAGATAAAAAGTACAGCAAAATGATTTCATGAAATCAATATTTTATTCAGTGTCAAAGCATCTTAACTGAATTGTGTAAGTAATTTTGTCTGTAATTTTAGAAGTAACATTTGTAGAAAATATCAATATTATCAGTTGTGCTACTAGAAATATTGAAGGAGTTAATTCTGAATTTATTCATTTATGCAGTTATCTATATCCACTTAGGTACAAAACTTTTGTAAGAAAGATAACACTTTTATTGCATTATAATTTCATATTTTACAGGAGTCATAATGCAAACTTATAAGCATAAATATATACATGATGCTACCAAATGGCAATGTAACCACTAAGAGATTTAAAACATAAAACTAGAATTTAACAAGCAAAATACTTAATATGGCTTTTAATGGAAAATAACTGTTTAGAAATGATTTGTTATTGCCCCATTCTAGTCATTCCCCATCAAGTGAACATAAAATTATGATCTCCATTTAAAACGGTACAAGTTATCTAAGCCAACTTTGTACTTTTTTGCTACTTTTTTGTAGCATGTATGCAGTATGATTTCTGGACTTCCTTAAATATACATACATATATACATATATACAGATATACAGTACACAGTTCTGTTTTAATACCCCTGAACATCTTGATTAAAACTATTACAATTTTTCTATTATAAAACTACTTGAAAAGTTGGCATAACTTCCTGGTATTGAAGTTCAATCCTACAGAATTAAAAAAAAAAGCAACAAAATGTTGGTTATAAATACATTCTTTACAAAAAAAAATTGAATAGTGGTCCCGCACTCATAATTTATATTACAGTGAAAACATTTTATCAATTTAAAGGTATTTGTATCTTGTTGTCCTTGGTTTCTGTGTGAAATAGAGGAAGTTAATAATGAGAATATTGTAGGCAGGCCTATTTGTTAGGTTTTTCTAGGTGTTCATTTTTGTGTAAGTTCCAATTCACTTCTTTTGAGTTGTTGTTGATTTCTATTTGCCTTGTATTACTGCTGCTGCTGCTTCTTTTGGTGTTCTGGGAACACTGGGTGACTTTACTTCTAGGAACAGGAAGAAAAGATTTAACTCTTGAAACACCCAACTCAGTCTTTGATTTACTGTTGCTGCATTCAGTAGTTTGATGGCTGCTGAGAGGACTGACCTCCTGTAAGAGACAAGAAACCACACAAGTTTATCACAAACTTCTCCTGTTATGAGCCCTACCCCTGCCTCCTCTTTGAGCAAATGTACAGGAGTTTCTCTCTAAAACTATAGGTTCTCGTGAAAAATCAAAAGAAAATGGAGAGGAGAAGCTGAGTAATTAATTTCCTATAGACTTACTGCATGATTTTCATTAATCCATCTGCTGTTACAAAATTCCTAAATACAGGAGTCAGTGAATCAAGTGCTAAGGCGTCGATCTCCTTACCAACAGAAACTTCACAAAATTACAGGCATGAGGAAATCACCAAATTGGAGTAGTCCCATTTGTAGGTAGCTCTACAAACTATGTCACCTTGGGTAAATCACCTAACTTTTCTGCTTTCTACTTTCAAGTCTTAAAAGTGAACTATTACTCAATAATCAAATAATCTGGGGGCATATAGGAGAAAACATAAGAGAAACATTCCTTCCCTAGCAGAACCTACATTCATCTATGGTTAGGCCACTCAAGATCTTCCATACTTGGAAGCTGCATGTTCTCATTTCTCTAATGTTTCAGAAATCCTGTGATTACCTGGTCAATGTCTCTCATTTTGCCCATGAAGAATCTGAGAGCTGGATAGGTAAGATGATTTGCCCACAGTGAACGGAGTGGTGAAGCTGGGACAAGACCTCAGGTCTCCCAACTTTCACTCAAGGTATTTTCCCTATATTGCATTAAATTCTGCAAACTAACAAACATGACATGACTCCTACTAAGTGACCTACTCTGAATGCCTCTGAAGGAGTTGACCTTGATAACTTCTCCTCTTCAAAAGTAATAATGCACCCAACAGCAATATAACCATTACAAGAATTTAAAACAAAACTAAAATTTAACAGGAAAAATCTGGCTTCATCTGGCAGTTGCGGCAGTTGCATTCTCCTGGGTATCGTCTTATATGACATTGGAATCACCTGGGGGAGCTTTAATAGTCATTGGCTGGGCCCTATTACCAGAGATTCATATTTAATAGTTCTGGGGTGTGGCATGGACATACGATTTTAAAAAATCTTGCGGCCAAAGAACGCCTAGCTTAACTCCTCACTATCCTTTTTCTCCATTGAGCAATTAAATCAAGGGTCCCCAAGCCACAGGCTGTGGACCAGTCCATGGCCTATTAATAACTGGGCAGCACAGCAGGACGTGAGCGGGGGCGAGCCAGTATTACCACCTGAGCTCCGCCTCCTGTCAGATCAGCAGCATTAGATTCTCATAGTAGTACAAACCCTCTTGTGAATTGTGCAAGTGAGGGGTCTAGGTTGCCCAGTCCTTGCGAGAATCTAATGCCTAAAGATCTGAGATGGAACAGTTTCATCCGGAAACTACCCAGGTCCGTGGAAAAATTGTCTTCCACGAAACCAGTCTCCAGTGCCAAAATGGCTGGGGACTGCTGTCCTAAATGGTAGCATTTTTCTTAGCCCTCTATAAGTCACACATTGATAATCTTTCCCTTCAGAGTATTTCAAGCTCTAAGTATTTCCCAAAGTTCTTTCTTTAGCCCTCATTTATCTCCTGCATTTCCACCCCACTAATTCACCTATATGTCTAGCCACACTTCAAATTCTTTCTAAAACTGTATTTATTGCATTTCTTCAATACTAATTTCTAAAGCCTTTCCGCTTGGCTCATTACTGGCTAATGCTGCTCTCCCAGTGAATTTAGCAGGAAATCCTCAGTTATCTTTAGCAGCTGCCTTTCTCTCTCTCCTCACCAACCTAATCCAATGTTACCCACAAAATGGGCAGAGAATTATGGCTGTGTTTGTGTGAATAGGAAGGTAAAGGATAAGTCCTCACTAACTGGCATGTCACTAAAGTTCTTTTAAAGTTTGGCTCCAATCCCCTTTAAATCCTATTTTTCCTTTACTTCCCTGTTAAAGTCCTAATTCTTTAAAGCCCAACACAACATGTTCATTAAACTACCCCTAAATCACCAAAGTGAAATCTCTTGGGGTCAGATTTTCAGACTCAGCTAATCTTAAGTGGAACAGCAATGTAACTCTAATATATACTTGGCTAGTGGTTTGGGAAAATATAAAAACACTGAAACAACAAATATGTAATGGAGAATAAAGAGGGGACAAATCTGGGGTCCAGGCCACCTGCATTTACAGGGAAAGGAAAGAGAAGTCTAGACTGCAAGAAGCTAGCTTAGAAAGGCAAGAGCTTCCTGATAAAACAAAAAACAGATGGGCTCGGTTTTAACTACGTCCGAGGAAGCCTGGAAAAAGGCTGAGCTACATCTGGTGAGGGAACACATCCTAGTCCATCCTCGTCACCTCCATGTGTACTTGATGGTATGTTAAGGGCGAATCTGCTTAGTATGTTCTGCTTTTGTTTTGTAAAGATGCTTATGCTGTCAAGTTACCAGAAAGAAAATGAGAAGTTACATTGCTTGTCATGAGTTGGATGGTGATAGTCACAACTGTAAAAACAGTGCAGGTACCAGGATCCAATCTCATTTTTCCTAACAAGAAATTACTGTTAAGTCCGCAAAATGGGACTTGGTCATGGGCCTACTAAGGCCAATTAGAACTTGTAATTTGGTTTAAAACACCAGCAAATGCAACACATACGTAGTATTCAGAAAACATGAAATATGGCATTATAATAAGGATAACAGTTAGTTGCTATACAGAATCTGGTGGTGAGGGGAGTTGTTTAATTTTGCCATT
This sequence comes from Homo sapiens, assembly GCF_000001405.40. Taxonomy (NCBI): domain Eukaryota; kingdom Metazoa; phylum Chordata; class Mammalia; order Primates; family Hominidae; genus Homo; species Homo sapiens. Next base: position 117,714,499 of record NC_000007.14, read on the forward strand.
ATTGTCAAATCTACAGAGTTAATTAATGCCATGGCCCAGAGGAAGGAAAGGAGACATACACTGTTCTAGTCTGTTTCTGTACCTGCAACATGATGGTGAGGGGAGTGTACCTTCATGGTCTGAGGCAGGAAATATCCACATGAAATAAAGTACTGAGAAGTACCCAGAACAACTAAAAACATGTAGTTTGGTCAGTCCCTGGAAGTGTGAGGCTAGAATGGAAGGAGTTAGGATGAGAACATGGAGAATCACTTGGGCTTAGCGTGAGCCACAGCAATTCAAGGCCAGGAGTGCAAGAATAGAGCAGGTGACCAATGCACAGCATCCTGCCTGAAAAGTGCTCCTGACACCCTGGAAGTCAAGCCTAGGGGGCAGCGGAGTTTAGGAGCAGGAGAGTTACAGGTGTTTAATGCTTCCTGGGCTAAAACCCCCGAATTATCTGTATTAAATGTATAACGTTTACTATCCATATTGCTGTGCATGTTAAACTCAAAAACTAATTTGTGTAGAAAGGCACTGACCTAAAGTAAGTTTTATTTAGCCTTAAAGAATTGGTAAATCAGAGCAATTCATTCAATACACAGCATCTACTAGAAGCTAAGAAGATATTGTAATTCCTCTAGATGGGAAAGTTAGGGGCAGGAGGAAAAGAACAACATGTAGGGAAGGTGGCATTGGGGGTGAGTCTTTAAAGAGGCACAGGACTGTGACGAGAGAAGGTTCTATGGGGAGGAGTACAGAGGGAAGTAGTAAATTACATGTAAAAAAGGAACATGTGAAAAGCTACATGAAGGCATCTCAATCCCTCTAAAGATATATTTGGAAAGAAAGAAATGGGTGGAAAATGAAGATGACAGATCAGGGCTATGTTTTAGAACAGTGGGTCTCAACCCTGGATGCATGTAAGAATCACCAGGGACCTTTAAAAAACCCATTGTCCAGGCTTCCCCTCAGACTAGAGTCCAGGCCCTGAAGTTAAAAAAAAAAAAAAAAAAGAAGCCTCAAGTGGATTTCATCATGCAACCAAAGATGTGAACTTGTCCTTTCAGAGGATTAGTTTGGATTTACATAAAAGGAAAACATTTATTAACATTTGTTCTTCCTGTTGATTTAAATATGTATATTTGTTTTTAATTCAGAAGGCCTGCTAAATGCCACTTGATTAGTAAACCCAATTACTCTCCCTTACTGTTAGAGCAGTGAGGAGTTATATTGTTGCAAATAATAAAGATAACTTACTCATTTTTGTTTTCCAACAGATAATGATGGTTGCAGGGCCCCTCTTCAATGGAGGCATTGCCAGCCTTCTGGCCATGAAGGAGAAAGTGATTTCAACTAACCCAGGAAACTCTTACCTCTAAATGGAGATACTTCCTGATAACAGAAGAAACTGGGCATCTAACCCAGAAATACCAGCTGAGTAGGAGAAGAGAAAAGGCATCAGCCAGTCAAGGTTTCAGAAGGCTGCCAACAGTAAGTACCACTTTGCCCTCTGCTGGCACTTTCTGAGAAAAACATCATCTAGCTCTTGGGGAAGAGTCCCTCCAAATAAGTGTCTTCAGTGGGCAAAGGGAGAGAAGACTAGGAGGCAGCGGTCCTAATTCCCACATCAAATTGCACATTTAAACAATAACATAGTTTTTTTTTCTTTGTATAAGAGCCCAGATAGTATAAAAGGACTCGCTTTAAAAAATATCTTAAACAAAGCTGCCCAGAACTTTGACTTTCAGTACTACTTTTTTTTTGTGGACAGTACCTTATTGTAGCAACTCAATATGGTCATGTGACAGAGAAATAGGGGTATGACAATGTTTGTTTCTTTATTAGACATTTAAGCAGCAGCCATTCTCTATTTTTACACAAGAAAGTGATTTGGGCTTATGGGGAAGGTGGTTCACTGTTCCTCTTGCTAAGATCCTCCTGGCCCCTTCCACTGACGATGTTCCACAAGGAATCCTAAATTCTTGGGTCCTAGAGACTGGCGTCCAGTCAAGCACAGCTCAGAGCAAGCCAATAAATACAGGGGGAGTGAGTTGAGGCTTTAAAGATAGCAAAGGGATGGGCCCTAGACTGTTTTCCAACCAGAAGGCTCAGTGCTGACTCCAGGTCACCTTCTTAGGTCATCCTCCAAATTTTGCTGGGCTTCTAAATTGTTCCCAGTTGAACAAAAAAAGGCAGACATTATGATAGAGTGAGCTTGAAAGCCATGCTTTTCTTCACAGGACATCATGTTAAATATTTTGTATTAGAGCCCCCAGCCGTGTAAATTCCCACTCCCATACCTGCTCTCCCAATGCATGCAGCTCACATAGTTCCACATGTAATAGCCAGGATCAAAACTTAATGAAGCAGTGAGGGAGCGGGGCTGTGGGGCCCAGTGCCGCTAGGTGATCAGATAAAGCTTAATAACTTAATAGTCTCACCATGCTTACTTTATAATCCTGCTCTCTGCGCCCCACCTTCCCACCCACACACAGGTCTTTGCCGTTCTCATCTACTCCCAAGGTGGCTTACAATCAATCAACATGGTTTGGTGAACAAACCATATATTACAAAGTGCTTCTGTGAAGTCTGCATCCTCACAACTAATGAGTGAGACATTTCTCATTGTTTCTGCTCACCCAGGAATACCATGCTGTGCCAGCTCTTGCCATTTATTAACCAACTGATAATGGTGCAGTGCTGTAGTCATGGAAGCTATTTCAAAAGGTTAAGGAAGTCTACTGGAATCCTGGTTCTTCTAGTTGCCATTCAGACTTATTTTTAAAGTCTCATTGAAATGTAATGCATGTTATGGAAAGTCAGGATGAAATAAAATTGAGATTTTTTTTTTTTGCAATGTATAAGACCTTTATGTTATCACTCAGTGCTTTGTTTTGTTATAATTAACTCTAATTTTCTAAAATGCAGGAAACCTTAGGAACAACCAAGATGACAGTTTTGTTACCTTAGTACCCCCGCATCCACAATTTTGTTTTCTGTGATCTGGAAATACACAATTCATAAATTTGCAGGCCATTCTAAGTAGCATGATGAAATCTTGCACCATCCTACTCTGTTCTGCCCTGGATGTGAATCAACTTATTCATTCTGTCTACATTACCCACACACTGACCACTTAGTAGCCCTCTAGGTTATCGGATTGAAGGAATATAGTGTATATAAACTTTGGTACTATCTTAGATTTCAGGCATCACCTGAGGATAAGGCAGAACTACAATATTTCTAGTTTTGTCATATAAAATGAAAAAAAAAAAAACATGGAGATCTCAACAGACACCCAAAATTTTGGAATCAAATTGAAGGGAAAAAAGTAATGCTTTCCTATGTCATTTTTTTCCAAAATATTCTATAAGTACTCTTTCTAAAACCTAATGAACACTTTTACCTTTATCCTATTTCTCAGTTCTTAGCTTTGGTTTAAAAAAATAACTCTGTGATTCACACTGAAAGATGATTTGTGAAGTCAATTCCACAGCAATCATCCTTTGTTCACTTTGGGGAGAAAGGGACACTTACCTTTTGTGACACTGGCATTCTCAGATTATTAATAGTTGCTGAAAGTACAGGGTTGTTTCCAGAACTATCAAACATCCTTAAATCATCCCTGGAATCAGCAATCTAGAAAATACAGAATTTGCCCGGTCATGTCTCCACAGTCACACTGTGCATACTCAAGGCACAGCTAAATGGTGGAGAAATCACAGCAGAAGTGTTACTCTTATCCTCTTCCCTGCCCCTCAAGTCCTGAACTGTTCACATGAAAGAAAGACTTCAAGTCTTAATGTAAAACTGACAGCAAATGCATGAGAAACATCCTCTAAGGAAAAAGAATCCACTTAAAACGTCAAAAGAAGACCAGAAGAACTCTCTAGGGAAAAAAAAGGCACTTTGCAAGTAAAGAAAGGATATAAAATTTGCAAGATTTTAATCATTACCTTACTTTTCCAGTGGATATATACTTTGTTTCCAACAAAGTTAAATAAGAGTGAATTCTACTTTGTCGTAGATATTATGACGATTCAAATAATACAGTTGAGTGTCTCAGGGGAAGCTGAACGTTACAGCCACTCATAAGGCATCTATCAAGGCAGCTCGGTGAAACCTGCTGCAGATACTAGAGTGCCAAAACAGGTTGAACTTGATGCTGTCCATGTTTTCTGTGAGATTTCAGGTCACTGTTTTCCATATTTGGTCTCAAATTTCACAGCTTAGAGATTATGATGATATGCATTATACAAGCTAATTCTTTTTCTCATTTGCAAAGAAAGTTGTTGCTTGGTCTATAACATAAGTCTGCTGTGATGCTTGTTATAATTTTCTTACTGATAGATGACTGATATGCCAAAGTTAGGAATGTGGAAAGGAAAAATATCTGAGGAAACTCAAATTTAGGCTTATATAAAAAGCTGCCCAGGCTGGGTACAGTGGCTCACGCTTGTAATCCCAGCATTTTGGGAGGCTGAGGCGGGCAGGTCACCTGAGGTCAGGAGTTCAAGACCAGCCTGACCAACATGGCGAAACCCTGTCTCTACTAAAAAGTCCAAAAATTAGCCAGGCGTTGTGGGGGACACACCTGTAATCCCAGCTACTTGGGAGGCTGAGGCAGGGAGAACTGCTTGAACCCGGGAGGCGGAGCTTGCAGTGAGCCAAGATCCCGCCACTGCACTCCAGTCTGGGCGACAAGAGCGAAACTCCATCTCCAAAAATAAAAAAGAAAAGCTGCCCAAATGAATTGATGTGACTTGTACTAATGCAATTAACATACAATTTTAACTTCAGGTCTTGGAGGAGTTTGGAAAAGCAGGCTTCACAAAGTAGAGCTCCTTTATTGTATAAATGATATTTAGGAAGAAACGGCCTTTCTAAGCAAGGTGAGGGATGGTTTGATTTGGATCATTAACCATACTATCAATAAGGAATTTCTTTTAGGGAATTGTGGTCCCCCAAAAGTCTCCCAGCTGTTGAGTAGAGCCATTCAATGCCCCCCATTTGTACTGCTCACCTTGCTGATATCAGACTCAGACTTGCTGGAGCACATGCTCTGAAGTTCCTTGACAAGATCTGCTTCGTCATCTGAACCCAGAGAGAGTCTCTGATCCAAATTCAACGTCAGTGATAGATCATTCTCTAAAGACCTAACACAAAGTTCAGAAAAACGTTTTTCAAAGTGAGAACAATTCCCAATTTGGAAATCTAGACACTGTACCTTTTTTGGGATTTGGTGTGGGGTAGGGAAAATGTTTTTAATAGCCTTTAAAGTATTTCATAAATGTCATTTAATGCAAGAAATTTCCACAGGATTTTGGTAACTCCTACTCAAAATTCTTGAGAGGATAAAATTTTGTTTCACAAAGAACTTCACTTTGATGTACAATATTCCAAGCTCCTTATTCTTGCCGTTTCTTGTCTCCCAGGCCAGATAGGATGCTAAACACTGTGGCATAGGGGACAATGTGATAAAATGGGACAAACACGGATTTCAAACTTGGCTCTATTGCTAGCTAGCAATATGACCATGCACCAGGTTTTCTTAACACCTCAGTTCCTGGGTTCCCTTTTCTGTAAATAACCCTTATGTGTACATCCTAGGGTTGCTGGAAAAATGATACAGGCTGTTGCAGGTCATGGATCTAGCTGCGGTCCTGGCAGAAAATAGCGTGCCATGCAGTTTCCTTCATCTCCCTTCTCTCTCTTTACCCTCCCCTCTTCTGTAATGCTGCAAACCAGCGGACATGATCCTAAATGTTACATGCCAAGTGACAGGGCACACAATTTATTGGGCTATCATGGGGACCTATTTACAAACTGCCTAAACATTTCTATAATTGTCCAAATCATCCTTTATACCTTGATATTTGTAAGCTGAAATAGTCTATTTCTTAGGAACAATATAATAAATTATCACTGTAAATTTATAGCACTTAAAAATCACGCCTGTAATCCCAGCACTTTGGGAGGCCTAGGCAGATGGATCACAAGGTCAGGAGTTCGAAACCAGCCAGGCCAACATGGTGAAACGCCGTCTCTACTAAAAATACAAAAATTAGCCAGGCACGGTGGCAGGCACCTGTAATCCCAGCCACACAAGAGGCTGAGGCAGGAGAATTGCTTGAACCTGGAGGTGGAGGTTGCAGTGAACCGAGATCATGCCACTGCACTCCAGCCTGGGCAAGAGAGCAAGACTCTGTCTCCAAAAAAAAGAAAAAAGTCATACTGTTTCTGTAAATCTGTGGAAAAGTCATCTAATGACTATCTAAAAGTTCACAAATGCATAAACAAAATTTGATCAAATGAAACCTATAATATTTCTAACCTTATTCAACAAATTACAAGCAAAATAGTCTTCATATTGCATTATATTAATCTTAACGAACAATTTAGACGTTATCCAAAGACACCATTAGATTTCAGTTTAATATCAGCATTTGAATGACATATATAACTTTTTTAAAACCATATTAACATAATAGTCATTCAAATGAGAACATGGAACATTTAAAATAGTAATTGAAGTTACTTGATTTATCTTTGTTTGCTGTGAGTTAAATTTGAAAGGGGAACTTACTTTTGTTTTGACAGAGAAGCATTCCTGTTACAATTCAGCTGTGATATAGTCTTATTTTTCATACCTGTTAAAAAAGAGAACCATTTTCAATAGATCATTATCCCTGTGCCTCTTGAATTCTGTATTTAAAAGAAACAGACTGTGGACTTTGCAGTACTTTCATACTGTTCTTGGATTAGTATCCAGGATTTGAGGAGATTTTCCCCAGGACAGAGGCTCTGGGCATAGCCTCCTGCAGAGGCACTGTGGGAAAGTCAAGGAATAGCCAACTCCCTCGAGTACATTTTGATGGAACTCGGTACAACTAACACTACCTGAAGCTCAAGTCAAGAATCCTGAATTTCACTTTTATGGATGGCCGTTCTTCTCTTTAGTCAAGTCCCTAGTTCCTTAGGCCCTTGTTCTCAAAGGACCAAAAGAAGATTTTAATACCTGCCTTTTGATGATGGTAATCACCCTTTCTCTACCTTTGTGTGCATTCTAACACTACTATGTAATCAAGTATAGTTTTTGATATGTGGCATTAGCCATGTACTTGTAGAAATTTAACTTTTAACAGCTTTTGCATTATACAGAAGAGAAAATATGAACAGGGTACAAAAAGTCATAGAATTTAAATGCTGAAAATCATATGTTTTTTAAACTGCAGATTATGACACAGTTAAAAAAAGAGAAAATAGCCTGTATTTCTTGCTGGAGGTATACTGATGCATATCAGTTATATATACACACAAATGCAGAGGCTTGTGTGTACAGATCATGGTGTAAAATGTATTTCTCACAATGGGTTATGGTTGAAGTTTGAGAAACACTCTTATAAACCATTTTAGACTCAATGTTATGAATGCATTAAAACAGTTGCTTTTGAGTGAATTCTAAAAATATTAATGTTGTCAACACAAATTTTCTCTAAAGAATGTTTTGGAAAAGTAAATATATCCTCATTAAAAGCAGATCAAAGAAAATCACTGTCGAGTTTCTTTAGTCATACTTCTGTCATTATTGTCCAAAGCACTGACTAGTGGCTTCTACTAATTACTACATAGCGCACAGCCTTGGGCTCTGCCCTAAAAGCCTGGGATCTGACATCATTGGCCTTTCTGTTTTAGGTCAGGAAAGAAATGGGCTGTCTCTTTATCAAATTTGATAAGCTTCCATAGTGATCTGCATGCAAAAGGATTCCTGTGTTGGTTTTTTTTTTTTTTTTAACCAAAGTCACCCCAACCATTGTAATAATCATATATACAGTGTAATTATTGGAAAAATTTACCATTATAAAAATAACGAGAGGCATGTCAGTCATGGTTTCTAACCCAACTACTGACTCATGAATTATATACTTTGTAAAGTTAACTTTTAGAAATTTCCTTGAAGTCAGTGTAAACTCTTGTAGTTTTATTCTGTCAAAGAAGTTCATGCTTCAAAGAATATAACATTTGATATCAAATAGTTCTAAAACTAAAATTATTAAAAATACAAATAATTTCAAGTCTATTCATCTTTTTTTACATTTAAGCGTAATATAGTTTTCTGATCCAGACTCTTCCATGATACTGCTTTAAATTCATATTCATTTTGTTGATTCTGTTTGTCTACTCTAAAGCATATACCAACAATTAAGTTAGCTCAAAAAGTTGGTCTTAAACTTTATAGAGATTCTAATAAACTTAGAAATGACACAGTGAAGAGCCTCAATGGGTGTCCAGTTATCTGAGTACCCATAGATCACTGCACGTCTAATAAGATCAGGGTGTTGTGGACTACAGAAAATAGCACTGGGCTTGCAAGAAACAATTACAGAACCGCATATTTCCAGGAGAGGTGATTTGGAGCAGGTGCCCAAGGGTTTCTGAACCTCAGTTTTATTCTCTGTAAATGGAGATCATTATCATTGTCTTGGAGCTTTCTTGCATACTGAAAGGACTAAGAGCAAATGAAAGGTATAATCCTTGCTACAGAAAGTCATCTGGGGGTCTATACTAAATTGGTGGGCTGGAGTCTAGTGATTCTTACTCCCTAAATCAAACACTCTGACAACTCTGGGAAGTAATAACAAGCTCTTAAGATCAAAACAGTATCTTATTATCAATATAAAATACTGATCTTTTTAAAAGTATAAGAAAATTCATTTTATTCAGTAAATTTTCATTCAGTCACTTAAAAAGGGGTCACAATTTGCTATCATGCACTTAGGGTAATTGGGGAACCCTAGCATATATTGATAGGATTAAAAAAACATTAAATTTTTATTAAAATTAACAAAATACAAGCTTAAAAATGAAAATATACTCATAACTAAAAGCAACTTTATGTTTTTTAAATATAAGATTTTAAGCACCTCATTTAGAAACCCCACTGCTATAAAGTTGGCATAAAATTTCACAAAACAAATACTTTGAGAGAGGAGGAAAATGAATGACATAATCTGAAGTCCACAGTGCACATGAGGTGGAAATTTCTTTTCATTTTTATTCCAATTTGGATTTGTTTTGGGAAAGACATTTATAATTTATATAATAGCTGATTATCTTATTATCAATGCCAAAAGGAATAGGCCTAACACCAGAAGATACAGACGTGTTACATCTTCTTTGTTAGAATGAAAGCTTACATATTTTTCACTTGATGTCCCATCATATGAAATCTGTCCAATTTATTAGAATATAAACTCGATGACGGCAGGATCTTTTTTTTTTTTTTTTTTGAGACACAGTCTTGCTCTGTCACTCAGCCTGGAGTGCAGTGGTGTGATCTCGGCTCACTGCAACCTCTGTGTCGCAGGTTCAAGCAATTCTCATGCCTCAGGCTCCTGAGTAGCTGGGATTACAAGCATGCGCCACCATGCCCAGCTAATTTTTGTATTTTTAGTAGATACAGGGTTTCGCCTTCCTGACCTCAAGCTATCCACTCGTCTTGGTCTCTCTCAGTTCTGGGATTACAGGTATGAGCCACCATGCCTGGCCGGAATATATATATTTTTTACCACTCTATTTCCAGTGCCTAGACTAAAACCCAGCACATGGTACACGTCATACATAAGAAAGAAATGTGTACACCTGATTCACCTGGAAAGGCCTTAAATGGGTATCAAATATGTCTCTACACATATTTTTTTAATGTAAGATTAACTTAGGAGTGACATAATGGAGAAATATGCCAATGATTTTATTATGTAATAATGCAATGATTATACAAATTGTGAACACCAAGAGAAACAAAATAATAAATAAATGACCATTAACAAGTTAAAGATTAATTTTGGAATTCTGGTTTGAAAGCGGTATTTTTCAGGTAGAGATCTCCTGTATATTTTTGGAAATGTACCTACTATATAGTTTATTCCATGAAAATGTGCATTAAAATACTTAAACTTTGTTTTACCAAATGCATCGTGATAAAAATGAAAGCATATTTGCTTTCAGACACTGGATCACGTATGTCCACCTCCTGGTAGGCAACATGCCTACCCCCGCCCTTTACCTTCAGTGCTTAGGTCTGGCTTATTCCAGGTGGGTAAAGAGAAGCGGCCAGACTTCCTGCGAGGACTGGTGTTCACCTTTCTCCAGGCACCACTCTCTCCTTTCTTCTTGTTACAAGTGTTATAACTGGAAACTATGGATAAAGGGAAACTTCCTCCTTTGAAATCAGCTGTATGCTGGTCTAGCTCTGAAACAACACAAATCACAGCAGGGATAATGCAGTTTCACTGATTAAAGCAAAATACATTTCCGTTTCTCAAAGATACGGACTGTTCAAAATAATGCATTTATTTAGTATCCAAGCTGGGGTTTTGTGAACCAGCACCAACTTTACTTGGAGGTCTAGAATTCAAACATTAACCAGTAATTAAAATCACAGTTCTGGAACACTGCTATAAGATGTATATTTTTCTAATTACAAAGAAAGAAAGCTCTCTAAAAACAGCTTTTAAAAGGTATTTCACAAGGGTGTGAATTTCCTCTCCTCTCTGCAGAAACCCACATACCTGCTCTGGGGAGGGGACAGCCATGCAGTACAGCTTTATTTAGCAAGATGCTGAGAGCAGCTTTGACCACAGCCTGCTGTCCTTGGCTAGGGTGTCTTTTAGCAGTTGTCTGCCCAAAGCCAGGTTGTCTTTTCACAGAGGCTCTTGACAATATTGCTTCTTGAACTCTGGGTGCGATGACGCCATTCCACAGCTTAGACATCCACCTAGCAGGAGAGGGACCGATTCATCCCTTAGGAGCAGGCTTCTCAATAATTATACACAATTCCGTGAAAGGACAGTTTGAAGACTATGGGGAAAAAACGTTAAGTGTTTCTATAGATATGCTACCTTTCCCAGGTAGTTTTCAAAGAAGTGAAATTACCCAATACAAAAGTGTTTGAATCTGCCTCAAAAATACACTGTATTTCAAATGAAACTGATTGTTTACATGTCTCTCTCAATGTAGAATCAATGCTTGAGTGCTGAGTGAATAAATGCATGAATAAACACATTGAAAGGAAGGTAAATTTAAAGACTGAAAAAATCTGGAAAAAAGATTTCCTAAAAGTCCATGTCTAAATAGCTTCAACTTCTTTGTTACATCTCCTTAATAAGGTGCACATACATTGTATTGTAATATTTCTGAAATTGGGATACTTTTTTTTTCTTTTTTTGAGACAGTCTCGCTCTGTCACCCAGGCTGGAGTGCCAAGGCGCAATCTCGGCTCACTGCAACCTCTGCCTCTTGGGTTCAAGTGATTCTCGTGCCTCTGCCTTCCAAGTAGCTGGGATTACAGGCGTGTGGCAACAGGCCTGGCTGATTTTTGTACTTTTAGTAGAGATGGGGTTTTCATCATGTTGGCCAGGCTGGTCTCGAACTCCTGACCTCAAGGGATCTGCCTGCCTTGTCCTCCCAAAGTGCTGGGATTGCAGGCATGAGCCACCGCACCCAGCCTGGGATGTATAATCACCGGCAAATTAAATCTGCCTGTCCCAAGGCAAGGGTGCGTGTGGGTGGGCTCAGTTCTATAGGGAGGATGGGGGTCAATCAGCTATCACCTCAGGTGGACTGTTTGCATTAATAGCCATAAACAGTGGGACTGCAGCCCAAATTTGCAGCACTCAATGCCAATTAAAATTCCATCAAAAAAAGATTATGCTTTGTTGCAGTATTAAAAAACACTTATATGATTAAAGGCTATAGAAACAAAACCACATCTCCCAGGTTAGGAATGTTTTCAAAGCTTAGACATTGCATAAAACTTTCAAGAATTGTCAAAAACTATGATCCATCTATTTTAAGTTTCTCTCTTAATGTCTAGTGCTACACAATCGGGGGAAAAATAAAAGTACGAATGGGAACACAGACAAAATTCTGGTATTCTACAGCATGAATCGAAATTATGCAGTTATTCCTAAAAGTGCTGAAGTATAAATATGATAAGCTGTGGTCGGAAAAAAAAAATCAACTCCTTAACTTAGCCATTGGTAGACAATTCTCTGCAGCATTTCTGCACATCTGGTGTCAGGTTTTGTTCTAAACTATCTTTTCAGTCTTGGAAGACAGAGATAAATGTCTCCTTCAGGATCAGAGGGCAGAATTGTTTCCTGATCAGGATAATAAAAACAACATCTTCCAGGGCCAAGGGTCGACAGAGTTGCAGCATCCCTCTTTAGAAACCTTGGAGGGATGGGAAGGGGGGAGTTCCACAGCTGTTGAGGCAAATCCAGCAACCACATGGGCTACTATGTATCACCCTGTGGGGCTTCAGGGATAAAGGGAATCTATGTAAAAGTGAAGCTCAGGCTGCCTGCCTGCTGTGTTGTGGGTGATGAAGTGCTGTGTCCCTAACTCAGCATCCTGAACCATGGCAGGCTAACTTGGTAGCTTGCAAATAGGGTAAAAATCTTGGGACCTCCATAATTCTTGACAAAGACTATATTCCATATAGGAGAGGTCAAAAATGATTCCTAAGAATCTTGAGACTCTGGATGTAAAAAAGACTTTAATTTAACTGACATAATAATGAAGAAAGTGGTAATTATATCAATAAGTGTATTTATTTTGTAGCAAAATTCTAAATATATATTTAATATAGTACTTCTTTCCCACCAATTAGCTGTTATAAAAATGGTGGTTTGTCTTACAATAGAGAAAATATACATATACTTTTTAGAGACAGGGTCTTGCTCTAATACTCAGGCTGGAGTTCGGTGGCTTAATCAAAGCTCACTGCAGTCTTGACCTCCTGGGCTCAATTGATCCTCCTGCCTCAGCCTCCCAACTCAATAGCTGGGACTACAGGTACATGCCACTATGCCTGGCTAATTTTTTTTTTTAAATAGAGATGGGGTCTCACTACGTTGCCTGGGCTGACCTTTAACTCCTGGCCTCAAGTGATCCTCCCCTCTCAACTTCCCAATGATGGGATTATAGGCATGAACCACTACATCCAGCTAAGAAGATATTATTTCTATCCCCTGCTTTCCAAAATAGACTTCTGCCCATGGCACCAGAAACTATAGAATCAAATCTGCTTGCTGGTCACAGAACCATTACTAAACTGGATGGTAACAAATTTTTTCTCATTTCAACTTTCTCCTGATTTTCTATTTCATTAACCTTATTGTATATATGTCTGTTCTCATAAGATGCTTCAAAGGAAAACAGTAAGTACTGAACATATGTCTCAATAAAGGGAAAGCTTTTCAATTCATTAACAGAATGCAGGTTTTTTGGAGGGTGTGCATACAATACTTGATGAAACTTCTTATGTGGTACCTCACTCAGGAGACTCTGCATAGCAAGCCAAACATAACTTGGATGAGAATTTTCTAATAGAGGAAAAACCTAGCTCTCAGCAAAAATGCAGCTGCCCTAGGAAGCACACAGTAGGCAAGCTGTGGCCATCCTCTGAAAGAGCAGAGAGCACTGGCACTCCGTGTCAGTGACAGGAGGTGGCACAAGGCAGCCTGGTCAGCATTCTCACCCTCAAACATCTGAATTGGCCACGTCTCTATCATAAGCAGAAAGATAAGGAAAAATGGCACTTACTTCACTGTCACTTGGGCATGCCCAGGAACTACAGGACAAGACAGGAAATATTTTGGTCCAAGAAGTGCTTCAGGTGTGCCCAAGCGGGCCAGGCAGGAGTTAAGCTGACGCCAGACGGACAGAGCCCAGTCGACAATCTTGCACACAGGATCGCAGGGGGAGGGCGCCTGACCTTTGAACTAGAGAGACAGGGAGGTGGAACCCAGGGGCTTGGTTTAGAACATTTTGTTTTTAGAAGCCCAAAATTAAAAATATAAAACTTTAAATCAAAATTGAAAAGTAGCTGAATCTTATTTAACTTTACTTGGGATGGCTGAAGGAGGGATAATAACACATACTATAGTTGTGCAAACGTGTTAGTGTGATAAGCATTTTTCTCCTTTAATTCTCACCATGAGCCTGAGTTAGGCATTTTTACCCCATTTTACATATCAGGAGCCTGAGGCAGGAAGAAAAAATAACTCGCCCAAGGTCCCACAGGTAATAGTGGCAAAGCCAGGGCTAGAGTCTATTTATATTTTTTATTAAGGTATAATTGACAAAAATTATATATATTTGTGGTATATATCATGATGTTTTGATGTATACATTGTGAAATTATTAAATTAAGCTGACTAACATATCCATCCCTTTACATACTTATTTTTATTTAAGATCTACTCTCAGCAATCTGCAAGTATACATTAACTACATAGGGCTTATCTTTAATAGAAAAATAGGATACAGCATCTCGCTGAAATAATAAAGGAGTCATTTATCACATTTAAAAGGAATTCAGTAATCACTATTAAGCTAAAGAACTTCCTCTTCTTCCTCAGGCTTAACATTTCTGAAGCTCTCTGTTTAAGCCTCACTTTCTACCGTCAGCCAGGGCTGAAAGAACAGGCTTAGCTTTGTGGGCAGCTGACAGAGGGACAGGGATCTCCCCAGCTGCCTCATCAAGACCACATGTAGAGGAAGGGAGAAGGAGGGTAGAGCTCTCATTGTAACTCGGTCCCCAGGGAAACGTTACTTTTTCTGGGAGGACTGAATTATTCTCTTAATGACTGTCTAATAAACTGCTTCTAAAGCTCAGACTGTTAGACATCGTAACGGAATCACATTTCACAGTACCCAAAGGCAGAATGTAATCTGTCTTTCCTAAGGACCTGAACAAACAGGAAGGGTGTCCACCTCTCTCCAAAGTGCAGATGTTGTTTATATGAAATTTCTCCTTTTGCAAGTTGGCTGTATTATGGGAAAAGTGGTTATCGGACAGTACATTAAAAACTGGTGTTTCATTAAAAGGTCTATCCAATAAATAGACTTTCTAGTAACCACATGTTTTTATTTCCTTCCCCAGAGATACATTCCTTCAGTGTTAATGGATAATTTTGCATAGAGGTGTGTATGCCTACTATGTATTCTATGCCTATTTGTTATTGCTGCTAAGAAGAAAAAAATCCATGTAAGTTAGTGTACTCATGAAATACAGAGGAAACAAAAGAAAAGGTGTGAAAAGCTAATGAAGAGCAAGTGGTCAGTTCTGGTGCGGTTTGATGGAGTGGAGAAAGCCACCCACCAGGTACTGCAATTGCCTTCCTTTTTTTTTTCTTTTGAATTTTACCAGCTGGAAAAATGAGGAAATTGAGCCAGGCCCTTTATCTTTCAGATCCCTTCCAGACTGGCAGTCTTGAAGTACAGACAGACACAAGCTGCTATGGTAATTCAAAAGAAGAACTGACTAAATACAGCGTGGTCAAGAAAGACAAATAGATGAGGTGGGGACTTCAGCTGGGTCTCTCACAGGATGTCCAGGACATGGTATTGGTGAGGGGAGGTGGGAAGAGTGTCCCAAATATGGAAGAGGGAAGGAACTGTGGAGGAGCGGTCAAAATGGATGCTGATGTTTGCAAATAACAAAAGGGATGAATAAATGACAGGCTTCTACAAGTAAACAGTCTATGTAACTGTTACTAATTCAAGGTGCTGGATCTGATCCCCCACCTAGTATGTCCCCTGAACGAATGACTTCAAGGCCACGTAGTTGTCCCTGAGTTTTCCACATGCCAACCTCCTCCTCCCTAGGCCTGAGATGTGTTGCAAGTGCTGCTCCTTCTGCCCAGACCCCCTGCTTCCCTATTCTCAGCAAACCCTTCTTCCTTGACATAACAAATTAGCATGACCTGCAAATCCTTCAATGTGACCACAGATAGAGAGGCCTCCACCCCAAATTCCTAAAATAAGTACTCTTCCCAACTTCCGCCCGAGTTTCTATAGTGGTACCTTACCTGTTTCTTTCACAGCACATATTAGCCACCTGTTTAATTAGCATGATTTGAGTGTTGTACCCATGAAGTCGGACAGAATCAGAACTGGGAACACAGAGTTTAATCTGATGTCATTTATCAGATTTGTAGCCCTGCCACTCAAGAAGAGACAAGGCTTAAATAGTTGAATCCAGTCCAGTGGTGAAATAGCATGGGTAAAGGTTACAGATTCAAATACAAGCTGAGAACTAGGTAATGTGTAAACTGAATCTACTCCACTTGGAAGGCACGGACTCAGACGCTTGTACACAGTGACTATTAGTGGGACTCTACTGGTTTTTTTCTTGTTATTGAGGAAAGCCTAAGGCCAGATCACAAGTCCTCAACAAGCCTGGCTGATATACAGACTTGGCCAGCCAAGAAAATAACCCTAAATTTTCATGGAAAGAGAACCCAGGTTTCCTGAGATGGAAAAAATTCGGGGGGATGGGGACAGGGGGTATATTTTTATCTTCATTAATATTCAGAATTAAATATAATCAAACATTATTTTTTCGGTTAGGATGAGAGAATCATATATTGGGTATTTTTAAATACTTGAAATGTTTACAGGAATTTCATATATTAGAATAGCTTCATGTCCAGTTTAAAATGGTAACTGAGTTTAGGGTTGTGGTCTTAAGAAGGGGTAAGAGAATTTTATTAAGTTTATGTACATGGTACAAGGCTATTAAGAGATCATTTGAGCCACAATTTATAAATTTAATTTTCTGGTTTTACAAGAGTTAGTTAAGTACTTGGGAAGATTTGTCAGACAGCAGAAGTTCTTAAAAAGAGAAATAAAATATATTGAAGTTTTAAAGACCAAACTATTTAAAGAAATGTAATTAAGCTATGAGTCCCTTCAAAGGTGATTGTTAAATTTTGCTAGATTTATACACAGAAAGATAAAGCTTATACAATTAACTTAAAAGCCTGAGGGAAAGCCGGGCATTTGGATGTACAACTCTAACACACTGAACACGTTTTTTTAAAATAGCACTTGAATAATGCCTCCTGAATAAAAACTGTCCTCCAAGGTCCCAAATCCTACACAGATAGACAGTTTCTTTTTGAAGGCCTGTCTTTCCATGAGAACACTAGCTCTCTGAGGGTGAGAGGAACCCGGTCTTGTCTCACAGTCCCCAGGCCAGGGGCCAATGTTTACAGAATAACCAGCTAACACTGTTCTGATGCACTTATCACACTGTGTTTTGATGATCAGTTGCCATGGCTATAGGTCCTTTCAACCTTAGTACTGGAGCTTGGTGTGCCACAAAGTGAGGATTTGGAAAATGCTATGACTGACTGACGGGAAGAACAGGCTGAGAAGTTCTAAGTCTGGATGACTGATAACAAAAAAGGAAGTCGGCGGGGGAAGCCCGGAGTTAGGTTTGGGGACAGGACATGTTGAGTTTGTTACGTGTGCAGTGTCAGATGGACTGCATTATATAGATCTGTAGCTGATTACATGAACTTAACACAAAATAGAGGGGCACGCAGACAAAGGAGAAAGCTGGATCAATTTTTAAACATGAATTCTGGAAGAAAACATTACTTACATATATGTGTATATAGTCCCTCACCAGGTCTTACAGAACATAAGTGTTCAAAAAAGTTTTTTTAACTTAATAAGAATGACATTAAATATTTCATATTCTGGGTAAGTGACGAGATGCTGTATCTGGATTTGTAGTATGTTCACCTGGTATTAATGGTAATGAAAAACAATTTTATTTTCCTAAAAGTAAGGTCTCAGATAAAATGCTAACGTCACCAAAATGTACAGAGCTCTTTCAGCATACATTTTTCCAAAATTTAAAATGTGCACATTTTAAATAACACCATATAACACACATGACCTAAAGGGAGTAATTCTTTTTAGAATTATATTTTATTTATAAAAATCAAATCTTTTATGGAGGGTTCACACAAAAATAAATATTTATTTACTTTTAGGAGAAATATCCCTTGATTAGAAGTCAGGCACAGGGCTGGGCATGGTGGCTCACGCCTTTAATCCCAGCACTTTGGGAGGCCGAGGTGGGTGGATCATGAGGTCAGGAGATCGAGACCATCCTGGCTAACATGGTGAAACCCCGTCTCTACTGAAAATACAAAAAATTAGCTGGGCGTGGTGGCGGGCGCCTGTAGTTCCAGCTACTCAGGAGGCTGAGGCAGGAGAATGGTGTGAACCCAGGAGGCGGAGCTTGCAGTGAGCCGAGATCACGCCACTGCACTCCAGCCTGGGCGACAGAGCAAGACTCCGTCTCAAAAAAAAAAAAAAAAAAAAAAAGTCAGGCACAGAAACTAACTTTGTATTTTACAAGAAAGAAGATTCACATAAATCTTTGCTGTACCAAGTAATTATGATATTAAGACAGGGGACAATTGTGAACACTGGTATGTCCTACATGAAGGAAATAATTTGGCCAAGGAAAAACAAAAAAATGATTCTGTGATACCAGCAGCTCTATTAAATTGATATCACTGTACTATCTGAGGCTTTGGGATCTGTTACAATTTTCCTTCTCTTCAAAAGAGGAATGATCATTATATAACTCTTTTATATTTTTTAAGCTACAATTCTGAGATTATGTATTACATAATTAATGATAGTTTAGTATTTCCTACTAAAAAGGGTATAATTGTTTTTTATTAAATACTAGTAGAAAGCCTAGTATTGTCCTGAAAGGTCGATTTTCTTGTATCTCTCCAAGGAACTAGAAGAAGAAATTGTGATCAATTGCCAGTGTGCTTTAAGTGCCCACAAAGATTAGGTTCTGTGACATTACAAGATTTCTGATGTTTTGCAGGACTCATCCATTCCCTTGTACACACACCCCAGGGGCTGTTTTATTAACCTACTTGAAGTGCTTATTGGTATAGGAAAGGCATTTCCTTTTTTCCAGTTTCTATTATTTGCAGCACATCCCACTCTCAAACGCAATGGAAAAGAGAGTGAACCTGAAGCTTGGAACTTTCCTTTCAAAGTAAGTTAAAACAATTTTTATCAGAGAGCTAGCGGGAGAGGGGTATACTTTACCTGAAATAGTGCCAATCCTACATAATAAAACTGGTATCTTTTCTGATTATTTACATGAATTATCTTTGGCAATGAGATTTAAATATTGACAGTGATAGTTAATGCAAGTATCGGTAATTTGAAAAGCTACAGACCTATGACTGTCTTTACCTCACCATTCGTCCTTCTTGTTGAGATCATACAGTGGCTAGGCTTTGGCCAAAAGCATAATATTTATGACCAAGTAACTGATTTAAATATAACATGGGGTAGATTTCCCTCATTAAATTAGGAATTTCAGATATTAATTCTAATTACCAGTGGCAGACACTGTTCAATGAATTCCCAAAAGCCATTCTCACCCCACACTTCTCCCCGCCACCATCTCCCCTGCCCCAGCACAAATGCGTACACATACTCTAACACAATAGACACAGAAATTTGTTCAAGCACTTGGTGGAGAGCTTCAATCTTGGAAAAGCAGGTTTGGCCATGGTCTGGGATGAAACCAGTTTTAGTTAATGAAACATTAAAGAGAAGTCTTATGTTTCTGGAAAAGTGCTTTCCTCCCTGATAAGGAAGAGACTGAGGAAGCCGAAGCTCTCTATCCTTCGCTGCAGCCCGCTTTCTGCCCTTGAACATGTTTTCACAAGGGCACAGTGTCTGCAGCCTTGTGGGCACACTGCAGTCTTGACGGGAGGGTCAACAGACTCCCCTGGACCTGGGACCTGAGACGTTGGACACCTACCACAAGATATCTGGTTATGTGAGGGGGAAAATCCTCTTTCTGTGAAGCAGCTAGCAGTTGGGGTGTTATTAGCAGCTTAAAATCCTGCAATAATGCAATGACAATACTGTCCTCCAAATGTGGCCCATTGTGCAGGATTAAATGAGAAAATCTTACTAAATCAAACTCTATTATTTCTAATCTACCTTGACACTCAGCTACTGGCCCAATTTAAAAATATTAAATAATGATGTATTCGATTTGGTCAGCTTTCAATTATTTTTGTCATTTGGGAGAATATAGAATACTTATTTTGTTATTCTGTGAAAGTCACTAAAAGTTATTATTACTCTTGAAAATGTGTCAAAAGGTATAGAATTCTACTTTTTCATGTGGCTTAATATCTACCATAGCATAGTATAACAGGCCTGTTGTAAAATGTGCTCACAAGGGTGTATGTTTTGAAGGCTCCAAGAAAGATGTAAGTTTTCCTTAAGAAGAGTGATTAATTTTCTAACCAAGCCTTCTACAGCATTTAGAACTTGGTGAGATTCCTTGAGAACAGCTGATAGCCACGGTAAAACTAATTTGCTTTTTCTTGTAGTTAATGTAGTGCAGAAATTGTTATGGGTTTCACATTCATTATGTTTTTTGGCCCTTGAATGTCAAAAAGCTGTACCTGCCCAAGGCTGCATAGTTAGTGAGTGGTGGAACTCAAGCTGAGATCTCCTGACAACAAAAACCCCTGCTCTCCTGGCAACAGGCTGCACTTGCTGTTTGTTACCTTATTCACAACTTTCCTTCGTAAGAACCTCTGCAGCAGTCCTTGCATGGGCTCGCCATCCCACCGCAGCTGCACCCAGCGGAAATGCTGCTGCACCAGCAAGTCGGAGCCCTGGAGACAGGCCTTGGCGATGGTTCCCATCAGAAAGCAGTTCTCATGAAAGTAATAACATTCGGACAGTCCATTTCCTGAAACAAACCAAAAAGCAATGGCCCATCCTCAGTGAGTTATGTTATGGGACAGATTCAAATTAAAATAACGTAAAGAACATGAAGTATAACTGGTACTCTGGGAAACAGAAAGATTAGAATATTACAGAAGCTTGCTTCTCAGCATGGTCCCTTTATTAGCGTTACCTTTTTGGAAAGTGCAGGGGCTTTCAGTGCTGCGATTTTCAAGAGGTGCCAAAAAGTCCCTCAATAACTCCGACAGTGAAGATTTTTCTAAATTTTCTAAAATGATGATGATTTTCTTCTTACTGGGAGATTGTTTCACTGGGATCAGACAAGCTATAATAAAAAAGGAAATTCAGTGATTCAAGCTTTTGACAAAAATTTATACAAATTGGCAAAACTAAAAAAGTCTGAAGTTATAAAGCATTAGCAAAGATGTGGTATAATGGGAATGTTCTTAAATTGCTTGGGGAGTGAACAACTCTGGAAAACTGTTCGGTATTATTTGATAAGTTTGAACACACTCAAAATGATCCAACATTCCTTGTTCTATAACAAGTCTCAAATGGAATCAACCCAATGTCCATCAACAATAGAATAAATGAATAAATAAGAGTATGTTCATACAACAAATAGAAAGCGAACAAATGACAACTTTTACAACATGGAAGACTCACAAACAATATATTAAGAAGCAAATCATAAAAGATTATATACAATGTGATTTCATCATGTAAAGTTCAAAACAGGCAACACTAAATCTATAATTTAGGGATTCATACACAGGGAGTAAAACTATAAAGAAAAGCTAAGAAATGATTATCATGAAAGAGTAGTGGTTACTTCCAAAGGGAAGGGTTTGCGATAAGGGGGACGGACCACACAGTCACATTCTGAGAGCTGAGAATATTTTATTTCTTGGCCTAGTCAGTGGTTACATGGTTATTTTATTTTAAATTATTAATTAATCTGTAAACATAAGTAGTATATATTTTAGTATATCTATTTCATAATACAAAAGGTTAAAAGCCCTTAAATGACCTTTAAATTATGCATATGTAAAATGTTCATAAGATTATGTAGACAGGGCCAGGCGCAGTGGCTCATGCTGGTAATCCCAGCACTTTGGGAGGCCAGGGTGGGCAGATCACTTGAGCCCAGGAGTTCGAGGCCAGCCTGGGCAACATGGTGAAACCCTGCCTGTACAAAAAATACAAAAAATTAGACAGATAGGGTGGCAGGCACCTGTATTCTCAGCTACTTGGGAGGCTGAGGTGAGAGGATCACCTGAGCCCAGTGAGCTGTGACTGTGCCACTGCATTGCTGCCTGGGCAACAGAGCAAGACTGTGTCTAGAAAAAAAAAAAATGTAGACAGGACCTCAGAGAGATAAGTAAATCGCTCTTTCCATTTTCCAGATCTCAGAGAGGCTGAAGTAATTTGTGGTCTCAGAAACAATGGTAAGGGAGGAGTAAAATCCAGCACTTCCGACTCATATTTTCCCATTCGTTTCACTCAGGATGGGAAGGACTGACTTTCTGTCAACCCAAAATGAAAGCTGGAAAAGTAAATGAAAAATTAATATTATATATAGGAAATGAATAAGGGCACAAAACATACTTAAAACAGTACCTGGCATCTACTAAGCAGAAACTATTAATAGTTTAGTTAAAATGTATTCTATATGGCACTTCCCATATACTAATCAATTACAAAATAAAATCACTTTAGTTTCTTGAAGATTCTAAGATGCCACAGTTTTAGTCAAATTAACCTTGAAAAGAAACCAGTTTAGGATACTTGAGAGTAACATTACCAAATAGTCTACTTTTTACAAATATTCATGATAGTATATTCTCAATTCCTTCTTGTTACTATAGACACAATGCATTTTCATTTTCAAAAGAACTCCTTGAACACTGTAAATGAATCTCTTCTCAGACAGAAATGGCTCTTCTGGATGCTATGAAAATTTAAAATCTAGAAGGCTAGAAACAATCACAGCCACCTCTCAATCTAGTTGTACTTGTGGAGGGCTGCTAACACTAGCATCTAGTGTGTGTCAGATCCCTTTCAACACAGCTGTTTGGTAAAGAATGCTAAAATTCTATGTTTCTTTGGGTTCAAATGTTATTTCAGAAATAGATGTATTGTGGAAGTATGAGAAATCCGTAGTTGGTGAAAACAACAATGGAAAACTAACAAACATTTTTAATTCAGCGATTAAAAAAACACACAGGATTGATGGTTTATGTATCTGGTTTTCTGTAACTGAGGACTGAAGGTCTCCAGCTTTTCCCTGATTTGTGTTAAGTGCATCGCCAGTTTAAGTGGCTCTGAAGCTGCTGCAGCCAGCCAGAATGCATCTGAAGGAAGGAATATTTCCTTGCATTTCAACAAATGTTTATCCAATGCCTCTTTGCTACAGGTACTGGATGCTGAGTGCTATGGCATGCCAGAAGTGACTCATTCTAACTGGGGGTGTGTAGCATTTTATTTATTTTTTGGAGATGGAGTCTTGCTCTGTTGCCCAGGCTGGAGTGCAGTGGCGTGATCTCGGCTCACTGCAACCTCCACCTCCCGGGTTCAAGTGATTTTCCCGCCTCAGCCTCCTGAGTAGCTGGGATTACAGGTGCACACCACCATGCCAAATACAAAATTTTTTTTTGTATTTTTAATAGAGATGGGAGTAACCATGTTGGTCAGGCTGGTCTCAAAGTCCTGACTTCGTGATCCACCCACCTCACCCTCCCAAAGTGCTGGGATTACAGGTGTGAGCCACTGCACCTGGCCAGCATTTTAAACTAAGTTTAAGAAATGGCACTGGCCGAAGAATGGAGCTGGGCAGGATTCAATTCTAGAAGGGAATACGGCGTCAGATCAAGGTCAGAATAGTTATAAAAGCGTCATCATGGTGAGCTAAAAGCTGATCCATATAGCAAGTCGGGCCAGGGCTGGGAACTTGGGGTGGTGCCACAGGAGTGGCAGGGCGCCCAGCAGTCACAGCTGCGGAAGGCAGGCTGCATCTTCATCCTGAGCTGCAGGAATCGCTGGACCCATCCCCAGTGATTCTCAGCGCTTCTGATTTAATTGCACTGTGCTGGGCCTGGGGCACTGGCATTTTGTAAAAGCTCCCTAGTGATTGGAATGTGCAATCAGGGGCGAGATTTGCTGATATGAAGCCTCAGGACCAAGCCAAAAATGAAAAGTAGAAGACTCAGAATGTCTTGTTGGGAGGGAGCTACTGGTTCTGGGAATCAGTGGAAGTCTTTAAATAGGGGGATAAACAGGATTTGACTCCTGCTCTGAGATCTTCATGGTGCAGAGAATTGGCTGAGGAGGAAAGAAATAGGAGAACACACCTCCTAGACTCTTACTGCTATGGTTAAGGAAAGAGATGATGGGAGCCTCACCCAGGACCAACGCACAGAATGAAAAGGCATTTTGAGACCGAATCAGTAAATCTCAGTGGCTGACTTATTGAAAGAGGGGCAGAGAGGAAATACTGGAGACAACTCTAGGTTTCCACCAGAGAAGAGGCTGAGCAGTTAATGGAGGCAGAGAGCAGATGTGACCAAGCATGTACTTGGGGAGGAGGTGGTGGTGATGGGTTATGTTTCAGGCTTGATGTGTTTGATGAGTGAAGCATTGCTTCTCTGATGTGCAGCAGGTGGTGGGGCATGAGGGTGAGGGCATTGAGGAAGGATCCAGGCTGGAGATAAAATAAATGAGTTTTCAGGCATGCTGGGGTCTCTTGGAAAGAGGCAATATGCTCATTCTCCTGGGTCCTCAAGCAAATACTATATTGCTAGTGACCTAATACATCTCACATTCAATGGACAGTTTGTGCCCTAGACAAAAAGGGGGAAGGGCTGCTATACATAACCATTGGGTTATCTTTCCACTTCATCTTTATCTTGGTCTCCCATGAAGTAGCAATCAAGGGTCAAACAGCACAGCTTTCTTTGGGGGAAAGCTTTGTCTTCATTCGCTTGCCTCATTGCCTCAGTTTTTCATTAGTACCTACTTTTCCATCTGACCACTTAAGTTCCACATCCTTAGTCAAGGTGGGGCAAAGGTTAATTTTATTTTAGTTGAGAAATAGTACGTGTCTAGTTCAGGTTATTCTGCGTAGTTTCAGGTCTAAAATATTAACCAGCCACAGAAGCAGGAACTCATTACAGTTTCAAGGATCAACCAGTCTCTGATCAGGGCTTATGGAGAGGTGAAAGAAGGCCACACACCCCATGTTACAGCTGCAGGTTCCTTTTTACCTTCGGCCAAAAAGTCAGCCATTTGAATTCCCTTTGCTCTGTGCCACTTCAAAACGCTATTTCTAAAACCAGTCTGCTCTTTTTGACCTTTTTCTTCCAACTTTATAGGCTCTCTCAGCCCTGCTCCTCTCCTGCAGGTTGGTAATTTTAACTGGACACTGTCTTTGTGAGGCTCAGGGCTACATCCCAGTTTTGCACATCCTTATATTAAAAGTCCCAGAGAGTGAATTCTGCAGCCAAACTTATCAGTTTAAAAATAATTAGCATATCGCATTTCTAGCTAAACCCAAACTGCTTTGTGTCGTAGGTGAGTGACTCCAAGTCTATTATCTCCCCTTTCAGGACAGAAAACAACCCCTCTTTTCCATGTGCCCTTAAACCCCGGCTCTGGAGGAACGATGTTCTGAGAGGCCAAGTGGGAAGCACAGGGCAAGCCTTTAAAGAGTCCCAGGAATGCAGGGCCCAAGGAGGTAAACTCATTTCTGGAGACTCCAATTGTCATAGTCTCCTATTGTAACAGCAACCCTATCCTCATTACTTTTACAAAGGAAAGTTCCCTTGAAAAATTCAAAGTATTACTTTAAAATACCCATCTAGTGTTTAATTTTTTTTTCTGTTTTACTGTTTACAGTCACTGTAATTTTAAAAAGTATCATCTTGCTAACCCAAGTCCATACTTTATACTGAGGAGAAATTTGACCTAATTCTAATATGCATTCACAGCCTCCTTACCAAATAACAGAGTCATATGACATGACCCTCTCTCAAGAAAGGGAATATGAGAAGAAAATGTTATTTTAAAATAAACACAAAGTAATTTATGCTAGAATAAGTGCTGTGTCATTTTCTTTGAAATGGTCTTTTGTTCTCTATTCTTTTCTTCATTGGCACCATTTTAATCTCCATTTAAGTTTTAGATTCTTAAACCTAATTATTTAAAATACTTTTGCTACTCTTCATTTCTGTCTTTTTGCTCACACCCTCTTTAACTCTTTTCTGTGCCTGTTCCCTGGCTTTCTTCTACGGCGTCATAGAGAGGAACACATAAGGCAATGTGTGCTGTGCTCAGTGGAAGACAGAAGTTCAGCATTCTCACCCCATTCAACCCACATAGTTTAAGGCTCTCTCTTTAGAGAAAATAAGGTTAACCATCAGGAGTACGTGTAGAATACCTCAGGAATCAGTGTACTCTTCAGTTGTGGTACTTACTATTTGATCACTTTAATTTCTTGGTAAAAAAAGAGAGTAGCTGGTAGATAATCCCTATATGCTCATTATTCTAAACGTTTGAGTGGAATAGCCTAGAAAACCCCTTTCCTCCATCCAGATCTCTGACTTCTCTACCCTGTGGCCTCATCCATCGCCTCTTGACTGAAGGATCATTCCCTGCTGCATGCTTTCTGCACAGTGAAAGAACTGACACCACACCTGTCGATGGATCCTTCCCTGTGGCTCATAGGAGTTCCCCTGCACTGCTCTGAAGTCTCTGGTGTCCTTGTTGATTCTAATTCTCCTCTATGTCTTCATCAGCCTCCAGCCCACAGCATGGGTCCTACTGAGAAGACGGCAGTGGAGGTAGAGTGGGTTTTAGGAGATGAGGGTGAACTGCAGCAGGACAAGGATGAGAGGCCAGTCCACAATGTTCCTGATGTAGATTCTGAGAGCTTTAGCTTTCATTCTGGAGCCTTGGGAGTATAACAGCAGGGAACTGTCTGAATGGTTTTTTATCCTCCAGTGAGCCCCCAGATGCCTTGTGGAGGGCCCATGGAGGGAGTGAGACCAGAGGAAATATGAAAGGTTAATGATGAGGCCTCTACAATGCCTTGAACAAGAAATAATAGGTGATGGGGGAATGGAGAGCAGGAGGAGGAGATAGAGGAAGCAGATTCCACAGAGCTTAGGGACTGCCTAGATATGGGGAGTGAGGCAGACAGGAAGTGATTATGCTCACCTTGCTAACTTGGGCAACTGCAGTCAAGGCCTTAGCAGATGAACCTTGTATTTGTATCATAGTTTTCTTATTAAAAAGTGAAGAAAGATATTGATACTTACAAGTTACTAAGCTACATACAGAATAAAAATCCTTCTGTATGAATTTTCTTTTCTGCTTTACTGCTTACAATCATTTGCAATTTTAAAAAGTATCTGTCTTACTAACCCAATTCCATACCTTACACTAAGGAATATTTGACCCAATTATAGTATGCATTCGCAGCCTCCTTACCAAACCACAGTCATGTGATATGAAGGGTATAGAAGGATTTTTATTCTGTATTTGGAGACGACATACCATTTCCTACTCTTCCTTCTTTAACCTAGAGTGGAGTATTTTGTCCTTAGTCTATTGTTCAAACACTTCATTTTTTAAAATCCAAATTATTCTTTGTGCCTAGACATCAATGACTCCCTTATCAATACCTGTCTTTCTAATCTTACTTCTTTCTACCTCGACTCTAAGCAAGTTCTACTTGCTGCCACCTGAATTAAACTAATAATTCTCTTTTTCTTTGCCTATGCTATTTCTTACATCAGAAAATTCACCAATTTATTCAAAAAATAATTATTGACAATTTATATGCAAGCTAAGAGAAGAATAAGTTAAAGTGCTAGCCTTCAAGGAGCTCATCATATAACATGTGTGTGGGACAAGGCAAAACCCCAAATAATACCCTCGTTGCCTTGACATACAGTTGGGTAGAGCCCAGAAGTATAAATAAAATCCACTGCTGTTTACCAGAAGCAGTGAATCACAGAAGCGTCATTTGAGGTGTCCTTAAAGTATTTCGACAGAGGCTTTTTCTATAGTTTCCAGAAGGGCAGAGACTGTGTCTATTTTAATCACTAGTCTATAACAGACTACTCTGCATCACACCGGCCATGTGGTAGCCATGGTGTCTGTGGGATGAGAGGCATTTACATGTTTACTCCTTAATTCTAGTGGAAACTACAGCATGAGCAAAGACATGCAGAGTGGAAAAGCAAAGGATACATAAGGAAGAAACATCCTATTCTGCTGGAGCATGGGTATCTATGTTAAAAGGGTCAGATCAGCAGATTGGGTGGATGAATGCCCTAGAATAGAAGGCCTTGAACAGCATCGACCTAGTTCACTGGGCAATGGAGAGATGCGGGATGGGGAGGGGCAGAAATCACAGGGATTTTAATCAGAGGTCTGCTGGCCTGTGAAGAATGCTCAGGGAGAAGAAACAAGAGACAGAGAAACCGTCTATGTAAAAGTGAGGAGTTCCAGGAAAGGGAGGCATAAAGTAAGATGGTGCTGATGGAAATGGATTTTAAAAAGCAGATTGAGACTGACTGGCAGGATGTGACGATGGACTGTGGGACGAGGGTGAGGGGCCCACAAATGAGAGCACCTGGGGTTCCATGTGGTTCTCATATTGCTTTTAAAAATTAGAATAGTTAGCAATATTGAAAGAACAAAATCCCAAAGTTTTTACATAAAAACCTGGATTTCTGGCTTCTTCCTGAAAGTCACAAGACCTGACGACACTGGACCTACAATTCTGTCAGCAACAAACAGCTGGTTCTGAAAGCTGCTGCCCCTCCTGGAGATGGGGGCATGCCCCATTCTCCCTGCAGCCCTGCCCAGCCTGCTTCACCTCTTCCTGTGGCTTGTTGTTACTTGGGGGCATTGAGGTTTTCAAGCCTGCCAATGAGATCTGAGTTTCCAGTGTGGGAGTCAAGAGACATGGGCCACTCTCCAAACTGGGAAATTAGGAAGAGCAGCTCTTTTTAAGAAGATGCCCACCATAGATCTAGAAATGCTGAGTTGGTCACCTTTGCATCCTTCGTGACCTTGTTCATTGCACTCCAGTTTTCTTAGCTCTCTAAGCTTAGAGCAGAATTCAGTCTATAATTGCTATCTACCCCCATAGGGTAAGCACAAAATACTTTAGCTTCTTATTTTGAGAAGAAGCAAGATTTTAAGTTGAAAAAATGCGGGAGACTTTTGTTAGATAACAGGGGAAAAATGATGTTTTGGCACTAGGGCGTTTTTAAAGCCAGTAGTGATTAAGGTCAGGCTTAGGAGCTGGACTGCTGGGGTTTGAGTTCCGTTTTATGTTCTTGCTGTGGGATCTTTGAGTAGGACACTTAACCCTTTATTTCAAGTGTTTTCATGTTTATAAATCAGGGATGGGACTGTATCTGCCTCAGAAAGTTGTGAGTTAATAAATGCAGTGTTTAGAATAGGGCCTACATGGTGAAACCCCGTCTCTACTAAAAATACAAAAATTAGCTGGGTGTGGTGGCGAGCGCCTGTAGCCCCAGCTACTCGGGAGGCTGAGGCAGGAGAACCACTTGAACCAGCGAGGCAGAGGTTGCAGTGAGCCGAGATCGTGCCACCACACTCCAGCCCTGGTGACAGAGTGAGACTCTGTCTCAAAAAAAAAAAAAAAAAAAAAAAAAAAAAAGAATAGGGCCACCAGTGTAAGAGCTTACAAAATGTTAGCTACAATTAGTAACATTATCAGAAAAAACAGCTTTCTGTAGCTAACTTTCACTAATTTCTAGCCCAAGACTGGCCTGTGTAGTACAGTGATATTCAGATTCTACTGGAATTTTCCTGCCCCTAAAATGTGCTTCTAGGTTTGTGGTATCCTCAGTGCTTCCCTAAACCTGCCTCTTAATTTCATTTCTTTTTTAAAAAAAAATTGTGGCTACATAGTAGGTGTATGTATTTGTGTGTCTATGAGGTGTTTTGATACAGGCTTGTGATGTGAAATAATCACATCATAAAGAATGGGGTATATTTATCCCCTCAAGCATTTATCCTTTGTGTTACAAACAATCCAATTACCTCCTTCTAGTTATTTTACAATGTACAATTAAGTTATTACTGACTATAGGTACAATTATTACTGACTATAGTCACTATCAAACAGTAGGTCTCATTCATTCTTTCTATTTTTTCAGAACCCATTAACCACCCCCACCTACTCCCCAACACCCAACACTACCCTTCTCTGCCTCTGGTAACCATCCTTCTACTCTCTATCTCCATGAATTCAATTGCTTTGATTTTTAGATCCCTCAAACAATTAAGAACCTGTGATGTTTGTCTTTCTGTGCCTGGCTTATTTCATGCAACATAATGATCTCTAGTTCCATCCGTGTTGTTGCAAATGACAGGATCTCATTCTTTTTTTTATGGTCGAATAGCGCTCCATCGTGTATATGTACCATATTTTCTTTATCTATTCATCTGTTGACTTAGAAAGTGCTGGCTAGGCACGGTGGCTCACGCTTGTAATCCCAGCACTTTGGGAGACCCAAGGCAGGCAGATTGTTTGAGCTCAGGAGTTCAAGACCAGCCTGAGCAACATGGCAAACTCTTTGTCTACAAAAAATACACACACACACACACAAATTAGCTGGAAGTGCTGGGGCGTGCCTGTAGTCCTACCTACTCAGGAGGCTGAGGTGGAAGGTTAGCTTGTGCCCCAGAAATCGAGGCTGCAGTGAGCTGAGATCATGCCACTGTTCTATCTTCCTAAGCCTGGTCTACATTTGCCCTGGCCACAAGATATAGAAGCACCCCTCCCCAACAAAGAGATTTTGAATTTGCATTTCAACCTATCCTTCTCCAATCTTACAACTGCTTCCTTCGCCCCTTCCCCAGGGGTCTCTGTGGCTTTCAGCCCTAGGAGACTAAAGTCTGGTCCATTTCAGTTTTGTGTCAGAGTCACTAGTTATGCTATTCTACAGTATGCAATGCAGGGTTATGCTAATTCCACCTGTGATGAAACGTGGGGTATTAGACCCTGGAATCTAAGATCGAAAACTCATTAATAACATTACATTAATAAACATATTTAATCCCGGTGCTGCTACTACCATAGCTGTGGCAAATTACTGGACCTCTCTGTGACCCTTTCCCCACCTTTGAAAGTAGAAATAATGATACCTACACTTGCATAGGGCTGTTGTGGAGACTGAATGAGTTAATTAGTGCATGTGATGTATTTCACTAAGTGCCAGTCAATGGCATAGCAAGAGTGAGGTAGAGAAAGTGGTTGGCCCCAGGTGCAGCACTAAGGGATGTATTGGTTGTAGAGAATTTATGAGTAATAAAATTTACTAAAAAGTTGATCTGCTGTGTATCACCACCATGCTCCAGCAGTTCTAAACAGCATCAAAGATGCAATACCTAGTCCAGCTAGGGTGAACTGCTCCTACCACCTCCTCCCTTGGTATACCACTAGTGCCAGTAAGACAGTATGCTAGCAACAATTAATGATTAATAACAAAAAGAAGAAAAAAATGCAGGATGCTCAACAAATGCAATAATATACACATGAAGATAATTTTTGCAAGTGTTTATCCCACAGCTGCTGAATAATTAAAGTTATCTTAAATGTATCCCCAAGCAACACAGTGTATTTTCTCTTAATGGCATAATTGAAGAGCATGCCTTTAGGTTATCACAGGCAATTTGCTGAAATGTTCTTACCGCTACTAATGAACAGGTCTAGTAGCTGTTCCTTGGAAAAACCAGCATCTACTTCAGCTCTCACTATTTCACAGGAGAATCCTGCAGCCATTTGTCTGTGCTGTGATAAGAAAATAGGGTGATTAGTTCTACGCACTTGCCAATTTTCAAAGAAAAGCAGCTGATATACAAGTAATCAATACCTTCAGGCAGAGTGCAAGCTGATGTACTATGTAGTCTTGCAAGCTTCCTTCTGGGCCGTGGAAAATGACATTATGATATTGCTCAACCTATTAACAAACCAAGTAGAGAGCTAGGGTGAAGATGCTAAATTGATGAGAGAAAAAAGTGGTACACAGGTGTGGAATTCTTTTTTGATTGTCCTCATACTTTCAAAAGATTAAAAACAATATTTTAGAGATTAGCTTTATCATTGGACACCTGTACTCTCATTTGAATGTGAAACATGGGCAAAGGGTACTTAGCAAGAGCTGATACTTTATAAAAAAACACATTTTTTCCCTCTATTTTCCATAGCGAGGGTCTGCAGGGTAGCTGAGACACACAGTTCCAAGTTCATTTTGTCCCTTCCAGAAATTCTGTAACTTTTTCTATATTATCCTTTGCAGATGCTCTTTATGTGGA
Source organism: Homo sapiens (assembly GCF_000001405.40). Classification (NCBI taxonomy): domain Eukaryota; kingdom Metazoa; phylum Chordata; class Mammalia; order Primates; family Hominidae; genus Homo; species Homo sapiens. The sequence goes on from NC_000007.14 coordinate 117,746,455, forward strand.
ATTTTGTCAATGCTTATTTAGCTTGTTCGTGGTTAAAACAGTAATGCATTTCATTATGGAAATTTTGGTATATATAAAGAAGAATAAAAAATTACTGAGTGTCAGCACCCACAGTCACCGTAAATATTTTTGTTTCCTTCCAGTTTTTTCTTTGCATAGTGGCTGCGTGTGTGTGTGTATGTTTAAAAGATGGGTACATGAGTGTCATCTTTTTACAGCTGTTGTATATCAGATAATGTCTTTGTGTTGACTTCTTAGGTAAAAGATGTTTTGATGAGTATAAAACTCAGATCAACTTTATATATTATTCCATTCTGGAATTCAGTGTTTTAAAGAAATCTAGGTAGAGATGGATTACTTTCGCTTTGTCAAAAAGAAAATCTCCTGCCTGTATGCTTATATATATTTTTTAAACTTTATCCTCGTGTATAAGGATACCTCGCCTGAGAACATGGAGTTTCAGCATGCACTTGGATGGAAAGGCAATTATCATCTACACAGGGCAAAGGCAGCGATGTCTTGAGAAAAATATGGAGAGGAAAGTTAGCCTCCCACTTCTGTCATCCCAGGGCTGACACCCCTGCACCCTGCCCAGCACACATGCTTGGGAGAAGCTTTCTTAATGGAAAGCTGGTCTTGCAGCAAGGTCTTGCCGGAAAGGACTTGGACAGGTGAGGGTCCAACCTAACTGATACAGTTGATATTGCTCAAGTGAAGATTGAGCCACCCAGACTTAGAGAAGTTTTGAGTTTGTTCTCTCTATAATCTAGAACAGGACAATGTAAGAATGTGTGTGTGTATCTCTGTGTTGTCTCTCTCTTGTACTCTGATGAGGTTGTCCCTTTGAGATCACAGGAAAAGGCCCATCCTTTATGGTAGCTGGGATGGACTTCTGTGAAGATAGTAAAAATGCCCCAGTCCATCATTACAAGGAGGCAGATTGTGGGATATAAAAGGAAGGCTTGAAGAAAAGCTCTTAGCATAAGAGATGAACTAAACTTTTTCCTTACCCTAGGCCTTTAAGACTTGAGCTTTGGGCCGCACGTGGTGGCTCACGCCTTTAATCCCAGCACTTTGGGAGGCCAAGGTGGGCGGATCACTTGAGGTCAGGCGTTCAAGACTAGACTGGCAAATACGGTGAAACCCCATCTCCACTAAAAATACAAAAATTAGCCAGGTGTGGTGGTGGGTGCCTGTAATACCAGTTACTTGGGAGGTTGAGGCAGGAGAATCGCTTGAACCCGGGAGGTGGAGGTTGCAGTGAGCCAAGATCATGCCACTGCACCCCATCCTGGGCAACAGAGCGAAACCCTGTCTCAAGGTTAAAAAGAAAAAAGACATGAGGTTTGGCCTCTAAGGAGACTAAGGAAGGTTGGTGAGCACTTCTGGGAAGTGGAGGAAAGCCAGGCATGACCACCAGGATTCAGACCATGAGCTAAGAGGGCAGTGGTCCTTTAAGGGGCTCCTTGATGTTGGGCTTGGGACTGGGTTTTAGGCTCTGAAAGATATCATGTCTGGTAGCCTCCCGTAATATTCTCTGAGTTGGAATACTGTTCAATTATTAGTACACCTTCAATAAAAGGCTTACGGTGGAGGTGCAGGCAAGGACCAAACCTGGAGCAAGAACTTCCCCAGAGACACAGGAAAGACTACCCTAGAAAGTGCTGCTGAGGTTCTGCCTCTAAGCAGTAAGGCAATGGGGCCACAAGTCTGCAGGGATACATTATTATTAAATAATAATTATTGAAAAGTAATACGTTTTCATTTATACTTATGAGATGGGGAAGCCTGGGTGACGTACAGATTGTACTTTTCATTAAAAAATGCTGCCCAGATATGTCTAGTTATAGCCTCTTTCTCCTAATCTTAAATGGAACATGGTAAGTCCTTTTGATATGCATAGTCATAATTTTTTTGGATTAGGACATTTTTCTCCAATTTTTTGGTAATTTCTCCTCTTCTAGTTCTCTTTAACTATAATGAACACCTATAATGCTTAAGTTCTCTTTTTTCTGCGAGTATCTGTCATCTTATCTCATCATTATAGCTCTGTCTTCTTTTGCATTGAGAGAGCTCAAGTTAGTCTTGCACAACACGCAAAATATTCACGATCTCACTTCTGTTCTCTATAGTCAAGTGCAACTTTATGCCATTGCATTTTCAATTGTTCTTATAGTTCCTTACCTCATCCATCTCCTTTCTAACACTTTTCCTTGTAATCTAAGCCCAGACTCTACTATGACTTTCTTGCCCTGCTTTCATAGTCTACCACCTTGCATCCTGTAGACAACATAATTTTCCAAACTTTTTCTGTTTTTCCTAGTTGCTGTGGTCAAAATGTTTGTGTTGCTTCCCCTGGCTCCAATTCATATGTTGAAATTCTAACCCCCAAGGTGATTGTATTAGAAGTTGGGGTTGTTAGGAGGGATTAGTGCCCTTACAAATGAGGCTAAGGGGAACCCCTTGCCCCTTCCACCACTTGAGGATTGAATGAAAAGGTGCCATCTATGAACTAGGAAACAGGCCCTAACCAGACACTGAATCTGCTGGCCCCCTGATCTTGAACTTTCCACACCCTGGAACTGTGAGAAATACATTTCTGTTGTTTGTAAGCCACCCAGTCTACGATATTTTGTTTCAGCAGCCTGAATGGACTAAGACACTAGCAAATAATTTAAGGGTGTGTTCTTCCCTGAGTTTTCAGACTGAAAACTGTTCTGCAGTATTCTTCCAGAGGTATATGGTTAATTTGTTATTATTCGTTTATGTACTATGAAACCAGAGGAAGAATTTTGCAGGAAACCAGGATGTGTGGACCACCACTGGCTTCACTGGCTGTCCACAAATTGGGTGGCTGAATCTCCTTCTTGGGTCAGTGGGTGGATGAAAACTTGGTGTCTGCAGTTGCTGATTAAACTCCTGGGTCTAGCAATGGCTGCAATGGAATGAACTCCTACTGTCCAACACAGCAGACAATGTATGAAGATAAACCACAGTCCCAGGAAGCACCACAGCCCAGCAGCTCCTGTCTCCATCCCTGCTGAGTGCTTAAAGAGAATCCACCACCTGGGATGTAGCACAGTCTCACTAATCCCCACCAACTTTTTGTCCAGGTATTTCTAGGACCCGCAGTCTTCAGATGGATGTGGAAAGGACTCCTGGGAGTGGAGAAGAATATCATAGTGCTGCAAAAAGCAGAGACTATGCAGTAAAGGATAAATGCCCAATTTTCTAAGTGGTATAAATCTTTTTTTATTTTTTTTTTAATCACCAGGAAGATGGTAGAGGAAGGATGATAATATTTCCTACCTAATTTCAGGTAGGCCTCACATAAATGGGCCTAATACTCTATTAGTCTTAATGATAGTAGAAGATGCTTCCAGATTCTTGCCAAAGAGAGATTTCAGTTCTATTTTTCTGTGACTGAGGTTTTGTCAGTTTTCAAAAGTACTTCAGTGGGAAATTGTCTATTAGGTACGCAATTTGCTAGCCAGGTGCAATTTTAAACCGGAGCTCTTGAGCTTTCCAAATTAATCCCAAATCGCTATGATTTATTGGGTAGAATTTTTTTTCACAAGTAATGTATCATTTCATACCAGTGAAACAGGATACCAATTTTTAAGATTTACTGAAAATAAACAGGCTAAAGATTTTCAAGATTTACCCCAGAGATTTTCAACTAGCGTGGCTATTTAATCTTGTCTCACTTCTGAGAACAAGAGTGCTCTATTCATTATGGCCATCCTGTCAAACTGCCGACACTTTCTTAAGATTGATTTTGAAATCAAATAACATAAAGAGACCCAACTTCATAAAGAAGCTGTCTTTAGTTGCAACACTTCATTTGTTCTCAGACTGTAGGTTTTTAGGAAACACATGCAGGAAACATTCAATTTAAAATTTCATTGAAAAGGCCATTCACTAGATGTAAGCCCTTTGCATTTACATAGTCTAATGTCCCTCATGGGATAAAGCAGAAATATAAATAAATAACTGAATTAGGTAGGTAAAGAGAAAAACAAATGTATATACTTCCACATCATTCATACATTTTAATGCATGCATTTCATTCGTAGGTTTCTCTCCATTTCAGGTATTACCAATTTTTGGTAAATGGTATTCTGTTATCTCATCAAATGATATAGTCATGTTGGTTACCATTTAAATTCTGAACAACAACAAAAAAAAACCTTAATTACTGGGAACCTGTTACTCTATCAGAACCGGGTCGAACATGCAAAGCTTTGCTAAGACATTACATATTGTTTTGAAGTTATCATATTTCTCCAAGTAATCAAGATCTTGGGTATAATGAATATATATACTCCACGCTTCCAGCAGAGGGCTCTAAAGATAGATACGTAGGCAGATCTTTTGGGGAAAGTGGGATATAAATATTCTAATTGTATTGAAAGGAGATCTGTTCTTTGAAAAAGATCAAACACAACTTTTAAAATTACAGTCTTAATTGTAGTTACCAGAATTATCCCCTAAGTGCACATTTATAGTGTGACATTTCTGCTTATTGATAAAGGGACACTGGCCTCATTATCACAATTGGTACCAATCCCTTTTATTCTTGTGTCTTCACAGACTATTCAGGAAGCTCATCACATGTCAATTAGTGCTTTGTGAGCCAAACAGATTCTGGATTAAATGGAAACAAGTGACCTCAACAATAGACCATGCATCTCTATTTTTTTCCTCCACAATGCTTTCCTGCAGAATGGGGTTTACCAGAGGAGCTGTGATTTCCACTACTGTTGATGTGGCACCTGTAATGTGTTTGCAGAGCGGTGGCATTTTAAAGCAATAAATCCCAAGTTTTATTTGGAGTTTCACTTGTCACACATAGTGTGAGGAAAAGGAACTTCTGTCCAGAAACAGTTCTAGGCCAGCTTGTGCTGACTAAACAAAAACGAAAAATAAAAGGGCATTATGGAGCCAATAAAATTGGGACCGTTAAAATCACATGTTTTATAGCTACAAATTTCATTCCACCCATATCTGACACCTGATTTTAAATAACTAATTTACTTGTGACTTTAGAGCCACTGATGGCACAATTACGGTCTATTCATTAACATAAAATTTCCTCAAACAATATTGGTACATCCAGCATTTGGAATATAAAAAACTGGAATTCTTCACGGTAGAAAGCATTTTAATCATTTGTTGAGGTCCCTTTTAAAGAAGAGGTATAAGAGTAATAGGAATTTAAGAGAAATTACAGTTCACATACATAGCAGACTGGGTTACTAACTTCAAATATAGACAGGTCCCCATTTATTGATACAGACATAATAATTTGGGTATTACAGCTACTTCAAAAACATAAAACTATAAGATGGAACTTTTAGACATAACTGCTCCCTTGTCAGCCAGCCTCTGGAATTCATGAAGTTTTTCTGCTTTAGACCTTTTCTAGGCTGACATTTACTGCCCAGGATCCTCTTCCACTATTGCTGTGGAAGTCAAATGTTCCACTGGTAGCAGAGCTGCCTCTTCCTCATATCAGGCAACCAGCTGCTTCCCACTTTCACTAGGACCTCACCCAGGCTTGCTCCTCCCTTTCCTAAGAAAGATCAGACTAGAGCTGGCCCTCTGCTACCAGGGTTGTGGGATGTCTTAGACACATAACTATCACTTACAACCTTATTTTTATAGGAAAGTAGCAAACTTATTTTGGGAATGTACGGAGAATAACTAGGCTCTCCTAGTGATGATTCTCAGTGACTGGCATGGCACATATTGAAGTGAATGAAAAACAGGTAGAAGAAACTCAAGGATCCCATCCTGGACATTCAGAGTCTTAATTTTAAAGAAGCACTCAGATCAAGATGACCGAACTCCAGCATTTTTTCTAATATCATAATTACTCATAGTCACTGAATTATTAAAACACGAGGTTTCAAATAACCTAACAAAAATTGCAACTGGCTAAATGTTTAAGTTAATGCAAAAAATTCAACAATTACAATAAATTACTAGTGATTCAAAACTCAATTGGGTTGAATATTTCCCCTATTAAATCAAGGGTGGAGATTTAAAATGTACTTGTATTATTTTTAACAATAAAAGTATTTAAAAATAACATCATTTTAAAAAACAGAAACAGAAACAGAATCCTGATTTAAAGTCTTCACTACATGTGGTTTTCTGCATAAGGGTTTTAACACATGCATTTTATATAATATATTTGCATACATAGTAACAACTGGTACTGCAATGCTTAATCAATAGGCTAATAACCTAGGCTAATAAACTATGATTACATGCATGAGTAGGCAGAAAGGCTAGTTTCAACTCCTTGGGTCCCACTACTTAATTGCTGAAGACGCTGGGTAAATTACTTTGAGTCTTTGTTTATTTACCTGTAAAATCTAACTTGTATGGAGTATCTATCTCATAGAAAGATTAAATGAGATTATCCATATATTTAGAATAGAGGTTGGTGTATAATAAATGCTCAATAAAAGGTTAGCTATTCAAAAGCAACTGTCATCAGAGTGAACAGACAACCTACAGAACAGGAGAACATTTTTGCAATCTATCCATCTGACAAAGGTCTCATACCCAGAGTCTACAAGGAATTTAAACAAATTTACAAGAAAACAAACAAACCCATTAAAAAGTGGGCAAAGGACATGAGTAGACAATTCTCAAAAGGACATTCATGTGGCCAACACATGAAAAAAAGCTCAACATCACTGATCATTAGAGAAATGCAAATCAAAACCACAATGAGATACCATCTCACGCCAGTCAGAATGGTATTATTAAAAAGTCCAGAGACAACAGATGCTGGCAAGGTTGTGGAGAAAAAGGAACACTTTTACACTGTAGGTGGAAGTGTAAATTAATCCAACCACTGTGGAAGACAGTGTGGCGACTCCTCATTTCTTTCTAGAGGCAGAAATATCATTTGACCCAGCAATCCCATTACTGCGTATACACCCAAAGGAATATAAATCATTCTATTACAAAGATACATGCATACGTATGTTTGCTGCAAGACTACGGATGATAGCAATGACATGGAATCAATCTAAATGCCCATCAATTATAGACTGGATAAAGAAAATGTGGTACATATACACCATGGAATACTAAGCAATGATAAAAAGGAATGAGATCGTGTTCTTTGCAGGCACATGAATGGAGCTGGAAGCCATAATCCTCTGCAAACTAATGCAGGAACAGAAAACCAAACACTCCATGTTCTCACTTATAAGTGGGAGCTGAATGATGAGAACACATGAACACATGGTGGAGGGGGTGGAACAACATACACTGGGGCCTGTCACAGTGGGGGCTGGCGGGAGGGAGAGCATCAGGAAGAATATCTAATGGATGCTGGGCTTAATATCTAGATGATGGGATGATCTGTGTAGCAAACCACCATGGCACACATTTACTTATTTAATAAACTGCACATGTACCCCAGAACGTAAAATAAAAGTTGAAGGTAAACAAAGTCAATTACTACATTTGTATATCTACTGTACAGATTTCCAACAATTCAACACACATCAATGTGCCTGTAGTTATTTGTGGAACTGGGAAGCTATGCCATTCTCTGGCTCAAATTCCCTCAGTGGCTTCCTATCCACTTGGAGTAAAATTCAAAGTTTTTGCCATATTCCTGCATGATCTAGTTTCTGATCATTTCCCAGACTTCACTGTCAACCTAGACACATTTGTGTCTGCGGTTCCCTGTACCTCAAACACCCTCCACAAGGCGACTCTCTTCATTTCATTTGTTTTTCAGTCCAAATGTCATTACAGTAAGATCTTTCCTGATAACTCCATCTAAAAATAGTGCTTTCTGCCTCCCCGTCCACCCACTCTTTATCTCCTTGTCTGCTTTATTTTTCTTTACACTTGTGTTGGTGCTGGTCATCACATTACATGTGCATTTATTCATTTGATATTTTTTAAATCTGCCTTCTTTACCACTAGAAGGTAAACTGTATGAGGCCAGGCAATGTGTCTTATACATAGCTCTATCCTCAGTTTCTAAAACACCACCTGCATTTAAGAGGCTCTCAATAAACAGTTGTGAAACAACTGAAATAACAGGACACAAAAATACATAACACAGGGCCTATGCTCTTAAGGGGATTATAATTGTTTATGGAAGAGAAAACATTCACAACCATTATGATATATTGTTGTCTCAGTCACTTTAAATTTTGCAGTGACTGCTGAAATAAGTGATACATTTTTATTATATTCATTCAAGAGTTAATTGTTGGATTAAAGAAGTCTTTTATGTACACTCACTGAATTCAATATAGAATCAACAACAGTTTTGGTCTCTGATTTGCTGTTAACTGGTAGTGAAATTATGTCTTATGTATAAGCAGACACATATATAAGTGTACTTGGAATATTTTACATATAATGTGACTAGCAGACATTTCATTTTACAGATTTGCTAGTCAACGCTAATTTGCAGTTTTATCATCTTAATGGATGAAGGAAAAGCCCTGGGTCAGAACCTTGCCTTGTACGGAGAAGCTGACAAGGGGGAAGGGGAGAGAAGGGAGTGGTTCTACCAGCTGATTCTACTGAGAGACTGAGGCTAACATTCCTGAAAACCAGTTGATCACACCCTTCAACCTTCACTTAAGCCAAGTAATGATATACATCTCCTTCCCATCACAGGCATACTTTCATGCTTTTAGGAAGGGGGACAAAGAGTAAAGCAAAGAAGTCAAAGTATCAGATTCAGGAGAATCCACCTTTTCTACACTGTGAGGCTTTGAATGTTTCTCTGCTACTGTGGCTGCTGGTACAAAAGCTAATCCTAACTGTGAGCCTGGCTAGATGATCAATGGAATGGTTTTGAATACTTCTTTTCATAAGGCGTGAAAACAAAGGCATCAATTCACAGTCTATGGAAACAACTTTTGTCAAGGGTCATAGTTCCAACTCATTTATTTAAAAAGGTCATCGAAATTAAGGCAGCAAGCAAAATTATGTTTAATGTTTTATACCAGTAGTATTAGTTTCAGATTGATCTCATACACATCAGAGACTTGCACAATCCTGGCTTCATCACTTGCTAGATGCATGACTTTGAGCATTTTACCTCTCTCTGTTCAGTTTCCCCATCTGTAAAATGGATGAAATTATCTCATAGGGATGTTTTGAAGAATAAATAAAATAAGTCATAACAGCACTTGGCATATTGCCTGGCATGTAGTAAGTATTTAATGAATGCAAAGCATTACATTTATCCATTTTACATTTATAATTTGCTACTTTCTTTTAATGATCATATTCTTCTTCTTCCTTTTAGTAACAGACCACCTGGTTTTAGGTGGGTGCACAATTGCCCAGCAAAAGGCTCCACTTCCCAGCTAGGCACCGATAGGTGTCTTAAGTTCTGTTGAATGGGATGTGGGCAGGAATGACGTGTGCAATTCCCCTGAAAGGAAAGGCCTGCCCTCCAGGTTCTCTCTTTCCAGCTAGGAAGTGAGAGTGGGAGTGGTGACTACCTTTGACCAAGCAACACAAACAACATCCCAGGGAAGAGTGGAGCAGGGAGAAAGGGTGCTGAGATCCTGGGGAGGTCACCCTGCCACTTCTCCTTCCTCAGGCCTCTCACCTGCTGGGACTTATATGTTTAAGAAAAATAAACTTCTATCCTGTTTAAGCTGTAATTATTTGGTTTCCGTTAAAGTGGCCAAATTAACCTTCTCACTAATGCTAGCATCTTTACTCAATTTTAAATTATAAAAGTTTATAGTAAGGCATCTTGATATTTGTGGCCATTCCCTTTCATATTGATCATCATTTACTTGACATCAAGTCCTTGTTAAAGGAAGACATCCTGCTCCTGCCCAAATTATGGCATTTCACAGGTCACAGGTGGTCTCTGGATCCAGGCAATAGATACCTGGATGACAGTGACAGAAATCCAGACTATGTAATGGGCAGCCTGCCAGGGAGGGGGCTGGTGGGGAAGGTAACGGTGTCAGAGCACAGGGTGGGGGGGCTTGCACTCCTCCTTTAAACATAAAAATGGGCCACCCAATTTTCCAGTGGCAGGGATGGAAAACACAGGTCTCCACCCAGCAGTGTCCACCTACCAGCCTGAGGTAGTTCTGCATCATCTGGAGAGGGATCATGGAGGCATAAGTCACACTACTGAGACAGCCTTCTTGAGGACCTGTAGGAAAGGACAGACGAAGAAAAATGGGTGTTCCCTTGTTAAATATAAACGATCAAAACACAACAGAATCTATCATAGAAGATGAATGTGTTTGTTGACTTATGTAGGCAGAGCTGACATTTGGCCAGGAGGCACCAATGTGCCTTTCTGTTGTGAAAATATCCTCACACTTTGTTCTGGCTGATAAACTGCCACTGCTCCTGACCTCCCAAGAGCTCCCAGCTGTTCCTTCCTCCACCCCCTGGGATGCCCACCTACCTCCCAGCAACCATAGACAGGGCCTCCCGATCCCAGCCCAAACACTGTGCCCAGTATCTGCTGATTGCTGGGCTTGATGTTTTACAGTTCATAAGTAAAAGTTATCATAGATCATTGCAATCCTCAGAAAGCTTTAGCCTTGGCCACCGTTAGGTCCACTGGCAATACTCGCCACCCCTCCCCCCAAGTTCTGCCATTCTCTCAATACATTGTTTGGGCCTAAAGCAATTTTCTGGGGTGGCCTCACACTTTTCTTTAAACTTCAGTAAGTCCAGTTCAAGTAATAAAATAAATCTTTATTAGTTAAGATTGAATTTTCAGACTCCATTCCCAAGTATGGGAAATACATGATGAAATCCATAGCTGTTTAGCATCAAGGGCTGAGAAATTGAGTATTCCTATACCACTTAGTGGCAGCATGACCTTAGGCAAGAATATCAATCTCTCAGAGCCTCAATTTCCTTGGATATAAAATAGGGATAAGCAGAAATGCATATCTCATTGGGTTATGAGAATTAAATGATTTGATACTTATAGTATGCTATAAACAACAGGGTCTAGCACATAGCAGGTGCTCACTAAACATTAGCCTGTACCATCGTGATCATCGTATTAAGCATTATTAAGCACAGTAAAAAAAAAAAAAAAAAAAAAAAGACATTTCTCTTTTAACACAGTCTCTGTCACTCTCTTATCAGCATGCCAGTTTGGCCTCTGGTTTACTTCCAGTGAGTGATGCAATCAGAATGACAGGCATCAATGATCCAGACAGACATTACCATGGGTGTCAAGAACATAGCTTTTGAGTTTTCCTCCCCTTAATCAAACATTTTAAAAACATCTAATTACCTAGTGGTGGAACTCACATGTGCGTGGCTAGAAGACATGGGATGAAACGTGAAGATTTAAGAACTGGTGCTCTGAGGCAGCCATGAAGCAAACACTCTTTAAACGTCACCTTAGTTAGGGACATCCTTACCTGACAAAAGCACAGTGATGTGCTCTGCCTTATTCTTCCTCATAAAGTCCCACGGGGACTGCGCGAAGCTCTGACCCACTGACCACGGCACATTTCCTAGTTTCAAAAAATGAAATAAAATGTCAAGGGAAGCTTATGAGTGGTTTTTCTCACAAGGGTAAACATATGCTCTCTTCTGTGAGAACCCTAAGGAATTCAGAGCTTTAATTGTCAAAGGCATGTACGGAACACATATAGGGCCACACAAGGGGTTAGCTCCCTAATGAAATTCTTGTTGAAGGTTGAAAGGAAGGCTTTCAATCTACAGACTTCTCCAAAGCAGCCCATAGGAGGGATTCAGGGAGAGATCTAGAAAGCAAATATATCCACTCAGATATTTCTAGGGTTAAGCTCTCAAGAACAAGGCTGTCCATAATCTAAAACTGTTTCAGGGTTCTTCCAAAGCTTGTTTCTCAAAGCCTGAGCACTTTGGGTGAGATATGAGATCATTTATGATCTGGTCCCTGAGCCTCTTTCCAGCAAATTTTTAGATTCCAGGAAAAAAAAAAAAAGATAATTTCAGGTGCTCAGAACAAGGCAGGCCTTCTCCCATTGCGGGCCCTCTGCTCACTCTTGTTCTGAAAGGGTTCCACTTCATAGGTATCTTCCCTAGGGGATGATTGGTAATAAGTATTTTTTTTCATCTCTTCCTTCCACAGATCAATTCTTAAGTATCTATTCTCAGCATGCCTCCAATATACATGCACACTCACCTGTAATTGCGTTTATCTGCTGACCTGAAGTTCCTTTCATGTAGCTTAGGTTATGAATCCAGCAAACTCACTTACATACACACAATAATAACACTAATAATTACCAATTATGAAGTGGTTACAGCGAGGCACTAAACTAAGTCCTTTATCCACAAAACTCAACGATTTTTCGATGTGAAATGCTACTAGGGTGCTCTATACCTCTGAGACAAGCATGAACACTGCAATAATCAAGCCTTAGCATGCACTGTTCACAGAGGTAAACTTATCTGTTGGCAGTGAATATCCATCTGCCTTTGTCAGTTTCCACATTAGCTGAATGAAGGCTGATGGGGGGCCATTTCCTTCAAAACACAGTTGTACTGACTTTGTTTATCAGACCCTGGGCCAGAACCACAGTTTGAGTAATACTCCATGTGTGGACAAAATGTGTTCCTAAGAACTGAATCATTTCTTAATGCAATTTTAAGTACATTATAACAATTCTATAATTTTTTTTTTAAAGAGATGGGGTCTTTGTGGCTCAGGCTGGAGTGCAGTGGCTTCATCATAGCTCATTGCTGCCTCAAACTCCTGGGCTCAAGGGATCTTCCCACCTTAGCCTCCGAGTAGCTGGGACTACAGGTGCATGTGACCGCACCCACCTAATTTTAAAAAAATTGTTTTGTAAATATGAGGTCTCAGTATGTTGCCCATGCTGGTCTTGAACTCTTGGGCTCAAGTGATCCTTCTGCCTCATCCTCCCAAAGCACTTGGATTATAGGTATAAGCCACCATGCACAGCCAATAATAGTAATTTTAATGATCATGCCAAAGATCCATAAAATCAAGTTGTCATGAATACTCTTCTCTAAAAACTAGTAACATGTTTTGAAAGTGAATAAACATATATGGGTAAACAGAATAAAACACTTTCTGATGTAACAATCTGACAGATAAATAGCAATGGTAAAAAGCCCACTTTTCCCTCAACCTTGGACCTTTCTTTTCCAATACGGTGCTGTTGAAAGTACACAAGCTTTTCTATCAGACAGAATATGATTTGAATCCTGTCTGCTTTGCTCACTAGTTCTGTGCTCTCAAGCAAGTCATCTTGTACGGAGTTATCTGTAAAATGACACCACTGAAAGGACCTTTTATAAGCACCCAATACAGTCCTTGCAAAGGGGCAGATTTCCCATAGAAGGTAGTTCTCCTGGACCAAGAAGAAAGGAACTAATCAGGGACACCTAATATTTACAGAGAACTTACTATGCTCAGCAGAAAGCAAATCTCGTAAGTTCCTTGGAATCTGTTTTGTGCTGTCTATCAAATTGAAATAACCAATTACCACCCTGATTCATCCCATGTGGGAGCATTGAATATATCTTTATTAAAGTGCTTCTTTCAAGTCTAGACTTCATCAGAAAATCTGTCCTGGAGATAAGGTACTAATGCACTACAGTGCTCCTGGCCCAACCCAAGAACAAATTTTGAGCTGTGTTCAGTACTTGCGCAAAAGCAAGCAGCTGTGGGGTGTTTAGTTTCTTGCATTTATCTAGAATAGCAAGTGCAATCACAAAGCCTCATCAACGGCTTTCATGTTTTTTACTCTCTGAGTATTATTTGGGGCATAAAAGCATTTTTATATTAACAGGCAACATTACATAATGGCTACATTGTGAATACTCAAGTTTTTCAGCACCGGCAGCTGCCACAAGTAAGCTTTGAATGTGCTTAATCAATGAACTAAGAATCAGGTTATGAAACCCACAAACATAAATAAACCCAGAAATTTCACTTTCTCTCCGTCATAGGACTGCTGATACCTAGCGTGATGGATCGTATGCTTCTTGCACTGAGGCCGATGTTGGAATCAGTGGTGTTATTGCAAGTCACGTCTTCCAGACTCCACCATCCATCAGAAGAGATTGCCTGGAAATGATTTGTCAGAGCTTGACTCACTGCTTTTGAAAAATCATCCCATGATGTCTGTTTGCGGATATTTAAAGCACATATTGTGTTTTCACATTCCAAGTCATCAGAACCATAGTTGCTTGGTTCAATCTCACCCACTGAAATCCTTAAGGGTATTTTAAGAGCATCTGTTAGAAGAGTAAAAGAATTAGGAGTTAAAAAAATCTGGACAGAAAAAAAAAGTAAAACTATTACATAAAATAAGCAGATATAAACATTTAAAAATTATAAACCAAAGCTATTTTATTTCATTAAATAACATTACATTGAACGTTCTTACACTGGAGTAAACTTTTGTCTCCCAATCTCTTCAGTTTCTTTGGAAGCACGCTGCACGAACTGTCTCTTTCCTTGTATCTTTGGCTTTTTCTATTTCATTAACTCTTTCCCATCAGCAAGATTGTCAAGTTTTAAAAAAAAAAATCTGAAAGAACTATAACCCTCCCTTGACCCTGAATTCTCTATATTCTCCTTTCCTTCATAGATAATGTCATGGATGAGGCAGGTTATAGTTGGACAGGTCGGGATGCTTAGGATAGTAACTGAGAATCATATAGACCTTGGGTTGAACCGCAGAGTCAGGGTCAGCCTCCTATAGATGCGTGTTCTTGTAAATTGATCTCTCTGTACCCCAATTTCTTCCATAAAATGGAGGGAATGTATATCGAGTTGGTGTGAAAAATAAATGAACTTACTTTTGTAATAGATTTTACATATTCTTATGTGGTAAATACCAGTAAGTATTTGATAAATGGTTAACAGGGTAGCAGGATTTAACTTTTGAAATGTTCTTTCCAATTTCTCCGACTGAGGCTCCAGCAGAGTGGGTAGCACCCCCATCTACTTCTGTTCTCATGACTGAATTGTATGCTGAGTTACTTGTGTTTGTTTCCAAATATTCTATGTTCATTGAACTGATGACTATAATTATTGAATTAAGTATTCCATAAATTGATGAAATATGAGTTACTGTTCCTATGAAAACTAAGTTGAATCCTTTAGAGACAGTTTAGGAACTGTTAAAAAATTTTATCTAATGAGGTATAAATGGGACAACTATATGAAATTAGAAATGGTTTAATAATCTCTGGACAGGTATTACCTTTAGTTTGCTTCATAAATGTGTTTAAGCAGTCAAACATTAGAAATCATAGATGATGCATCAAAGGTATGTTTTTTTCAAACAAGAGTATGTGAAATTTTAATCAGTAGAACCTGTACTAAAGACCTCTATCTAAACTTTGGTAAAAAATTCCTTTGTATGCTTTAAAATTAAAATGTTTTAAAACAACATGTGTTTGTTTATATGATCCTCTTCTTAAACTTAGATTTTTCCATTAAGTAACCAACTGCTGGATTACTTATTTTCCATTTTCTGACTCTCAGTCATCTTACTTATCCACAGTATCTGACAAAAGTGATCTCTCTTTGCTCCTTGATATACTCCTCCTGGATCTCCTGTACCTCCTCGGTCGCTCTTTAATGTTGTTCCTTTGTTGTTCTCTCCACCTTTTCCAGACTTCTTAATGATAGTGTGTTTTGGGGCTCCTTTCTCTATTTATTTTGTGCATGTTCATTCCCTTAGTGATCTCATCCAGTCCCATGACTTTAAATATCACTGATAGACTGCTGACCTTCACATTTATTCACCCAGCTCTCACTCGTCTCAGGAATTCCTGCTGACTTGACATCTCCACACAGATATCCTAAGAGACATCTCAAATTCCTGCATCCAAATCTGAACTCCCCAACTACATGAGAAAATCTGTTTCACTCATGGCCTTTCCCCCTAACAAGTACTGGCAACTCCATCGTGCCAGTTGGTCAGACTGAACACCTTGAATTATCAGACTGAACACCTTGAATTATACTCCCTCACACTTCACATTCAATCCATGAGGAAGTTCTGTTGACTCTACCTTCAACTGTATCCAGAACCCAAGTCCTTCTCATTACCTCATCTGCTGCATTCCTACACTGAGCCACCATAATTGTCTCTCACCTGGAATACCATATGCATGTACTAACAGCTGTTCCTGATTTATCTGTGACTTCCTATAGCTGATTCTCAACAAAGCAGCCAGTGCTACTGTTAAAATGTGCATCAGATCCCATCTCTCCTACAATCGAACACTGCAATGGCTACCTTAAGTTCTTACAATGGCCTACGCATTCCAACAAGATCAGGCCACGCTCCACCCTGTAACTGCTCTCCTGCACTCAAACACTGAAATGGCTACTGCTCTGACCCGTCTTCCTGCTTCTCTTTCCTTTTAACCCAGTCATCCTGCCCTCCTTGCAGTTCCTCAGACACAACAGGAATGCTGCTACCTCAGGCCTCTGTCCAACTCGTGCTAAAGCTTCTTGAACCTTAGATATCCACATAGCTGCCCTGTTCACCTCCTTCAAGCCTTGGCTTCAATGTCTCATCAGTGAGGCAAACTTGGCCACCATTTTAAAAGCTGAAACACACCCTTTAAATCCTCATCCCCCTTAGTCTTTTCCATAGCATATCTCACCACCTCACAATGCCAAAAAATAAATTTTTCTTATATTTATTGTTCATTTTATCTCTTAATGTTAGACTATAAGCTTCAGGATGAGAACAATCTTCTTAAAAATTTTCTGACTTACATCAAGTGGCTAAGATAGTGACTGGCACAAGAGCAGCTCAATAAGCATATGTTCAATGAATTAATAAAAAGGTGTTTATTCAATGGATGAAGAAAACTATTCTACCAGAGATTTTTTCCACTGTCTTTCCATATTATTCTCAGCTTAAAATAATCAGCTTCTATGTAACTGCACAAAACTTGTCTCCCTGTTAGCGGTAACTTCTATTTGCCAAATGCAATCGACTCTTTTTAATCCTTATAGTCTAGGGAATGTGATACTATTAAATTAATTCTTCCTGTTGGAAAGGTCTCCTAACTTGAATCCAATTACACCATTGTTTTCTTTTTCTTCTTCTTCTTTTTTTTTTTTTTTTTTTTTTTGAGACAGGGTCTTTCTCTGTCACCCAGGCTGGAGGGCAGTGGTGCCACCTTGACTCACTGCAGCCTTGACCTCCCTGGCTCAGGTAATCCTCTCACCTCAGCACCCATGGAGCAGACAACAGTTGGGACTACAGGCACGTGTCACCATGCCTGGCAATTTATTTTTATTTTTTGAAGAGATGGAGTTTTGCCATGTTGCCCAGACTGGTCTTGAACTCCTGGGCTCAAGCAATCCTCCTGCCTCAGCCTCCTCAAATGCTGGGATTACAGGCATGAGCCACTATGCCTGACCATACAACATTATTTTTTGGCTCTTTTCCTTCCTATTTCCCAATCTTCTTTTAGGGTCATTTTTAAAAAATATTTTCTGCCCTAAAAATGGGGGTTTCTCTGGGCTTGGCCTTCAGTTTGCTTTTCCCCTCACCCTGTATATCATTCCTGTCTCATAGCACCCCTATGACTTGAACCATGACCCTGTTCTCCAGCCCTGTGACTCCCTGGCTTGTTCAGCCCTCCTTCCCTCTTACTAGGTACCAGTCATGCTCCCCATCTATGGTATCCTGTGTATCAAGATCAAGACAATTATTTCCCCATTACCTACATCTTACTTCCTCACTTACAATCGTTCAATTGTTCATTCATGTCCACAGGATTGCATCAAAACTTACATGGAAGATTGAGTCAAAAGGAATACAAGGCCTTTTATGACCTGACTCTAGACTTCCCATACTCATCTCCCTCCTCTCCCCAGCACTGCAGATACAGCTAAATACCTCTAAAGACTCCAAAGCACATCCCCTTCAGTGCCTCCAGATATGCTGCTAGTTCACCTGGAATGGCTCTATTTTCCACTCTTTCTTGGCTCAGCCTTTCAATTTTCACTTAAATCTTCCATAGGGAAGCTCTTACCTCCCCTATGCATATTTTTACACTTTGCCTTATTTAGTGGTACTTATAACAAATATAGGCTTGGAGTTGTATTTTTAAACTTTTACACAGATGGTTTTATATTATGTGTCCTTCTATAACTGACTTCTTCACTCAACACTTTTTTAATGTATTTCAGGTGATTTATATAGATAAAATTTATTTTTAAGTGCTACTTGGTACCTTTAAAATATGAATTTTCTACAGTTTATTCTATTTATCCATTTCCTAATAGATTTCCATTTAGAGTGCTTTCAGTTTTCTAGTATTACACACAATGCTGCAACACACATTTTCATATGTCTCCTGATACACACATGCAAGAGTACTTCTAGCTATGTGCTTAGGCGAGGAGTAGTTTGTTGAATAAATGAAAATAATTGTGCATCTTTGTTCTTCTTTGACATATTCTGTTCTTCAGGTTTTTTTTGTTTTGTTTTGTTTTTTTGAGATAGAGTCTCACTCTGTCACCCAGGCTGGAGTGCAGTGGCGCCATCTTGGCTCACTGCAACCTCTGCCTCCCGGGTTCAAACGATTCTCCTGCCTCAGCCTCCTGAGCAGCTGGAATTACAGGCATATGCCACCACGCCCAGATAATTTTGTATTCTTTAGTAGAGACGGGGTTTCTCTATGTTGGTCAGGCTGGTCTCGAACTCCCGACCTCAGGTGATCTGCCCACCTCAGCCTCCCAAAGTGCTGGGATTACAGACGTGAGCCACCACACCTGGCCCCACTTACTTTCTATAGTTCATTTGCATTCGCAGCTTTTATCATAAGCCTTATGGAAGTAATCATAATCTAAATGCATATCCTGTCTTTTTTACTTCTCTCAGATTGTCAGAATTGGAATCTTAGAAAGACCTTAAGAAATGATCCACTCTTTTGCACTCAGGTATACGAATAATTACTAACCCTATTAACAGGTGAGCAGACTGAGGTGAGAGAAGGCTAAGCACCTTGTCTAACATTACACAGACATCTGGATACTGGGATTCAGATGCCCTTTCCCTTAAATCACACTACCTAATGTCCAGTCTTCCACAGGATGTACATCTGCAAATCCTGCCAACATGTCTGAGATAGAAATTATACTCAGGTCTCCCATATCAGTCTTTATTTCATAAAGTCCTCCTTAATCCTCAATTTTAGGATTTCCCATCCCTCTCATTATATACCATTTCCCTCTCCTCCACCCTGGTCCAACTGAGGACACATCATTAAAACTTTTTGATGCTTGATCTGTTTCCAGACTCTCTATAGGTTGATTTGTCCCAGAAAGAGCTGCCTACAGAATTCCAAAACACCATTTGTACCACATTATGCACTATCAACAATCTCATTGGCTTATCTTTGACTGCCAATGTAAGGTCAAAACTACTGAAATGAGCATTAAACTGCCCAAAACATCAATTGCGCTGTCTCATCCTTCCAATTCCCCACCTCTAATCACACCTCTATCCCAGCCATGCCAATATGCTTCATATTTTTCACATCTAAGATACCATAGCTATATATATTTATTCCTTCTACTTTTAAATGTTTAATATCAGAAAGTGAAATATAATTAAATGACAGCATTTACATTCCATAATAAAATTTTAGCTCAACAGAAAGTGTTCCATGTTTGTTCTTAGGTTAGCATCAGCTTGTAATAAGAGAACTATTTTAGAGAAATTCTGTATAAGACACTGTTTCAGACACTGAGCAGCGATTCAAAAGTTTAAGGACCCGAAACCTAGACTTCAATGATAAATAAAGCCTTCTGTCAACCAAAAAAACCCCCTCGGGTTTAAAGAGAATTTCTATTATTCTCTTTTATATTTTATATTAAAGTATACTTACACAGTTTGCATATATGCTTCCTTACCATTCTGAAATTTTCTTCACAAAATAAAAGTATATGAATGTATGTATTAGGTTGAAGATAAAAACATTATTTCAATTTTTAAAATGTTGCTTATCCTAAAATTGAATTACTGATACAGCTGGCTGACTGGATGGATTGGGTGATAATCTTAATATAAGAGGTCATGATGTTTTGTAAGGTCTATACTCCACACTCATAAACCCACAAGTGAGCCTTTATAAAATGCTGAGGAGCATATACTCGTGGAGCTGGAAGGGACCCAAAAGATGATCAATTATCTTCATAGAAAAGTAGGCGACCAGGTGCTGGGAGACAACCAACTTGCCTGCCTCATACAATCAGCTGATGCAGAGTACATAGCTGGGATTTTTCATATCCTGCCAGTCTAACATCTAGAAAGACAATCTAAGTCAGAAGAAAAATGCAATAAATATTTAGATTGCTGTCCTAGGTCAGTAAAATACAAGGAGAAACCAGCATTACTTGAATAGCAATTAGTTCTACAAAAAGTCATTCTACACGGAAAAATAGTTAATTATCACACTTACAGTCAGTATTTTTGCCATAGCTAGGGCTCCAAAAAGGTTAAAAAGGACATGCAAAAGATGTAAATAGTTTTTCCCATTGTACCAGAGGCCCCAGCAGCATAGGGGAAAGATAAACAATAAGCTCTGAACATCACTCACTCAGATTCTCCAGCAAATGCTTGCAGTCATCAGTGGCAACATCATGCACAGTCCGATTGCACTTGTCTCTCCTTTCTGGCTCAAGCCCTCCGTGCCTACACAAGATTTCTAGGCAGTTCTATAAAGACAAGAGCTCTATTACCTCCAAGTCCAAATGAATTAACTTGAATGCAAAACCCAAAGGAAAAGCCAGTTGCCTATAACAATCACATCAAGAATTCATGGCTATAAATCTTATTTCAATTCCATCAACCCCAATATACAGATTAATCTTAAACTAAACAATGTCTAGAAATGCAAAACAAAGAGTGCTTATTTAAATGCAAATGATAGGATCATAACATTGTTCCACAGAACAGCTTCTTAGGTTGCAAGAAAAAAAAATAGCTTGTTAATCACTCAGTCTGCAGATTGAAATTAAGAACAAAATTAATTTCAGCAGACATTCTCCTTTTATGGTAATTTGGCAATAGAAAACAAAAAGACTTTTGCTATAACGGGATGTACTTTGCTGTCTTCTAGACTATAAATGGCTTTCCTGGTAATATAAGTGCAGGGCTCTAATTTTAACAATTCTAAGAGTCCTCATAAGCATATTTGTATTTGAGATGTTACCTTGCCATATTTTATTTGAAAAATATGCATATCATGTTGATTGAGATTTTAGAAAAACATTCCCTATAGATGTTGAAGTTATGCTACCTTTCCTTTTCAGCTTTTTCTTCTTCTGTGTTGCTTAAGGAAATCTCCATTCAAAAAGTAGAACTACGAACTGAAAAGTCTTAGTCCTCCATATTTTTTCAAATGCAAAGTAAGAGACAATATATATACATAAATTTTCTAATAAATAAGCACATGGCAAGATGTTACATGAGGATATTTACCAAGGAACTCTCCTGTATCAATGTTTACCACTTGATGATTTGTTGGCTAATTTCCCACAAGGCTAAGGAGAAAAATGAATAGACCAGAAAGCATGAAAAGGAACTAATAACCAAAACAAGCAATGCCCTGCCCATCACTCCTGTAAATGCACACACACACACACACACACACACCCACTTGGAGGCATGGGGCTGTCTTGCAGTTCTAACAACATATTAAACCAGGTCATCTTGTATAGCCTTTTCTTATCTTTCTGTAGCACACCCTTACATCCACTTTTAAAATATACCTATTTCCTTCCTAATATAAAATATTTTTAAAAGAAATACCATATCTGGCTGGGTGTGGTGGCTCATGTCTGTAATCCCAGCACTTTGGGAGGCCAAGGCAGGTGGATCACTTGAGGTCAGGAGTTCCAGACCAGCCTGGCCTGGCCAACATGGTAAAACCCCATCCTACTAAAAATACAAAAATTAGCCAGACATTGTGGTGGGCGCCTGTAATCCCAGCTACCCCGGAGGCTAAGGCAGGAGAATCGCTTGAACCTAGGAGGCGGAGGTTGCAGTGAGCCAAGATCATGCCACTGCATTCCAGCCTGGGTGACAAAGCAAGACTCTGTCTCAAAAAAAAAAAAAAAAAAAGAAAGAAAGAAAGAAAGAAATATAATATTCACATAGAAGTGTATAACTTGAAGCATTATCACAAAGCACACATACTTGTGGAAGGAGCACTTCGGAAGCCCCTTTTGTACTCCATCTCAACAATTAACTCCTCCATCCCCCGCAGAGGCAACTACTATCTGCTTTCTAATATTAGAGATTGGTTTGGTCTATTTGTGAACTCTATATAAATGGAATCATACTGTATGTAGGTGCATTTTTATATTTTGCTTCTTTCATTCAACATAATGCCTCTAAGATTCATCCATGTGTTGGGAGTAGTCAGAATTCATCTTCATTAAAAAATGATTACTATGTGGGATTCCATTATATTCCATTATGGTATACCACAATTTACTTATCCATTCTCTTGTTGATGAACATTGGTGTTCTGCTATAAACATTCTAGTACATGTCCTGTGGTGTACACGTTTGGTGTTCAGTATATAGCAGAGCTGGACTGCTGTGCACAGAGCATGAACATGTTCTACGTTAGTCCATACTTCAAAGAGCTTTCAAAAGTGCCTACACCAAAATGTACTTCCACAAGGAGTATACATGAGTTCCAGTTGCTTCATGTTGCCTCTGAAACATACTTTTAAATGCAATAATGAGTTTGCTAGAAAGTACAGTGAGTCCCTAAGGGCCAGAAAGAAAAACAAAAAACTAAGCAGAAACCACCAATTCAGTGAAACTTTAACAGGAAGCCAGTGCTGCTATGAAGGTAAAGCTGACAGACAGAACCTTCTTGGATGGTGGAAGGATAGGAAACTGGGCCTTGGGTTTCCTGAGTAAAGAAAATCTGCCTGCTTGCAAAGGGAAGCAACTAGGACATTTGTTTCTCCCTGGCTGGCCCTGTTCAGGTTAGAGGGATCTCTCTAAAGCTTGCCATTTAAGTCTGGCAATCTGTACAATTATTATGTGGCCATTAAAAAAGTAAATCTTAAAGAGAAGTCTGGAAGTCTGGCTTTCATTGGTCTACAGTTCAGATTTAAGAAATTGCTAAGCTAAGAAATTAACAGAACGCAAAGTCAGATAAATAAATGTCAATTCATATCAATTTGTTATTACTAATTTGGACAAAATCAGTAAATGAATAAGATAATGTTGATTTAGAAATGAACTCTAATTAGAAACTTAAATAGAAAGCAATCTGAGCACTAAACTTAGTGAATTCTCAAGATGATAAATGATAAAAATCACACATTTATTTTGCAAGTTAGAACTTGCAGTAAATGTAGGTAAGAGCCACAACAGACCTGGATTCTAATCCTGCCATCCAAAATGACTCTATCTACCACTGTTGCTGAATCATTTAACATTTCCCTGCTTTCATTTCTCTATCTGTATTTCAAGTATCTATATCTCATAAGGGTAATGTGACTTAAATGAAAGATGCACACAAAGTTCTTATATTCTTGGCCTGTACTAAACTCCCAATATTTATTAGTAGCTATTATTATTACTAGAATCAACATCATCATCACCAGCTAGAAAACAGTCCAAATATCCAGTTAACTGGTGAGGTACTATAGCACATAACAAATGTCACTAATCTCAAGACAATTTAAGTGTTATTACTTCAGATTACAAACAGAAATGATAAAAGGGGTAACACAAGTTTGCAATACTCCTGAACTGAGAGTCTTTTATTTCTGGCCGTCAAAGTAGGTTATTTCTAATTTTTATTACATTCAGGTAGGTCAGTGGGCCAGAACATAAGCAGTGACTTTCTCTTTAAGGAAGCATGAATGTCAGTCCCCAGGAGAGTAGCACATAGCCAAACACTACTACAAGAGTAAATTCTGCAGTGTGTGCTGGCTGCATGGGGAACTCAATGAAAGTGAAAACTTTGGCCCCACTGACACTTAACAACAACAGCTACAACAACTATTTGAGCACATACTAAGTTCCAGGCACATTCCACACTTTGCAAGTATTCAGTGTTCGTTTAGCCCTCACAGCAACTTTATAAGTAAGGCACAAAGCCCCTTTGGGCCAGGGGCTATTATGAGGGCTAAGGGTCCTGATGGTGAATAAGGTAGAGAAGTTCCATGTCTCAGGGAGGAGTGCAAAGTGTCCTGATACACTCAGAAAAGGGGCTGGTGAAGCAATGAGTACAGTTTTACTTTATGGAGGAGCAGGAGGAGGTAAAGAGGGAGAGAAGTATCCACACTCTCTCCTTGTTGAATGGGATTGTGTGAAGAGGACAAATGCTGTGATCCCAGTCCCTGCTTCTGGAAATAGAGTCCCGGGGGCCCTAAACTGGGCACGATGTCCTACCCAAGTGATACGGAGACAGGGATCTAGATGGATGAGTTTAAGCTAAATTCCTATTAGGATATAGAGACATCTGCTATAACAGAGACCTTTTAAAGAAGTAGTTTAGGCCTCAGCTTTCACATGCACTCACATTCCACTTGCCGGAACTCAAGTATTTGGCCATAGTTCCCTGCAATGGGGACTGGAGAATGCTGTCTTTATGCTGGGTGCCCATGGGTCCAGCTGAAACAGAGGGATCCGTTACTATGGACCAAGGACAGAGGAGAGGTTGAGGGGTGAGGGAAGTGCCAGGCTCCTTTAGGCAGAGCTGAGAAGCAAGGTACCAGTGCCCAGGAAATTCAGTAGAAACCCCAAGTCCAGAGAGCTAGAGATAAAAATCAAAGTCAGAGCAGGGAGCCAAGAGTTTGAGATTGAGCAGAGGGAAAGAAAATGAAAAAAGTTTGCAATTATAAAATTTAAAGCCCAGCTCAAGTGCTGAGAACAGCCTTGGGGTGTAAGTGCTGCTTTACAGGGCTGGGGAGATGGAAGCTGTTAACGTGGGAAATAACGACATGAGCAAGAAGGTAGAGTTAGGTGTGCATGGCCAAAGATGAAGTTGGCTGCTGCCAGCTGTGAAGGGCTGAGTGCTATGCACTTTGCATGCTTTTCCATAGGCATGAGGATGTGTTTGGGAAGGAAAGTGCCATGTTCAGCTCTGTTCTGAAAAGCAATTATTGTACTGAAAGATTACGCTGGAAAGGACAAGAGTGACAGCAAGGAGACCAGTTAAGAAAAATACAGTAGTCCATTCTCTCACTGACTCAGCAAACATTTAGTACTTTTGGGCCACAGACTCTGCTGGACACGGTATATATAAAGATTAAAAAGTAACTGTTCAGAGGAGATGGAGAGGCAGAGAAGCATGCAAACAGTTACAATAAAGTACATGCTCTCTAAGCAAAGTGTGGAGAGGTATCCTGGGAACACCTAACTCCAAGAAGCCAAGACAAGCTGAAATGTTTTCCAGGCAGAGAGGGGTCAGGACAGGAGAAGAGGCCATTTGAGGTAATGGCAGCAGCAGGGAGGGGAGAGAGCACAGGATGTTTGCACATTGGCCGGTCACACGTGGTCAAAGCCTAACACGCACTAAGGAAGGAGACAGAAGTGTGCCTAGGGGAGCAGACCAAGGCCAGATCAGGAAGGGACTTGACCGTCATGATAGGCATCCCTGCCCTGGCAGTGATAGAGGCTTGGGAAGACATGAAGCAGGTAATTACATCACCATGTTCACCTGTTAGAAAGGCCCCTCACATGGCAATGTAAAGGGAAGCAGAGAGACCGAACATGATGAGACCACAGCAGTACTGTGAATGTGACCAGACAGCAGATGATGAGGGCTCCCTTAGGACAGCACTGACAAGACTATGGAGGAGGCAAGGTATTCAAAATTTATTCGTAAAAGAGTAAATCTAGAGTTGTGTTGATCATTTGAGTTCTTTAAGTTAGGAAGATGGAGCAAGTAAACAAATGCCAGGTGATGCTGTTGGAGTAAGAGAGGAGAAGCAAGAATTGCAGCAGATTGGCCAAGAAGCCTAAACATTAGGGGCCAAGAATGTGCTAGAAGGGAGCTGTCTGGTGGAAGCAAAAATGAATGTGGTCCCCAACAGGATTACCCTATAACTGTTTAAACTGGAACACATTAGAGAGTAAAAGGAGGCACTGTTAATAATTACACTGGGATGACAGGCATAAACAGGGTTGTACTGAGAAAACTGGAAAGTTTGTTCCCCTGGTTACCAAGGAAAGCACCTGCCTAGACAGACTCAGAAAATGCTTAAGTAGGGCTAGAGATGAGATTTTAGAATCCCTATAGATTATATTCTGCGGATCAACAAGATCATTCAAGTGAGAAAGTTCAGAGTGACGAGAAAAAGGATCAAAACCCAGATCCATGAAAGGTGTTGGCGGGAAACACTGGATGGCCCATGTCTTGGATGAGAGGTGGAGCACGACCCTGGGCAGCCAAGTTTACATTCCCTTTAGGGTTCTGCCAGTCACTGCTGTCCAAAGTAAGAAAGGATTCAGTACTCTTCACTGAACATTACAGGGAATGAGTATAAAAAGGCATTTTCCAGAACAATTTTTTAAAAAAATTAATAGAAAAAAAGGAAATAATCATAGATAATCAAAAGCATTACAATAGAGTTCAAAGAACAGATTTCTATTTATCATGATAAAAATCTAGTTCCAATGACTTTGTGCCTTTTGCAGGCACCTAATCTAATGTTCTCTCTTCTGAACTAGCTACCCAACTCCATGCGACAACGAATAACTTTAGTGACTCCTATTATCTTGTTCTTGTTGCATCCAATTCCTAGGAAGATGGAATCCAAGTGTTGGGGCGTCATGTGGACCTTTGCACATACCTCATGGATACCTCCTGGAGGACCAAGGTGGCTGCTACAGTGTGAGTAGAAACGTCTGACTCTCATATGACTAAAAGCTAACAATGCATCAGGCAGATTGCAATCCTAACACATAAAAATGATCTAAAGTGGGTAACAAGAGGGCTACCACCTGATCAGAGGACAGTGGGACTGCCCAGAGATGACCTCCAGGATGCTGGAGATGAATGTCTGGAGGACAAGTAAAAAGGCAAATATGGAGATATGGGTTTGGGACTAGTTACTGCAGGAGCCACTGTTGACTCCTGAAAGACTGGATAAGCTCTTAGAAAATAGGAGTAGGCAGCTGAGAATAAAGCTTGGGAGTTGCTTAGAGTTAACACACACACACACACACACACACACACACACACACACACACACACACACACACACACACCCCAAAAAACAAAAAGCAGAAAAACAAATAGAAAGCCTGGTCAGCAAAGTTGGAGAGGAAGTGAGAAAAGGGCAGTGTTCTGGAAGCCCAGGGAGAGAGGAGTATGCATTAAATCGTCAACTTGTTAAAACACCCAGGGAGACAAAGCAAAAGCAGAAGTGACAGGAAGCCACTGGCTTCGGCAACACATAAGCGAGAACCATAACCTCCTCCTGTAGTCAAAAATTCATGCAGTCCCCCCAGTGAAAAAAATCTCTGGGTATATGAACTTCAACAACAGAGCTGCACAAATCCAGGCAATCTCCTAAATTTGTTTCAGTTGCAGGAAACTAACATGTCAATGGTTTCATGACAGAACAGGAAGTTTCGTTAAGAAACTCATGTATCTATTCACATGAAATGATGGAAACAAAGGCTTATCCTTAGTTCAGCAGCCTCTCTGGAATAGTCAGGCCAGCTGTAGAGAGAGGTTTTCCGATGACATTTAATGGTGGTCTGCACAAATTTCTTAACCATTGAAAAAAAGACCAGGGGCTAACGTGGAAAAAGGACAGATTTGGGAATTTGATCTTCAGGAATTAGTTACCCATTTCCCATTTCTTGTAGATAAAGACTTAGTTTCTTTATCTACAACACAAGGGAAATTGACTAGATGAACTATGTCAGGGGTCCCTGAACCCCCGGGGTTCACAGACCAGTATCAGTCCATGGCCTGTTAGGAACCAGACCGCACAGGAGGAGGTGAGTGGAGGGTGGGCAAGCATTCCTGTCTGAGCTCTGCCTCCTGTCAGATCAATGGTGGCATTAGACTCTCATAGGAGTGTGACCCCTATTGTGAACTACACATGCAAGAGATATAGGTTGCATGCTCCTTATGAGGTGGAACAGTTTCATCCTGAAACCATTCCCACCCACCCCACCCCCAACCATGGAAAAATTGTCTTCCACGAAACTGGTCCCTGCTGCCAAAAAGGTTGGGGGCCACTGAGCTATGTTATGTCCCTTCAAGCTCTGAAATTCCACAGTTCTCTACTGAAAACCACGTGGAAACTGAAGTCATCTTCTTGGGTAGCAACGATACTACTACCCTGCGTAGATTAGACAAATGTATGCTAGAGAAAAGAAAAAAAAATATTTTTAAGCTCTACTTGTGGTCAATGTAGAATCTTTTTACCAATGCAATGACTAGCTCAGAGCCGTATTTTTTTCAGAAATCTGGCCTTAATATCTTAGTTATAAGTGGATTACTTTCTGAAGAACTATCTCAGCCAGAATATAAATATTAGGCAAATGATACAAATATATTTTCCAATATCTTTGACTAGGGGAGAAGGAAGTATGGTACAATGAAACGACTAATGGACTCAGGCAATCTGGGCTTCATTCCCAACTTTTATCTACTAAACCCTCTGGGATTTAAATGTCTTAATCATAAAATGGAGAGGTTAGACTAGAAGATTAAATGTCCACTCTAGGGCTTAAAAAATATATTAATAGCCTAGCAGTGTGTGAATATTGGCAGTCATGCCCACTTAAAAAAATCTCTTTCCTTGTCCAAAATTCATCTTGTGCTTCTTAAAGTAAAAAAACACAGGAGAGTCATAGTCTATGGGAGAAAGAGGTCACATTTTCCTTGGACAATATGCCAGAGGTGTGGAAATCAATGACAATGCCATGTGGAAATCAATGACAATGCCACGTTTGATCATAAAAACACCAGAACTAATAAAAGATTCATAGTTAAGGAGCTGAGCAGCATCACAATTGCCCTACACTGAAGGGTAACTCACCCTGGGGAGTGGGTTCCTTTCTGCCTAGCCTGAGAGGTTCAGTAGCCGAACATCCTAGATCAAGGGTGTTCAGGTTTTGTTTTTCCTTTTTTTTTTTTGCCTCTAGGCTGAGTGCAGGTATAACGCACTCCTATCATCAACATCTCATATTACATTCAGAGTTTTTCTTTTAAAGGAGTGGAGGCAGGTTGCAAACTACCCTTTCCATGCACCTCTACAACAGCAAAAGATTCATAGTCCTAGATTAACTGTGCATATTCAAGTTTAAACTATTTACATTTTCCATCTTTGTCTCCCAAAAACTTTTATGTCAAATATTATTGCATTCCATTCAAATCATACAAACAAATCAAGTTCCCAGAATTTTTTTATCTCTTTTGTCAAAGGGTAAAGTTGGGGAAACAAAACAACAAAACTACTGCTAACAAACAATACCTCCAGACTGAATTGAATCATGCCCTTTTCTCATTTTGTAAAACACCAAAGTCCAAGATGAACAGCTTCTGCTAAGATCACGATAACAGGAAGTTACCCAACCAGGAGCTCTAAATACACATCTTTAGCTATCTCCTTCTGGATGAACAAATCGTAGCCCTTACATTCAGCATGTCTAAAACTGCATTCTGTCTTCTTGATCAAAATGATGTCTTTTCCTTGTTCCTTTTGGGAATGTCACTATTATCTTTTTATTCAGCTCCCCCATTTCCCTCATCTAATCCATGTTCATTCTGGGGCATTCCTAATATTTCTCATTATTTCCACTGCTGTCATCATCTTTCATGTAGTATCCCTTCCTGATACCAATTTCTTCATAATCTCAAATCTTCTTGATGTTGTTGCTAAATGAATCTATTTAAAACTATTCAGTTGATTATTTTGTTCCTTTGTACAAAACCTTTCAATGGTTTCACTTTGACTAGTAAATTAAGACCAAACTCCTTGCTATGTCATTGAAGGCCCTGGGCCCTGCTGTGAAACTCCCAGTCAGGTCCTTATTTCTCACTACTCTCCATTACCCCAATTAACAGGGACCTGTTATCCACCTCCCTACTTCCATGTGTTAGTTTTTAATGCTCCTTTCACCTGAACCACTCTCCTTTCTCAGTGGTAATGGTGAATTTAACTTTCCTTGCAAAGCTCAAAATAATTTCCACCTCCTCCAGAATGGGCCATGCCTGAGCCTAACATTCCTGGAGCTCTGCCCTTTGAAATATGTATGTTCTCTTTCTTTTTCCCGTAATTGCTGCATTTCTGTACTGGTCCAACTGCATTTCTGTTGTCCTTGTGTTTTTTTATGTGTGCTTTTCTTATCCTACATTTGTCTTGTACCCTGCTCACTTGCCATTGAACTAGGAGCTAATGGCAAAAGTGATCCTTGCAAATGTTAGCACGCACAGTGCCTTGCACTCAGGAACTTTCTAATATCTTATTATTGCTAACACATATTAATGCTAAAGCGACTAACATCAGAAAAACATGAAAACATGAGTGAATGGACTACTATATTATACTGTTTCTTTAATATTCAGAATCTTTGTGTATTCTATCTAAGCATCTAGAGCTCCCTCTTAGATATCGGTAAGAAAGCACAGTTAGGGATAAGTTTGGCAGCTCAGGGTACAGGGCAAGAGAATGAGCTCTGCAGCACGAGTGTGAATCCTGACCCTGCCTCTAACTAGCAGCATGGTGTTGGTACTGAAGTAAGCAACCCAATGGACTAAATCAATGCCAATGATTTGTTCCTATAGTAGACAAGATAAAATGTTTGAAATTGCCCTCATATTTCTTATTAACAAACTACAAATAAATGATTTTTATTAAAAGTCTCTTATACCCTTGACCATAAGTAACTACTACATAGGAATAATGTCAATTTGTATTGGTAAATAACATCTGCAATTGTATCACTCAGTCTCCAATTATTCAATTTAAGTGCACTTAATCTATAGCAGACAACTTTGCTGCTCATCAAATTACAGCTGCATGATGAGGCCAGCTGCTACCAGACACACCTTAAAACCTTTGGAAGCAGCAATGTGGGCAGCAGTCCAGCCTTCTCTGTTGGCGTGGTTAATGAGGTCTGCAGGAACAACAGGCTTGGATATGCCTTCAGGACTCTCTTCTCCTCCATCCAAGTCAAAGACACTTGACTCGGACTCCTCCTCATTGAAAGAATTTCCATGAGCTGGTATTCTATGGTACATAAGAAGCTTGAGGCTGTCCACATTACCAGTGTCCACAGCTGCGTGAACTGGTGTCCAGCCATCCTGAAAATAAAATGACCAGGGGGAAAGGGTTGATAACAACATTAATGTCAAGGAAAATATTATTGAAAGTTCACTTCTAAATGTTCTTGGGCATGGACCACTGAGCTGGGAAAAGCAGGCATTCCAATCCTGAACATTATCACTGATGAGCTGGGTAAAGTTCTCTGACTCCTGTCAGTTAACAATATTTCCAACTGCTGTGACTCATGTTTGCTATTTTGTAATCATTTCTACCTACCAGTTAACCATTTGGGGTGAGCAGGTACTGTCCAGGGCATAACTGAGCATTATGTATGGTAAATCAAAATCTCAATTTAATACTATGAAAGAGAATGAACTTTAGCTTAAAGGGATTAAAAAATTTATATGCAATAATGTTATTAGTAGAGTACTGAAAGAATGCAGTTATAAGCCAGTTTTACTTATAAGGCACTGACCTAACTCTGTGATCTTAAAATTTTATGCCAACCACCCCAGAAGCAAAGATCCTAAATAATAGGGAAAAGGTAGACATAAAGAAAAAACAAAGCCAAATAATTTCAGTGAAGGTTTATGGGCCCCTATTGAGTGTTTTGTGACTGCAGAGGGATACTGATCATTATAAGCTTAGAAAATGTTTCAACTAAAATTATTGTGTCTGTTTTCTAGAATATATTATTTTGGAGCCTCTATTACCCACTTAGCTGGTTGCTAGAGTAGAGGTATTAATAGAAGTCCTTTTTAGGGCAGTGATTCTCAGGTGTGGTCCCCAGACCAGCAGCATCAGTATCACCTGGGAACTTTATAGAACTGTAAACTCTTAAGCCTCATCTCAGATCTACTGAATCAGAAACTCTGGGGATGGGGCTACCAATCTGACTTAACGACCCCTCCAGGAGATTCTAATACACTAAAGTTTGACAAGCGTTATTCTGGGAAAAATCTAGGTTCTATCTACAGTCTCTTCATCTTTATATAGAAATCGGTCTGCCTTCTACTCAGGCACCCATCTTGTTTAGTTTTTTAAAAAATTTTTCATAAAAGAACCTGGCCTTATTTTGGTGATTTGGTGATTTTGGCTTTATTTTTCTACCTTTAATTTCCCCTTGACATACCTTTTTCATGCAGTATTTCACATTGCTATACTAAATATATTTCAGTAAGCTACAGTACACTTTAAAAAATAATAGGGTAGAAGACAGAGAAATAGGCAATAAATACGAACAATCTAAATTTGGGCTAAGTCATCTGACCATTTGCTAAAGCTGTCCCTTTATAATGTGGCTTTTTCTCTGGTTTGGTATCTCATACCAATAAAATCCACTTGGCTAAGACAAGACAATGGTGCTCCAATCAGGTAAATAAACTCCACTTGGCTAAGACAAGACTATGGAGCTTCAATCAGCTCCATTCAGGCGTGTTCTTCACTGGGTTGTGGACACCTTTACTTGGGTAGTATAACAGTATACTACACAAGTAGTCTACTACTGAAGAGTGTAAGTGCTTTTGACCTTTCCCAATTTATATTACAAAGGCCATGCAACCACTTCTGGAAAAAAAATTTTCTATTTTCTATCCTCTTTTGATACTTTCTTATTATAAGGCACAAGACATAATTGTTCCCAATTACACTGTTTATCTCTGGAGTTTTGAGCATCTATACTTCTAAAGGTTTTGTTCAGCTCATCAGCAACTAGTTGGAGAGAATGGATTTCTGTGTTCTCTAACTTAGGATGTGACTAATTTTTATGCTGTACTACTTATTTTTCATTCAGCCCTGTGATACAAAATTAATTCATTTTTCACTATAGAATTTTATACTGAATGTGTGTAACACCACAGATTTCTCAAGTAATATATATAAATAACATGAAAAATATAAAACTGTTTTCTCAGATTTTCAAAAAATAGGAAGTTTTTTTAAGAAAAAAAGCTGTAGCAATGAGTCATTAAAAATGTTTATATCTAGCTTATTACATCTCTGCATATATATATATATATAAAATACATATGTATATGTATATATATTTTTTGAGGCAGAGTTTTGCTCTTTTCTCCCAGGCTGGAGTGCAACAGCGCCATCTCAGCTCACCACAACCTCTGCCTCCCAGGTTCAAGCGATTCTCCTGCCTCAGCCTCCCTAGTAGCTGGGATTACAGGCATGCACCACCACGCTGGGTTAATTTTCTATTTTCAGTAGAGACGGGGTTTCTCCATGTTGATCAGGCTGGTCTTGAATTCCTGACCTCAGGTGATCCGCCCATCTCAGCCTCCCAAAGTGCTGGGATTACATGCGTGAGCCACCACGCCCAGCCACATCTCTGCTTATATTATTAACCACTGGTCCTCCTTTACTTAAGAAAATCCAGGATCTGAGACTATTATTTGTTGAATGAATAAAAAATTATACCTCCCTTGTCTGCCCTAGTTCTAAAAATAATCAAAGCATAGGTATTTGTTTTCCTGTTTGACAGATTAATCTGAGGCTCAGAGGTTAAAGGACTGGCTAGGCTAATGAACAAGACATTTAATTAACGGGAAAGAGATTCAAACAAGGGTCAGACACTTTCCAAATCCTACAAGCAAAACAAAATAAAGCAACCTCTATTTTAATTTATTTTGTTTTTCTAGTTATAGAGTTTACAAATATATTGCAAATTATATATACAGGGGGAAAAAAACAGACTGCTACTCACTGTGGTTTTTACACTTCGATTGGTTCCAGCTTCCAACAAGAGTTTAATACATTCTTTATTTCCATTTTTACAGGCCAGGTATAGAGGTGTCTGTCCTCCATCAGCAGCATGATTAATGTTAGCATCATATGAAATTAATAATTCTACACACCTAAACACAAGATTAGGATTAATTACATAAAACCTGGGTTTGACCTTTGAAGCACCACCTAACCAAGATATTAAATACAGAAAAGAAAGCAATGTTGCATCTTTATATACATCAATTGTTTCTATTTACATATATCAATTATTATGGATCTTATTACATGACTACTGTTTTTTTCACAAGGCTAGAAAATATATTCTAATCATAAAATTTAATTTCTCCCAGGAAATTTTGAAAAGTGCTAATACCTGCTTTATGACACTTCCCTATAACCAACTTGTGAAAGTAGAGTCCTTAGAATTTAACTTACTGGGATGAACGGTTTAACTGTACTTGATAAATATATATTATTTTGGTTCGAAATAGTTTGAACACTGAAAAAAGGCTGCTGAGTCATTCTGAGATTTTCACTTGAGAAAATAATTATAAATAGCATAGACAGCAGGGCACCATGTGCCTTCTCTATAAAAGGCAGCAGAAAGGCTGAGAAAAGGGTTGCCTTGGGGAGAAAAGACAGCAGAGGTTGTCCTGTCTCCTGAAGTCAGGCTAGTTGATGAGGAAAAGATAGCTAAGCAGAAACTCACTGTCCTGAGAATCAAGGAGGAAAGAAATGAGGTAAAGTCAAGACTTTGTGACACTTATTTACTAGCTAAACATGTAGAGCTTAAGTTGTAAAATTAGTTGAGAATAAACTTAGAAAAGAGGGCTAAATCATAATCAAAGTAAGAAGCAATCCACTTCATCTTTTATTTTCACTCCAATGAATGTTTTTCCTAATTTTCCCTTGCAGTATCTGATTTATACATTTTTTTTAAATTAAGTGACATGTTGATATACATGTGTATCAGACACATTTAAATTAACAAATCCAGCCTGGCACGGTGGCTCACACATGTAATCCCAGCACTTTGGGAGGCTGAGGGGGACAGATGACGAAGTCAGGAGATCCAGACCATTCTGGCCAACACGGTGAAACCCGTCTCTACTAAAATACAAAAAATTATCTGGGTGTGGTGGCGTACACCTGTAGTCCCAGCTACTCGGGAGGCCGAGGCAGGGGTATCGCTTAGACCCAGGAGGCGGAGGTTGCAGTGAGCTGAGATTGCACCACTATACTCCAGCCTGGCGACAGAGCAAGACTCCGTCTAAAAGAAAGAAAGAAAAAAATCCATCCCCAGATTTCTCCAGGGTCCTTCCTGTTTGCAAAGTTATCCATGCTTCCATTCCTGTGACTGCTATATGTCCAAGAAAGTGCCCCTACAGGTTGCCTGGTGAAAGTAAAGGTAAAAAGCACAGCTCAGGAGAAATTCCTTTTGAAGGAGTCAGGATATGTCCCAAGAGTAACAGCAAAATCAGTGTCTAGGGTTCTCAATGACAAACTCAGGGTAATGAGGTATGTGGTAGATATGCAGAAAAGTGAATCATGCTCTACATAAATAATTCATTTTGAATTTTAAAAAATTATATTTATGATTAATAACATGGGGTCAACCTTAAAAACCCATATTTCAATAATTCTGGAATTTGTTAAAGAACATTCCTATCGGGACAGTTAGATTAAAAAGTTAAAAGCAACTTGCGTTTCCCACAACCTGCCATTTCAGCACAGGCAGAGAAAGCAACTTAGCTATTTTCTATTTTTTTAAGTTAAAATATGACTTTTAATGTTAAAAAGTCATGCCTATATCTAACTGACTTAGTAAGCTACTAAAGAAATCATTGCTAAAGTTAGGTATATTTTAATTAATAGGGTCTCTTTAGCTTAATGCCCAAACTACTTTCAGTATGTAAAATTCATGCTTCCATTTTGTTTTAAATGGTAAAACAAGATGAATAATTAGAATACATTACCACTAGGAAATTTAGATTATTACAACCAATATAATTCTATGTTCTACTTTTAGTGACATCATAAGTAAAAAATCTTTTAGGGGGTTGGAATGGTGTAAAACAGTGAAAAACAAACTTCTCAACAGTCCTTCATCTCATGACATATGTGTTGATATGCCATAGATGATCTTCCAAAGAAAGTTCATTCACGTTCAGTTGGGACACAGCCCAGTTCTCTTCTTCACTTCCCTCAAACATTAACTATTATTAAGAGCAAATTTAGAATCCTAGTTTGCATTTAAATCCTCAAATATATTTAGTGAATTTATTTGCCAGTGATTTTAAGCACTAGTTTACACATTCAGCCGGAACTAAAATACGTGTGCAAATTATAAAAAGAGGCTCCTTTGATGGTGGGAAAAAAAGAATTAAGAGCAACTTACTCGAAATGTCCCTGAGCAGCTGCAGCACACAAGGGTGTGAAGCCATTTTTATCAGCAGCATTGACTTGGGCTTCTGCACTCAGCAGCAATCTCACACAGTCTATGGATTTTAATAGAAAGCCATGTAAATTCCCCATTTGGAGTTATGATGTGCCAAATTCTATACAAGCTGTAGATAGATTCTAATCCCAAAGGGACTCTCCCCTGCACAGTTCATCTCAGAATTCCATCATGGCAGACCTGAGACTCTGTAGACTATTTTACAGGAAAAGCAGCCAATTTTCCCAAAGATTATAATACCCCAGATTCACTAAGATGCGTGTGTGTGTGTGCATGCGCATGTGCCCATGCGTGTGTGCATTTTGGGAAGAGTTGCTGCTGAGTAAAAAAAAATGTCATGTGCCAGAAAATGCTTTACCAGATCTTTCCAACAGTCTATCCCAGAAAATAATGTTCCTGGATGGAGAATCAAATTCATTTACCAAACGGAAATACCATTCTTTGTACTTAAATAAATTATTACTTTATGATGTTTAATTTAATCTTTAAACTGCTTTTGGATGGTGGGCATCCTACACTTAACTCCATGAATGAGGCTAAAGGACAGCCCATCGAAAGTCACCTAACTCAGGAATAAATATCACCTAGATGTCACATTCCTGATGTTACTTACTAGATTTACTTCTTCTATATTAAAGAAAATCTCCATGGTGATTATGAAGAATTCTAGAATACTTTAAAAATAACGGGATCTCTGAGGTCACTAGAATCCTCCATTTATCTGAATTAATCGACAATCATATGGGCTTCCATATGCAACGCTATCTGACTTTGCATTTGCGGTCAAGTCCTCTCTTTTTCTGCACTCCCATATGTTTTGGTATATTTGACTACAGGATTTGCATTTTAAAGAACAAGAATAATTCCCAGTCTTCATCGATATACCATTTATAGTTACACAACTTCTCGGTTCTTTTAAGACATTCAAATAACTATAAATTGTTCCAACTGTGGAACAATTTCAGGCCCATGACCTTACCTAACTGCTAAAACTTTCCCTCACTGTAGCATGTAGCACTAAAGTTCTGATAATTAGACTTTCTCATATATCAGGTATTTCTAACAGACCATAAATGCAAACTAATCTTTGCATAAAACAAAGATTACTTTTTACTAGCTCTGGTAAAACTTTACATTAATGAACTGTACAATTTGGATTTTTTAAATGTTTATAAAAACTTTAAATCTCATGTTTAAAAAAACTATCCATTACCACCTGTAAAAGAAAAATAAAACTAAATTGAACTTTCTGCTCATTACAATTGATACATGGGCTTTTGACTTTCCATCCTTTTGCAAGTGTGTGGTATAAGATCTCGCCATATTTACCTGTATGTCCATTCTTAGCAGCAGAATACAAGGCAGAATGGCCATCTTCACAGGAGTAATTAATGTCCAGTCCTTCTTCATTAAGCAGCATTGATAATAAAGTGACATTTCCCTGGGCAGCAGCTTGCTGAAGAAGGGTGGGCCTGCCAGCCAGGGGGGCAGGACCACCACTCATTAGCAAAGGGGTTAGGGAGGGTGACCAGCCTGTAGGTTAAAGTGACCCTCGTTAGAGAGTAGGAGCAAGGACAAGAGACAGATATTACCCATTCCTTTCTGAATTACACACACACAAACATATGAACATGTGTCCCTAGAGGATTATGTGGTTTCTAACATTATCAATCTGTTAATATTTACTTAGCATGAATCTGGACTGTTATTTCAGATCTTACATCTGCTGCTAATTAAATCAACATACATGGTAAAAAATTATTTTTAGTCATGAGTCTTGCACAGGTAAGTGTTAAAGTGGTGACTGGTTTTAGGAAAACTTAAGATGGCTGTCTCATTTTAAAAGTTCAAATTTCTCTTCAGGATTTTAAAACAATTTGAATTTTAAAATGTAAAGGTTTTACAAGGTAAAGTTTTCCTCTAATTCAATATTAATCTGGAAAAGTAAACTGATATTTTTAGGTATAAGAGGAATAATTGTAACAGATTTTTCTTTTTCAACAAGGTTTCTAAAATGTTTAATTACAAATTTTATGTAAACCATTAAGATGGACCAAAGAGTCTATTTATATTCCTTGAATTCCCTTATTTGGGAATAGAAATAATGGAGGCCAACTGCTATTCAGTATTAAGAGATAATAAAATATAACATATATAACTGGATCTAGAGTTCACCAGCACAAATATTCAATATACAATTGTGAAGACTGTATCATCTGGCCACCTTTACAAAATGCCTAACAAACTTTTAATCAGCCAACAAAACAGGACACTCAACTATATAATTTTAACAAAAACAATGAGTTATAGTTAGATATTTCTCATCAGTATTTAGCAGCTTTAGAAGAGAGTCTGTTAAGTGTGTGAAATCGGCTGCATATAGCATGAAAAATTTTCTGAATTCTTCCTTGATCAAAAGGCTGTAAAAACAGTAAAGTAAAAAATGTTCATTCAATGTGACATATAGATATTTGTGTATTTTAGACTTAAATACAGTGAATTTTCAAAATAAGACATTTTCCGCTTTTTCCTTATAGGGTTCTAATACCTGTAACATTGTTGTGCATATGTACATATATTCATCCCTAAGGGCACACTTTCACAGACCAATTAAGACTATTTTGTCCTGACCAAAGTGATTACAGATGGAGGGCTTTATTCTAAATAGTGTTTCACAATGACTAGACCCTGAATTTCTATATGCACAATACATCTCATTGTGCATAAAACAAAGATTACTTTTTACTAGCTGCAGTAAAATTTTATGTTAAGGAACTATACCATTTGGATTTTTAAAATGTTTTGTAACTATCCACTACCACCTGTAAAAGAAAATTAAAACCATATTGAACCTTCTGCTCATAACAATGGTCACATGGGCTTTTGACTTTACATCCTTTTGCATGTGTGTGGCATGATGAGATAAGATCTTGCCATATTTACCTGCATGTCCTTTCTTAGCAGTGGAATACAAGGCAGAATGGCCACCTGATTACGATATGTGGTAATATCCCTTTAGTAAGATACAACAGATGGATGTTTTATACTCTCTGTACATTGGTATCAGCATAATTATTCTAAGCATATGAGAGTCATATTAATACATATGTAATACTCAATTCTTATGATTAAATCCTAAATTACTTGCCCTAAATTATCTTAGCATTTTAAAAGTACATATCAAAGGAACTTAGTATTTAAAAAATTCTTTATTAAAAAGGCAAAACAAAGCCAATTATACAAATGAAACTACACTGCTAATAAAAAGCTGGATATTATATCTTTATAATCAATTATTTGGGTCTATGAATAATTTATTGTTTTTAACCCTATTAGGACTACATGTAGTGACATACAAAATTAAAATGCTCATAAAATTCAATATTTATCTAAACTTTATGATATTTTCCTACTGATACTCATTAGCTCTTCTTACAAAAGTAGTATTTTTACTTCATACTTACAAGAAGGCTCCTCTCTGGTACATTTTACCTTTTGTATTTTCTTAAAAACAAACAAACAAACAAAAAACAGGCCCACAAAAATTAAATCAGTACTTATTAGAAATGCATAAACAGAGAAATTATAAACACGAAGGCATAAAACCTCGACTGCAAAGCAAACACAGGCAATATGAAGGCATCGCACTACAGTCCTCTGTGGAACAGGAGGGAATGGGGCTCATACTCAGCCTCTCTTTCATTCTCTCTTTAGATCTCATCCAAGGGGTCTTGGTTGTTGATATTCTTTTATGAATACCAATATATGTAAATGGTTTGCTATTCTTTTGGGTTTTGTTTACATTTTTCTTTTTTCACCATAAATCTAGGCTTTTGAGGGGAGGAGACAGTTTAAATATATTTTTCAACTGCCTTATATGGAAATATTCAATTGCAGCTGTAATTTCCTGGGAAACCCTATTTTTAATAAGTTATCCGAAAGACAAATTTTTTTTTCAATTTGTTTTCAATCTTTAGACCACTCAAGGGTTTTCTTACACAGAACTACAGAAGATATATCAGTTGCCTTATTTTTTTAGAGGTCTGCAATATATTTTTAAAATCTTTACAAAAGAAAAATGCTTTATAAATACCAAGTATTTTAAAACTGTAAATATGTTTTATATCTTCACTAACATTTCCAATGTTGTCTAGCATAGACAAGCTTATTTTAATAAATCCTGCCTAAATATGGGAAAAATAGGACTTCATCATGAGACTATACTGTTCATCTGAAATTCCCGACAATCATAAAAATGGTAATACTTAGTTAAGAGGTTAAATAGTGGTTAAGACAGAACAGACCGGTATTCATACAGCTACTCTAATGATGTTAGCAAAAGGTCAATCAGTTTTGCAGTGTCATACGCAAACATTAGTAAGGTGAGCATCCTGCACAACATGCCAGGAGGAAGGGAATGACTGGACATGCAATGGCAGAGGGAAGGAGTGAGAACAGCTTCTGGCATCAGCTTCAGAGGGTGGAGAAGGTTAATGTCATAGCCCAGATCATTCTTGTTTTCTGATTTAGCCTTTAAGCCAATCATACATGGAGGATAATTTTTAAAAGATATGTTTCAATAGGGAAAAGGTGTAAACCAAATTAAATCAAATGTATCAAATAAAAAAAGAAAAAACAGAAAAAACAATTTCCAAGGGTATGGAAACTCAGTTGCCTGGAGTGATTTCTGGTTTAGGCTTCTGTTCATCTAACATTTGAAATGTGTCTATTTGGCAAGTTCAGGAGGAACAAGAAATTCTAGTTCATTTAGAATTAAGAATGTTATTAAAAAATTTAACATTTGGCTATAAAGGTTGCCAAATAGAGTTTGGGTAATTTATACTACAATTCATTAAAAGGCTAACTTCTGTCATTCCAATTTTCCTTGGGGCTCTAACTTAGTCATAATTTTTATAGATAAAAGCTTACATGGAAACACAGGATTCTAGAGTTGGAAAGATCA
Source organism: Homo sapiens (assembly GCF_000001405.40). NCBI lineage: Eukaryota > Metazoa > Chordata > Mammalia > Primates > Hominidae > Homo > Homo sapiens. The sequence goes on from NC_000007.14 coordinate 117,787,885, forward strand.
TGGGCCAGTAGTTCTCCAAGGAGGGAGAGGTAGTTTGAAAATTTATCATGCAAGTTTAAATCTTTTTTTGTTCGGGAATATTATTATATAATTTTGGTTTAATGTTTTGAGACATGGTCTCACCGTGTCACCCAGGCTGGTGCACAGTGGCATGATTATGGCTCACTGTAGCCTTGACTTCCCGAATTCAAGTGATCTTCCCACTTCAGCCTCCTGAGTAGCTGGGACCACAGGCACACACTACCATGCCCAGCTAATTTTTATATTTTTTGTAAAGATGGGATTTTGCCATTTTGCCCCGGCTGGTCTTGAACGCCTGGGCACAAGTGATCCTCCTGCCTCGGCCTCCCAATGTGCTTGGATTACAGGTATGATTACTGCAGCCAGCAATGCTTTTGTTTTTAAATGAAAAAGCTAATGGCTCAGAGGGAATTAGCTCTCTAGGGTGATACTTAGAAAGGGGCAGAAATGGACTAATCCTGCCTTACTATACTTAGTTCAGTGCTTGTTTGATCACTGAAATTGGAAGAGACACCTGCCAGGTATTTGACAGATGTGTGTTGTCCCTGTGCCTTGCTTTGGGCAATCACAATGGAATCAGTGGCTGTTTGGAAGGTTAATCCCCTTCAAAGGGCTCATGACCTGGAGAGGCACAAGCTCAACCAGGCACAGACAGGTTAGTAAGCAGGGTGGAGGCAGCTCTGGTGTTTCTTAGTTGCAATGGTCACAGTGGCGAAAATAGGGGCAATCTAAATGCAAAACAGAGTTGAAATCCTCTATCTTATTTGGAAAGATCAGCTGAACTACATTTATACTTGAGTTGTAGAGTCGTACACCCCCATTGTGTAAGTGTAATCACACTTCCATTTCCCAGTCTAGGTGCTCAGTAAACACTTGCTGAATGACTCAAGGCCTCCAGTGCCTCCGTTCTCCCTTAATAAGCCACATCTTCTAAGCAAATGACATAGAAACTGGTTATTCTACCAAAAGTAATTCAGAAGTTCTGAGAGGAATAAATAAATAAAATACTTTGGTAAAATTGCAAAAGTCAGAGAGTAGAAAATAAGGAATCCGATTTCCGTATCTTCAGTCGCTGGTATTTTTTTTGGTTTCTGGTCTATATTGTCTTTTGCTCTCCAGACATAAGTGAAGGGCATTTTTCAGAGGAGTTATAGCTCTTTTATGTAAAATTTTACTGAATCCTAGGGCAGGATATCCTGGTGAATAGATAATAGATTAGTAAATCTCTGTCTTTAAAAGTTAACAGATTTTAATCCGTTAACTTTTCAATCCTGTTGACAAAATGTTCCTCAGTCATAGATCCTGGTTTTAAAGCTTCTCTGCCGAAACCAAAGGGCACATGCAGCTAAACCCAGGACCACAGTAATGACTAAGGCAACAAGTGGCAAAGCCTCAAGGTCTCAAAGTAAAGATGGCTTTGTATTTTTTTTAAGTGACAAAACTTCTATATCCTAGGAAGTGTTTTCTACTTTACAGTCTATGCATTTATGGCAATAGCACTGCCACTGCTCCACACATTTCTGGAACTTGTGTTTTGTGACTGCCCAAAGATCTTATAGTACATTCTCTATTCTCCTGAGTAGCAAAATTCCTCTCTGAGGGTGGATTTAATTTGTAAGAAACAGCCAAAATTATTTTAGGCCACGAGAAAAGCTGTTCAACTCAGTAATACCATTTTGGATCAAAAATATAGAATGCTGAATGCCTGTAAAGACATCTCAAAATAATACTAAAGTCAATTCCATAGCAAATTCTCAAAAATACTGTAAGCAACAATATCATTGAAGCAGTAATATCACCTCTATTTATTGATTACTCATGCTATTCTAAGCTCAATACCAAGCTGACAGGTTATAGGATCCAATCCTCCTAACAGCCACCCTCCCCCATATGAGTAGCAAAAGAAGTCACCAAAAATGCACAATTGTAAATGGCAGAGACTAGATTTCAACATAGATCTAACTTCCAAGTCCATGCTGCTTCCAATTCCCTATTTCGCCCCTCAAAATATGGATAAAGCCTCTCAAAGACCTTAATTTCAAGTTGATAGCTTATAATTGGACAAATAAATCCTAGTGTACTGCTGTCATCACCTGATAATTAGCAAATATGATGCTATTTGCTTTTCTCTCTCTCCCCTCAAAGTATTAAATATAACAACTGTTCAAACCTTCCTGTAATTATAAAAGTTCTCTCCCATTTGAACCAACAATCTCCACCAACCACTAAGATCCCATGGTAGGAGAGACTTCTTCAAAGTGTCAACAGAACTTTGTCATCCACATTTTGAGGGGTAAAATTGGGAATTGAAAACAGCATGGACTTTGCAGTTAGTCAGATGTGTTTGGAATCCAGTCTCTGCCATTTACAATTATGTATTTTTGGTAACATTACTTTAGAGCCACATTTGCTTAGTAAATAACTAATCCAGTCATGTCAGTAAAAAGCAATGCTTTCTCTAGCACTGTATAACAAAAGGGAAAAATCCACCTCTTCTTTGTTCAAGAGTCCCAGATTCAGTGACTTCATAAGCCACACCTGCAGTGGAAACCTTCTGTGACATAGCCCACATGCTATGTTAACCATCTGTGCCCGAGTGTTGGAAGATGGCAGCACTAAATAGGGTACATGGCTTTTGAAATAAACTAAACTTAGAACAGATTTATAAATATTCACACTCCATTTCTGAAGGTAAAAAAAAAAAAAACCGAAAACACCAAACTGATATTAGAACTTAAAATATACCAATTACGGAACAAATCTAGTCAATTTGGTAATCCAACATAGTGTTAATAATTACTTGAAAGGTCTTTAAAAATGTCATCTCAGAAGGAACAGAATTGAACACGTACTGTCTGATCATGACCCACTGAGGTCTTGCGAGATAAATATTTAATAAGAAGGAATACTCTTTTCTCCCATGTAAATATTTTAGTCTCTCTAAATTAATGGTCTCCATGTGCTTTAAGCCACTACTTTCAGGTTATCTTAAATGAAGAAAGCACTTAGCATAGCGAAACCGCAATTCATATAGCAAGATGAATCACCATACCCTGGAGCCTTTAAAAAAAATACAAAAAAAGAGAGAGAAAGAAAAGAAATGGGGGTGGGGGGAAGCATCAAATTTAAAAAAAAAGTTTCAAGGCAATGTGAAGAAAATCAAGGCAAGTGAGAAGAGAGGCCATATTCTTTAAAAAGCGTATAACATTTCAATCCCTTTACCTGATGCTGTTACCAGGAGGCTGTCTGAGGCACCTGGTCTACAGGATGAGGCACTAACGGGGTTTATGGAAGAGCAAAAGGCAATGGTGGTAGGAATGACAAGGGAACTGTCTGAACATGCAGGTTGGTTCAGTCCGGGGGTTGCAGCAGGCCAGGCACCCACCTGAGACGTGGCCAGGGCTGAAACGGCACAGCCTGCAGGTGCCACAGTTAAATCTATGGATGGTTTTGGTGGCAGCTGAGGGGAGGATGACTTAGGAAGGTTCTCCTCATTGATCACCCTGTTCCCTTGTGGCAAACTGGAAGGAGTCGAAGCCACAGTTTTGTTATCAACTTTGGCCCCTGTGTTCGAGGCCCTGCTGCTGTCTATAATAACCTTGAGTTGGGGGTGTGGTGGAGAAGGAGTTTGGGAGAGCCCTGGCTTTTTTGGAGGGATAGGAGGAGGATTTCCTCTGTCAACTCGTGCTACACCATGAGTCTTTAAACTGGTCCGACCAACTGGAGGGTGGGTGCCAACATCCCCTGTTGGGGGCACTCCAGGCCTTGAGGGAGCACCTGCTTGAGGGCTTGTAAATCTTGACAGTGCTTGGGTCACAGTATTCCGAGCTAGTTGTTTGGCCACTAGGTTGTCACGACTTGTAGGCGAGACATCTCTTGACGGAGGACTTTGGGTAGTATTTCCATTTTGGTCTGGGTCGTTAGCATTGCCCTGAAATCTAAATCTAGCTGCTTGGATTCGTGGGTTTAGACCTGGATGCAAAGAGGTGTTGGCACATGGTGAATGTAAACTGTGCATAGGTGGAGCTTGCGAGTTCTGAGGAGCTATGCCTGGTGTTTGAGCGGTGGGAGGGGCAGCGTTACTGGGAAGTGGGGGTGTGCTACTGGTTGGATCTGGTGTTGAGCCAGTGCTTGGTCCATTTTCCTCAATTTTGTTTGCACTTGGAGGTGGGAAAGCGGGTACAGAAGCGCCAATCAAGTCACCATAGGAAGCCTGCCTGTCAATACCTGGTCTGGCCATGGTGGCACTGGTGCACACGCTCCCTTTTGCATTTGCAGAAACTAGGGGACTCCCTGTGGAAGGTTTTACAGGCATGGTTAAAGGCAACTTTTTCATGTGGTCAGCATTTTCTGTCACTAGGTCTGTCTGGCATGCAACAGACCTTGTCACAGTTCCTTCTGTTCCCACAGATATGGAAACCAAACGCCTATCTTTTGTCTTCCGTGGAAGAGAGAGGCTTGGTTTGCTGTCACTTCCCCTTTTCAGTTGCTCAATCATTTTCCTCATCTTGTCTATCTCCTCTTTGAGGTCAGTGGTGTGTGCTTCTTCCCGGTTCAGCTTGGCACGAAGCTGTTCCCGCTCAGTGTCAAACTCAGAGAGTTGTTTTTCCATCTGAGCTTCCATTTCTGTGCTTCTTCGTTTCTCAGCGGAGAGTTCCTCTTCTAATTCATTCGTCTTTTTCTTTTCCTCTTCCAGTTTGGCCATTACGTCTTCGAGCTTCTGGGCCTCCTCTATGACTTTGCCTGAGAGCTGCTTGCACTCTTTGACCAGCATCAGGACCACCTGCTTGTTCTTGCCACGCTCTTCCTCAAGGCGGGCAGCCAGCTTCTTGTGCTCTTGCTCAAGGGCTTGTAGCTGAAGCTTCTCCATTTCCAGCTGAAAGAAATTCACAGGAAAACCCTGATTAATATACAGAATTTTCTTTTCACCAAGGAAATGCTTTTTGTGAGATTTTTATTAATTTTCTAACAATTACATAACTCGGGTTAGCAAAAACGCCACATTTTCAAAAAGTGTTGTGATAAGAAATATTTTAAAGACACATTAAAATGAGAAAATAGACGTAAATGGCTTTATAAAGACATCTAAATTACAACAATAGAGAATTTTTAAAGTCTATTGAAGTTAACTACAGAAAAAGAGAACAATAACCAGATGCTTTAAATCACAGCACAGGGATCAGAAAGGTCTATTTTTGTAAAAACACAGCTCTGTGATGGAATTGGTGATATTTTTAAAAAAGGTTTAATGCTTTAAAATTATTAATCTCTGAGGTAAAGTATCATGAAAAGTACTGAAAACCGAGGACTTCAGTTAAATTCTAAGCCCCCATGTTTGCTAATTGTATTACCTATCTCAGTAATGTAACATCTTTGAGCTTCCTATGATGAGTTGTTGTGGAAATCATATAAAATTATATATGAAAGAAAGTTCTTTGAAAACTCTAAAGAGCTAAAGAACGATCTTATTAGAACTACATTTGGTGTCAGTGAACCTGGAGCCTGACCTTGTCTCCTACTTTGATCCTGCTTACTCCCTTAGCTTCGCTGGATGCCCGGAGTTTCCTAAACATGGTCCTGCCTCGGGGTCTTTGTCCTTGCTGTTCTCTCTGCATGGGATTCCCACCACACACCTTCCCGTAGCGCTCCTGCAGTAAGCCATGTGCGCATGGCACAAGAGTGACCTGTGGGAGGGTGAGTAGGAGCAAAATTCCAGCCCTCTCTCCCTTCCTTGGATTTCCCTACTCACCCAGCTGCCTGCCCAGGCATGAAGACAGGGGTGCCTTTTCCTTCACAGAAAGGCACTGTCTGTTCACCAAGCCATAGGCCCTTAGGATTGGTGCTTTCCAGAGTGAAATCATTTTTCTAACTGATCAGCCTAGACAGGGAGCTTTCAAAGCCTTTCTTTCTCCAGATGGGGCTTTCTAATATACACAAAAGCTCCCAATAGCACAAGAGGTTGGCTTGTTCATTTCTTCCAGACTTCTGCTCAGCTGTCACCTTTACAATGAGGCCTTCCCTCACCACCCTGTGGGAAATAACAGTTGATAAACTCCCACCCTTGTGTTTATCAACCTTTGTTCACTACCTGCCTGCACCCCCCCTCACCCCAAGTATGACTTTACTGAGGGCAGGGACTGTGTCCTTAAGACCTAGAACAGTGGCTGGCACACAGTGGTGCTTAATAAATTGTATATTGAATGAATGAGCTGAAATTAACATAGTTCCACTGATAACAATCAACTTCCGTTACTGATGGGCTTTCTGGCTAAGTGGGCAGCCTCACAGTGGCACTAGTCTAACATGTTACTGCAAATTTCTCACTTCTGTCTAGGGAAGCATCTGTCATGAGGGGCTCATGAAGGACAAAGGACTCACCCCAAGCTGGGATACAGAAGCCAGGTTGGCCTACATGCCTCACTTCCCCAACTAGTGAAATGTTCCACTGGCGGTCCATAATGGGCCTTATGGTTCCTAAAGGTTAAAGTACATCTACCTGATTATAAAGATGTGGATAGGACTTGTTTTCTCCTGTAGATGTTAAACACAAATATCCTCCCAAGAGAGTCACTACTTATTTGAGTCAAATTTTTGTCATCAATAACAAAGGAAGATACTCTCATGATCTGTAAGTCCTGACGATGTTCCTGTTTCTTACCCTGTTACAAAAATCCACGACTCCTTTCCCCTCACAGTCAGTCATGGGACCAAAAGGAGAAAATGGCTTGCTATACAACTAATGGTGAGAGATAGTGTTTCTTTACTCTGGGATGCTTCCTGCTTTGACAAACAATTGCTAAATAGCATTGGGATGTGTCCCATAAATAGATAATCAGGAATATAGATTATTCCTCAAGCTTAATTACATATATACTTTATTCTACTGGATAAAATTTTGGGAGTAATTCATAAGTAGATTAGGTAAGACTGGGGAACAATAGTGTTGTCATATACTGTTTTTATATGTATATCTTTTTTTTTTTTTTTTTTTTTTTTTTTTGAGACGGAGTCTCGCTCTGTCGCCCAGGCGGGACTGCGGACTGCAGTGGCGCAATCTCGGCTCACTGCAAGCTCCGCTTCCCGGGTTCACGCCATTCTCCTGCCTCAGCCTCCCGAGTAGCTGGTACTACAGGCGCCCGCCACCGCGCCCGGCTAATTTTTTTTGTATTTTTAGTAGAGACGGGGTTTCACCTTGTTAGCCAGGATGGTCTCGATCTCCTGACCTCATGATCCACCCGCCTCGGCCTCCCAAAGTGCTGGGATTACAGGCGTGACGACCGCGCCCGGCCTACTGTTTTTATATGTATATCTTATTCACGTGGGAGCCTTGCACAAATTTGACATATTATTAACTAAAACACATTGAACTCTTCTGAGATGCACCAAATAACAGACTGGTATTAGAAGGCATATGCAAAGTTAGAACTATTAAGAAAATTTAAATCGTATTTTATACTAACCCCAACAAAAAAAAATTCTTACAGCAATGTAAGAAAAACATAAACTAGGCCAGTTTTCCGCTATTAAAATACAAATTTCATCATTTGCCTCTGAAGGTAGAGAATTTTAAGAGCTACCTTCATTTTTACAAAACAATAACTAGAGGCCATATTAGTGTTTTTCCTAATGTCATCCAGCTAATGAGTGTCAGTCATGGCAATCACTCAGGGTTCTACCTGTCTCAGGTTTTTCTCACTGTATCTCACATCTTGTCCACAGTAATTCTGCACTATGGATCATCATCTTTCAGAATCAAATTGAGAAGGAGTTCCAAGTGGAGAGCAATTCAGCTAATCTCAAATATTTATAGAGAAAACTATACTATTATAAAAGCATCTGTAATTCTTTTCTATCTTTGTCCTCCATCACTTGTGCTTTGTAAATCCTATCTCAAACTAATACATGTCTTAATAAAAGTTTACCGCAGAGAGCAGAGCACAGAGGAAACCTCACAATTGATATACCTATAAACACATGGCTCTAAACTCAAACTCTGACTCCCAATCATCAATCACTCTACCTAACTTTATTTAGCTTCCTCTGCCATTTACTACAGGGGATATTTCAAACCTCTACCTTTCCCCAAATCTTCACCCAGTGACCACTCAACTGACTTAGTCTCTCTTTACAGACTCCTTTATCAAAAACATTCAAACTCACTCACTTCCCCTCTTCATCCTATCTCCTCCTTTAAGCTTTTTCATAGCAACACCAATCTATATTTCCTTCCCTTCAATCTAAGGGGGAAAGGTTTCCATCTGCTCAGTGTTGGACTTTCCTTCAGCACTTAACTTCATTCTCTCCCGTCACCTCTGGGACTCACTCCGTCAGTTATTATGTTGCTCTTTTTAAAATATTAAACACCTTTTTCTCTACAGGAGACTTCCAATCACATTATATAAGCACAGTACATAAACATTTTTATATTAAAAAATCTTTGACCATTTCAGCTCAGAGACAAACTATGTGTACTTAAGAGAATAAGAGATGTAGTACAAAATAACATACTCCCATACTTTAAAAATAATTTTTATATTAAAAAATCTTTGACCATTTCAGCTCAGAGACAAATTATGTGTACTTAAGAGAATAAGAGATGTAGTACTAAATTCTGATCCCGAACTTACTAGCTGTGTGACCTTTGTAAGTTCTCTAAAAATTGGTTCTGTATGATCCTAATTATGTTATTTTATGGTTTTAAATAAGACAACACGTGTAAATCACATAGCATAGTGCCCGGCACTAAAAAATACTAAGTTTTCAATTCATAACACAACAGACTATTTGTATTATTTTAAAATGTGTGTGTGACTTTGCACTATATTTCTTCCTCTGAAAACACACTAGAGGCATACAAAAATCTAGAGAATACACCATATTAAACATGTAGATGAATGTTTTTATAAGTTAGATAGGGGTTATAATTTAGCAATTATGAAATATATCAGAGAAAGTTCTGCTACCAGTAATGGAGAAGCAATGGTTATTAGACTAATTCTCCTGCAGATAATAATTATAACCCCTTGAAAAACATATAAAACATAGTGATTTAAAGGCTCTTGAGAGCAATAAAAGAGGTAGAAATGAGAGAAGAGTAAACCCTCCTGTAAGAAAGGAGCCAATAGCATTGGATGAGATTTGCCTTCATGTAGCTGCTCAGCTGGAGGCAATTCCCTATTCTGGTAGCACTGGCAGCTGAAACTCAAGTACAATGCACTGGTGATATGGGCTTGAGGAGTCAGAGGATGAAACTGAGGTTGCCACGGTTTACCAGCATCCTTGTTTGATCCTTGAATTACACATTCATGGGGCAGACCCCACAGAATGACAGAAGGTGGCTGCTGAATGTCTGACAGAGCTGAGCAAAGACCTCAGATGCTGCCAACTGCAAGGAGACAGAATATGAATCTAACCAGGTTAACTGTTTACTAGAACAAAGTACAGCTCTTCAGCAGGTAACAGAATCCAGAGTCTGCAACATATCATATCATCCTCAGTGTTCAGTATACAATAAGAAATTACTAGACAATGAAATTAAGAAAAAGTGAATCCTAGTCTAGAGAAAAGTAGTCAATAAAAACCGGCCCAAGATGATCCACGCTGGAATTAGTGACAAGGATTTTAAAGCAGCCATTTTCAAAGAAAATATGGTCATAATAAATGAGGGGAAGGGGAATCCTGGCATACAAACAAAAACTATAAAAAAAGAACCAAATGTACAAACAGAACTGATAAGTGTAATATCTAAACTGACAAAAAGTTCACTGAATGGGCTTAATAGCAGATTTGAGAGAGCAGAAGAAAAATAATAATTAATTTGAAAATAAAGCAAAAGCAAGTATTCGATTTGAAGAGCATAGAAAAAAAGATTGAAAACATTGAACAGCATCTTATTTATATCTAGGGCAATACAAACTGGTTTAAATTCCATGAACTGGAGTTCCAAAAAGAGAAAAAAGACAGAATGCAGAAGAAAAATATCTTGGAAGAAAAAATGGCCCCAAAATTTACAAATTTGATTAAAAAGGCAAACTTACAAATCCAGGAAGCTCAGCAATTTCAAAGCAGAAAAATATAAAGTTATACCTAGGCACATCATAGTAAAACTGCTGAAAACAAAGACAAATAATCTTGAAATCAGCCAAAAAATTAAAGACATATTACGTACAGAGAATCTGCAACATAAATGATGGCAATGGTGATAATTTTCTCTAAAATATACAAAGCAGAACCTGACAGAAATACAGGAAAAATAGACAAATCTACAATAATAACAATATCTCACTTAAAAAACCTAGATTAAAAAGCTCAGCAAGAATATAAATAGTATATCTGAAAACACTATAAAAATCACCTGGCCATTGATATTTATAGGGTAGAATATACCAAAACTACAAAAGATATTCTTTTCAAACGTACTTGCTGAGCTATTGAGAACTACCAAACCAATAGATTTCGAAAGGCTAAAATCTTATAGACTGTGTTCTCTGACTAAAGCAGAATTAAACTGGAAATAAATCATAAGATATTAAGAAAACCTCAAAATTCAAAAATAAAACAATATATTGCTAAATAGTAAAGAGGATTAAGAGGAAATCACAAAGTAATTTAGAATATATTTGGGGCTGAATGAATACAAGAACACAGCATACCAAAATTTGTGGGACTCTGAAAGCAGAGCATCTAAAAGCAGCTAAGGCCGATATGGCTTTAAATGTTTACTTTAGAAGAGCTGCCTCAAATCAATCATCCTAGTTTCACCTTAAGAAGCTAGGAAAAGATGGACAAAGTAAATCCAAAGTAGAAGGAATCAAATACCAAAGAAATTGATGAAACAGAAGAAATAAATGATAGAGAAATTAACAAAGCCAAAAATTGTATCTAAAAGATTAATAATATTGCTAAATATGTAGAAAACCAGATTTAGAAATAGAGAAAAACACAAATTACAAATAACAGGAATGAAAGAGGGGATATCACTACAGATTAAAGAAATATTAAAAGGATAACTTTGTGCCAATAAGTTCAATAAATTAAAAAATCCTCTGAAAGCTACACTTTCAGAAATTACACAAAATGACATAGAAAATTGGAATGGCTTTATATTTTTTTAACAGAAACTAAATTCACGATTAAAAACTTCTTCCCAAAGAAAACTCCTAGCTTATAAGGCTGTACTGATGTTCTAGAAAACATTAAAGAAAAAAAAAATGATGCCAAACTTACACCCTTTCAGAAAATAGAAAAGACTTCCAACTCACTTTGTGAACAAAAAATTACCTTTATACAAAACAAAAATTTTTTTTAATTTACAGAGAAAACATCTCTCTTGGACACAGACACAAAACTCTTTAGCAAAATATAGGCAAATGAAATCCACCAATATATAAAAAAAGTAATAAAAAGGTGACCATGTGAGATTTACCTTAGGGGTCTAAGTTGGTTTAATATTTGAAAATCAATCTGTGTAACTCAATATATTAAAAGATAAAAGAGAAACACCAGGATTATGTCAACAAATGCAAATAAACTATTTTTTAAATCAAAACCATTCATGATAAAAAAAAAACCTTCCAACAAAGAATAGAATGAAACCTCAAATGAGATAAAGAGCATCTATGAAAAGCACAGCTAACATTGTACTTAATGATGAAACATGAAATATTTTTTCCCTAAGAAAAAGACAATAAAGTCTACTTTCACTACTTCTGTTCAACATTGCACTGGAGGTTCTAGTCACTGCAATAATTCCAGGGCAGTGGTGGGGAAGAAGAAAAAGGCAGGCAGGCAAATCATTTGGAAAGGAATAAGTAAAATGTTCTCTATAGATCATATATTTTATATTTTTAACCTAGAAAATCATGAATATACAAAATAATGGCTAGAACTATTTAAGTAATATAGCAAGATTACAGAATACAATGTGAACATACAAAGTCAATTGAATACCTGCACATTAACAACAAACATTTGAAATTCTTAAACAAATAATGCTATTTACAATAGCATCAAAAAATAAAATATGAGTAACAGCAACAAATGACTTCTAAGACCACCACACTGATAGAAGCCAAATGTTGCTAAGAGATTAAAGATCTAAATAAATGGAGAAATGTACTATAATTATGGGTTGGAAGACTCTACTTTACTAAGATGTCAGTTCTCACAAAATTAGTCTATAGATTCAATGAAATTTTGATCCCTGCAAACTTTTGGAGAAGCCAAATTGCCTTTAATTTTTTTTTTTGTAGGGAAGCCCAAAGGATTTAGACTAGCCAAACAATTTAGATAAAGCAAACAAAGCTGGAAGACTAACAGCTCCTGAATTTAAGGCTAACTATTAAAACAATAGTCATCGTTTACCTAAAATTCTAATATAGGTAAGACTAATCCATGATGAAAAAATCAGAATAGTGCTCAGCAGTTTCCTGAGTTGGGGGAGGGACTTATTGGGTAGGTACTGCAGGAACCTTTTTATGTGGTGATGGAAATATTCTATATCTTGTTGGTGGGGTGGGGGATGCACAGATTACCCACATGTATGCATTTTCAAAACTCATTAATTTTTAGACTTAAGATATGTGAATTGTACTTCCTGTAAACTTTTCCTTAAGAATCTGTAAACTAATTTTGAATTCCAGGTTTTCATTTTGGCCTTATACAGCGGTATGAGTAAGTAATTCTGAAACTACTCTGTGTGTTCCACGCTTCAGTAAATGAGTAAATATACTGAAGTACAGTGAAAATCGGGTTTCTCACTGGTGGAAAAAAGGAGTCATAAATAGAAAAAGGACTGGCATATACTCTATGGCTTGGAATTAGATTCAGGAATGTCAGTGTCAGTATACTGACAGCTTGATACATAGAGAGACAGACAAGATATATAGCTATGTTTTGTGTACATATGAATATGATAAATATATGTAATTTCCTAGCTCCAGATTTGTTGCTAAGTACCATCTCCCATTAAATAGGAAACAGTGCTCCTGGAAGAAATACCTAATTCCAAGCATTGGATTAAAGAAAACACAAAATGAGCCTGGAGTATCTTGCTGCAAGTGCTAAAAAATGATGAGAATATATAGAAGAAGCCAGCTTAAGAGGGCTCCCAGTGGCCAAATCGGGGACAGATAGTGATGGTAAGTTTTGAACTCATCAAATAGGCATCCATGACTCCACACTGATGTAATAAACAAGTAAACAGGGGAGAAAGAAAAGCTTTTCCTTACAGTAGAATGCCACATAAAAAATGCAGAAGGAATAATGGGGTTGAAAAATCATCAGTGGATTCTAAAACTAGCAGGTGAACATTTAATGAATAAGATATTTAAAGAATATCAACATATTTCTCCACAAATTAGTTATTAATACAAAAGGAACAATAACAACTAAACAGTGAGGAAAACATGCAAAAGCTGAATAAAATCATCAGGAAACATTAGACAAACTTGAATTGAGTGACGTTTTACAAAATACCTAGCCCATGCTCTTCAGAAATATCAGGGTAAATAAAGCAAAGAAAGATTGAAGAGCTGTTGCAGCTTAAAGGAGACTAAAGAAAATAACAATTAAACGCAATGCCTGATCTTGAATTGGGAAAATAATTGCTACAAAGACCATTATTGGAACAACTGGGGGGAAATGAATATGTGGATTAGAAAAAATGCTGTTTCAATTATAAATTTCCTCATTTTAAAAAACTGTATGGTGATTATGTAAGAGATTGTCCTTATTCTTAGTAAATATACATCAAAATATTTAGGAGTAAAAAACCATATGTCTTTAATTTATTTTCTAATGGTTTGGAAAAAACATCTGTGTGTGTGCGCTCACGCATGTATGTGTGTAAAGGAGAAGGAAAAAATAAAGCAGATTAGATAAAATATAAACAACTGTGAATCTGGGTAAAGAATGCTGATACCGTACTATTCTTGCAACTTTTCTGTAAGGTTCAAATTATATAAAAATTAAAAGTTTGGAAAATGTTTTTTATTTTTTTTATTTTTTTATTTTTATTATACTTTAAGTTTTAGGGTACATGTGCACATTGTGCAGGTTAGTTACATATGTATACATGTGCCATGCTGGTGCGCTGCACCCACTAACTCGTCATCTAGCCTTAGGTATATCTCCCAATGCTATCCCTCCCCCCTCCCCCCACCCCACCACAGTCCCCAGAGTGTGATATTCCCCTTCATGTGTCCATGTGATCTCATTGTTCAATTCCCACCTATGAGTGAGAATATGCGGTGTTTGGTTTTTTGTTCTTGCGATAGTTTACTGAGAATGATGATTCAATACAGGAAAATTACAATTATATAAGAAACAGATATAGTAATCACTTGAATATGAGGAAGGATTTCTTTTAAAAGCTTCAAAATAGTCCTATGCAGAAGAGCAAAACTGGACCCACACCTTTCAACATATACAAAAAATAACTCAAGATGGATCAAATATTTAAACATAACATCTCAAACTATAAAAATCCTAGAAGAAAATCTAGGAAATACCATTCTAGACTTCAGCATTGGCAAAAAAAAAAAAAAAAAAAACAAAAACAAACAAACAAAAAAACAAAAAAAAAGTTATGGCTAAGACCTCGAAAGCAATCACAACAAAAATACAAATTGTTAAATGGGACCTAATTAAACTAAAAAGCTTCTGCATGACCAAAGAAACACTCAATGAGTAAACACTCTAAAAGATAAGAGAAAATATTCATAAACTATGCATCTGACAAAGGTCTAACATCCAGAATCTATAAATAACTTAAATCAACAAGCAAAAAGCAAATAACCCAATTAAAAAGGTGGGCAAAGGACATGAACAGACATTTCTCAAAAGAAGATATACGAGTAGTCAACAAACATGAAACAATGCTCTATATCACTAATATCAGAGAAATGCAAATCAAAACCACAATGAGATACCACTTCACACCAGTCAGAATGGCTATTAATAAAAAGTCAAAAAAATAATAGATGCTGAAGAGGCTGTGGAGAAAAGAGGACACTTATACACTGTCGGTAGAAATGTAAATTAGTTCAGCCACAGTGGAAAGCAGTTTGGAGATTTCTCAAAGAACTCAGAAATACCATCCAACCCAGCAAACCCATAACTGGGTATACACCCAAAGGAAAATACATTGTTCTACCAAAAAGACACATGCATGCCTATGTTTATCTCAGCACTATTCACAATCAGCAAAGACATGGAATCAACCTAGGTGCCCATCAACAGTGAACTGGATAAAGAAAATGCGGTACATATACACCATATACGCCATACGTATACACATATACGCCAACTAAAAGAATGAAATCATGTCCTTTGCAGCAACATGGATGCAGATGGAGGTCATTATTCTAAGTGAACTAATGCAAGAACAGAAAACCAAATACCACAAGTTCTCACTTGTAAGTAGAAGCTAAACATTGGGTACACATAAAAAGATAGGAACAATAGATGCTGAGGACTCCAAAAGAGGGGAAAGGGGAAAGGACTGAAAAACTACCTATTGGGTACTATGCTCACTACTTGGGTGACAGGATCAATCACACCCCAAAACTCAGCATCATACGATATGCCAATGTGAACCTGCACATGTTCCACCTAAATCTAAAATAAAATCGAAATTATTTTTTAAAAAGCTTCAAAATAAAGTTTAAAAATGAAAAGAAAAGAAAGACCAAGGAAGAATGACTTTTTTATGTATTAAGGGAGTTGTGACTCATCCAAAAAGGTATGTCTGGAACCCATCAAGAGACATAAGTAAAGAGAGGGTGAGAATCAGGTTGTAGAGAAGAATGCACCAGGAGACTTATAGAGTTAAAGCATTACCCCAGGAAACCAGAAAAGGCTACTGCAGGGAGAAGAGAGCCAATAATATTCTTGAAGAAATGGGTACCAAATGGCATTGAAGAAGGAACTATATTTTGTCCTTAAAAAAGGTAAATATAAGCAAATCATGATACATGATTTTTAATAATTTCATATGGTAGATTAAATTTGAATAACTGCTTTTTGATGTTCAAAAGCCTGGCCTTTATTTATTTATTTATGAATGAATGAATGAATGAGATAGGGTCTCGCTGTTGCCCAGGCCAGAGTGTAGTGGGGTGATCTCAGCTCACTGCAACCTCTGCCTCCTGGGTTCGAGAGATTCTTTTGCCTCAGCCTCCTGAGTAGCTAGGACTACAGGTATGCGAGAACATACCTGGCTAATTTTTGTATTTTTAGTAGAGACGGAGTTTCACCACGTTGGCTAGGCTGGCCTCAAACTCCTGATCTCAAGTGATCCGCCTGTCTCAGTCTCCCAAACTGCTGGGATTACAAGTGTGAGCCACTGCACCCAACCAAGCCTGGCTTCAATTTTAATAAATGTTATGAGCCAGTAAGTTTCTCAAACCACTAGTGTATATAACAAACATTTGTTTTTCTGGGGATCATACGCCTTTTGAATCTTATGTACTATGAAAAACACAACACCACAGACATGGTATTTCTACCAAAAATGCAAAAGCTGATCAAACTGTGATCAAACTGAAAAGTCCTAACTCATTATTATAAATTTCATATATGACTATTCACAATAGCAAAGACACAGAATCAACCCGAATGCCCATCAGTGACAGACTGGATAAAGAAAATGTCGTACATATACACCATGGGATACTATAAAGCTGTACAAATGAACAAGATCACATACTTTGCAGAGACATGGATGGAGCTGGAAGCTATTATTCTCAGCAAACTAACATAGGAACAGAAAACCAAACACTGCATGTTCTCACTTATAAGTGGGAGCTGAACAATGTCAACACATAGACACAGGGAGGGGCACAACACACACTGGGGCCTGTTGGGGCATGGCAGGGGTAGAGCATCAGGAAGGATAGCTAATGCAGGCTGAGCTTAATGCCTATGTGATGGGTTGACAGGTGCAGCAAACCACCATGGCACATGTTTACCTATGTGACAAACCTGCACATCTTGCACATGTGCCCTGGAACTTAAAAAATTTCCTGCATGTTCATTCTCCATGATATGTAGAAAAATGACCCATTTCAAGCAAAATCTTTTCTGTGGTCTCTCTTCTTGATTGTTTCAATCTTTATTAATACATTTTGAATGTCTTTTGAATACCTGACCTTCATGTTTTTAGCTCTTTTTGAAGCATGAACTAGGTCGATCATATATTTAATAAGAGTTTTAGAGCTGGTCTTTTGATCCAATATCATATAGGCATTTTTTCCCTCTAAACTTTGGGATATTCTCTTGATTGTAGAGCTATGGGGGAATACATGTGTTAAAATCTGTGTCTCTCAATCTTAAATGGCTTGAGGGAATGACATAAAAATCACAAAGAATCCAAAGTATTAAGGATTTTCCACTTTTCTAGCAGTAAGGAAGAAATACAGTACATATAGGAAGCCTGAGAAGCAGGAGATCTGAGTTCTACCACCGAGTGGCTATAGGAAAGTCACACAGCAGTTAAGTATGTGGACTCTGAAGGCAGACTGCTTGTCTTCAAGCCAATGGGCACAGCTGTTCAACTTCTCTGTGACCTTAATTTACTTATGCTTAAAATGCAATAATAATAGCCTCTACAGTATGTAATAACAACATCCTAAGGATCAAATGAGTTGATTTAATAGGACATGGCATACACTGCGAGCTCATTACATCTCCGGGGAATCCCTTAAGCTCTCTGAATTTAATCATATAATTTTGAAACCTCCTGTCATTATCACCATCAAGAGTCGTTGGCTCTTTCCTATATTTTTTCCTATCATCAATAAAGTAGTTTCCAGTACTACTTTTACAGATTTTTAAAAAAATTGTTCAGGTCAGTATAACAGCAGTGAATGTGCACTTGTTTAAATTTGAGTCATCTTGGTATTAATTTGTTCACACATTATCACAAGCAATGTCTTAAAGAACTTTTGAAGAGAAAATATCTAAACTGTGTACAAGGAACCACACTAGAAACTACAAAGGATATGAAAATCCATAAATTCCACTTATTTGATTGTAGGACTACACAAATTTTAAAGAGATGATCAGATGGCAGGACCACATACTAAGTTAAAAAGGAACCACAGTATACATAAATTATGGAGTTCCAGGTGACTTTGTTATGTTATTGTCGAATTTATATCTCCTTCGAACCACTTTCAAGCAGGGGCCGAGGGAAACTTTGCATGGAGCAGTAACACCAAACTCTTTTGCAAAAAGCAGTGGATTGTGTGGAAGAGCTCAGAAGAATGAACGCAGCTTCACTGGTAGTGAGAAAGTGGGTGGCTGCTCCAAGAATAGCACCCAAACTGGAAGCTATGAATGAAGAGGCACCAAACACATGGTTTTATAGAATGAAAGGGAAAACTATGTAGGTGGGAGCAAAGCAGCGCTGTAAAGGCAATTAGTTCTAATTCAAAGTGGAAAACTGAGAGGAAAGCAATTACAGCCATTTATAAATTGAGAAAGCAGAGTGCATATCTGCCACACCACAAAATACTCTTACGACATTTAACCATACTCTTGATTGCTCTCCCAAAATCTTTTAAGGCTCGTTGCATCCCTGTCCTCTTCTCTCCCTGGGCACTCCAACCCATCTGCTCAATCTGATAAACAAATACATAACAACAAGATATATTAAGAGATCTTTTCATTTTTTTCCTTTCATTTTTAATTTCAAAGGGGCTGTGGCTAACATTCAGTGATCTGGGCTATACAGTTCTCATCTGCCCCTCCCTCTTAATCTAGAATCTAGAGTTTCAAGAGTGGGAAGGCAAGCCCTGGAAACAGAGGTTTGGCTCATTTCTTTCTTCTTTTTCTCATTTTTTTTTTTTTTTTTTTTTTTTTTTATTTTGAGACAGAGTCTCGCTCTGTTGCCCAGGCTGGAGTGCAATTGTGCGATCTCGGCTCACTGTGAGCTCTGCCTCCCAGGGTCAAGCAATTCTCTTCCCTCAGCCTCCTGAGTAGCTGGGATTACAGGTGCATGCCACCACACCTGACTAAGTTTTGTATTTTTAGTAGAGACAGGGTTTCACCATGTTGGTCAGGCTGGTCTTGAATTCCTGACCTTGTGATCCGCCCACCTGGACCTCCCAAAGTGCTGGGATTACAGGGGTGAGCCACCATGCCCGGCTGGCTCATTTCTATCTACATGGATCAGGCAAACTGCTCTCTCCTTGAAATTTCTACTCAGAGCCACAGATCTCAATCTCCAACTCCCCCTTGACAATGGCTCTGCAATGCTCCTGGGGAATCAAAATGCATTTTTTAATGTAACAATGCAACAAAAAAGACTCAGGAATGAGCTAAATAATCTTTCATGTGCAAAATGTCCTAAATCCTCTCCTGACAATTTTATTACATATGATTCTCTACCATGGTATTACTGAATGAAAGTCTAAAAAGCAATTTAAAATGAAAATACATTTATATATGTGGTAAGCAATATATAATGAAGTAGAGAACATGGAATAAAAATGGCAGAATAAAGTACAATTGTAAGAAGAAATGGGCATATGAAATCAAGGAAACAAAACAAATATTTTGTTCTTTTCTGACCCATTTCCATTTCTTCGGTTGTCTAGCACTGGAAACTCCTTCCTATGTTAGGAGAATTCTCTACTTTATGATTCTCCCCTGTAGAAGCTAAATATGTCCAGTAGTTGCTTTCCTGGTCTTCTGTGTAGTCTAAGCTTGGCTAATGAAATGCACCTGTCTTAGGCTTCAAATAGGTAATGAGTGATACAAAAAAGAAGGACCTGGGGAGGGACCACTCAGGATCTGGAGCAGTGAGGGCACCAGTGCTGTCTGGCATCAACAGGGTGAAAAGAAAGCTGCAGCATCCATTTCTCATCAGCAGAAGCATCTCCTGCTGCAGACTAGCTCTGCAGACGGTACTTGTTTGTGATGCTGGCTGGGAAGAGCTAGTCCTCTAGGCTTTGCTAGCCATGCTGAACCACGATGTAAGCCAACTATTTCTATAAACCAGACAACAAATGCCCTTTCTGCCTTCTCAATGAACATTGGCTTCACCAGCTCAAAACTAAGAATCCTGTCTGAGGCATCTATTGCCATGCAACTCACCTATTTATATTGCGCTGCCACATAGAAGGAGCTGTATCTAATACACACAGTTATTTTTAGTTTTTTCACTGGTGAAAAGAATTGTTCCCCCTCTGAATTTCCTGGTTATTATTTTGGCTACACAGATTCAAAGTTCTGATCAAATTAAAAGGTCTTTCCTTCTTCAGGGCCAGAATTTATACTTCCTGAATGCGAAGAAAATGTTTGAAAATATACAGATTTCCTCCCTACTGTTCAAAGAAATCAGAATGGAAATTCTATTAAAAGATGATAGACAAGATTAAAAAAAAAAAACCTCCAAATATCATTCCATCCTGGGTTACTGGCTCAAAATGGGAAGTGGATTACCGGAGGCAAAGTTCCCCATGATGATTACTCATTAGCTTATTCAAAGTGGCTTCAGAGCCTCAGTCCATTTGCCAAATTGACTCTTGCCCAAATTTCCCTGGCACACAAATTACCAAACAGTTAACCCGCCTATTCGTAGTCGCAGCAGGAGCCAACGCATGAATGAGCACAGACCCTGTTCTCCTGCCTTGAGAGGCAAACTAGAGCAGCGCTCAGGCCAAGTGTCTTAGAATTACCAAAGAGATATGACCGATGTCAGATAATAAATACTTGAATCATAGCTAATGGAGCCTTTGCTTTCCCAGACATTTGCTCTGGCAGTGATTTAAAGAACTGAACTCATTTAAAATAATGGATTTTTTTTCCTTATGGCTTTTAGATGTCTAAAGCTGCAATTTACTCTACATGCGAGGGAACTGAAGACATTTGGTTAAAATATTTGCTTTCAGAGGACTAAAGGTGACAGGTAATTTTGTTGTTAAAGAGATGACTTTGGTGTTTCTGCTTTCATCAGCTGATACGGTATTTTCTTTTTAAGACACAGGGTAAGAGTACAAATTATAACTCTTCGCATACACTATAATCTACTAAAATATAATATTTTTTAAGGACAAAATGTAGCACTCCCTGTCAGAGAAACCCTTCACTGAGACGACACAGCCAATGAAGTTGGCTATAAAGGACTCCTGTATTCCCATTATACATGGGAGACACACCACTGGCTCATTTTATATTAGCCTCTCAGGACCCATAGGACAGAAACAATTTCCTTTCACTATCAGCCAGGTTGGAAATGACCCAGTCATTCAGAAACAAACAGGATGTAAGTTGATTTAAAAAAAAAAAATCAGCTAGATAATAAAATCTTTGATCCAACTAGAAGTGTTCTTTTTTTCTCCTAAAAGAGAAATGAGTTTTGTTAAAGGCAGAACAGAAGTAAAATTTTAGGAAAGTGTTTTTTATATATTCAATGACAACAAAGTGTTTTCTTAATTTTTTATAACACAATATAAAGTCCAGCAGAAATAATTTATTATGAAATAACTCATTTGACACATTACAGGCATAATTGAAATGTATCCCATCCAAGAAATACAAATGAGTTTCAGTGACATCAGCTGAAATTCATTGGCTCTTGTGTATGTGGTTTGTGGGGAGTTTTGAAAACCTCCACATATCTTAGTGGTTGTCTGCAGGGCTTTGTAGAGTCCAGAGTAAAATTCTGATTTTGCCTTACATCTATGGAAAGCCTTCTATTTTTCTTTTACTCAGTGCTTTAGTTTTCTACCATGCAACATACTGAGAAAAATGTTTCCTTTTATGCAGCACCTACACCAGAACACTAACATTTATATGTTAATGTAAAGATGAAATTTCAGGGAAAAGACACGCATGAAATGACAATATGTATCATAAATATTTATAAGTATAGTGCATTCAGGTTAACCATCAACTAGGTGTTACATATGAGATATCAGAAGTTCTCTGAAGAGGCCAAATAAAAGAAACATTTTAATTTATGCTTTAATAATAATGGTGGAGAGAACATATTAGTTTTAATTTTAATCAAACCACACAGCATGAGCTTCTAGCTTTCTCACTCTCTTTTCTAATAAAAGGCATCGATAGTCTTGGCAGCATATTAGAAGGGCAAAATTTAAATTTCTATTTACTTATTTCCTTATTATCACCACAAGTTTTCATTGAACTTTGTACTCTTTGAAGCAGATACTCAAGTGAAAGGAATATGTGTGTGATGGTGGGGGAGGGGGAGAGGAGGAGGAGGTTGGTTTAAATGAAACACATGTGAGCAGGAGGCTTGAGGTCTGCAGCTGACACAGCTATCACACCCCAGAGGTGAGTCTGACACTAACCAGGACTTTAAGATGACACATTGTGAGACTGGACATACCACGCAAACATGCATTCCATTTTCTTCATGTTATTTTCATTTCCCCCCGCCAAAATTAAGAAATAATAAAATAATTTCTAATTGCAAATAACTATTTTAGACAGAAGCTAGATACAGTAAGTTGGGATGTTACTATATGATCAAAGAGTCCTGGTTGCATCACTGGATTAACCTACCTAGCAGCTAAGCATGTTTTCTAGAAGGCACTAGGAAGTCCAAAAACATATATATAGAGAGAGATTTTAAAGAAAGTATCAAAGTAACCATTATCAGAAACATAATTTTTCTGTTATACTTCCTTTATGGTTTAGTGTTATTTTGAGTTACACTTTAAACACTAGGTTACATTGGCTTAAAGAATCTGTCAGCCTCTTGCACTTCTAAGTACTTATTGCAATCCTGTCTGAAAATATAATACTGAAGAACAAACAACTTTGGAGGTGATCTCCTCATTGGACACCATGTTGTGGGGAAAATGACCATTTGAACGCCTCAATACCTTCTTTTGTCTGCTCTCAGCAGCAGCCAGCTGTGCGGACATCCTTTCTTGCATTTTCTTGCAGTGGGCCATGACTGCTTCAAGGATGGAGAGGGGGTTGGTACAAACTGGCTTCTTCTCTTTGTCACCAGCACCTGCTTCATAGTCTCTCTGGAGTGCCAGGAACGGGTCATTTAGATTAAATCTCCCATACCGTTCCTGGATAAATACCTCCTTCCTGCGAGCCTGGAACAAAATTAGAGAAATGTATTGAAGAAAGAAATGAAAATATACAGAAAGATATTTATAAGAAGGTTTTGTGATTATACTTCCAAATGGTATTCTCAACTGCTGTGAGTAATGGCTTATGATGTCAGTGGTGAGTGAGAGGCAAATGTGACCCCCAGTCTCCACTAGCCTGGAATGCCATTCCATCTGCTTTCAAATTTTCTTCAAGAATATTGAATTTTACATTACAAATGATGCAAATATAGTTATTTCCTATGGTGCCCTACTCCTCAAGGATCAGAATTTAAGCAGCAGTCTTTTTTTACACCCCCACCCCTCCACCCCGCCCAACAGGGTCTTGCTCTGTCATCCAGGCTGGAATGCAGTGGCACAATCACAGCTCACTGCAGTCTCAACCTCCTGGGCTCAAACAATCCTCCTGCCTCAGCCTGTCTTATAGCTGGAACTATAGGTGCATGCCACCACACCCAGCTAATTTTTTTGATTTTTTAATTAAGATGGGATCTCACTTTGTTGTCCAGGCTGGTCTCAAACTCCTGGGCTCAAGTAATCCCCCAGCCTTGGCCTCCCAAAGTGCTGGGAGCCACCATGCCCCACCTAGTCTTTTCTAATTTAATGTAAAATCAGAAATATTGACAATTAAAATAATTTTTAGCTAAAGTTCAAAAATAAAATTATCTCTATATCGATAGAACTTACATTTAAAATAATATCAGGTTAAATCACGCATACAAAAAATCCCCTATAGGTTTTTTATAGCCAGAAGGAAATCACATGGATGTCTGGTAAGAAGAAAATTCTTTGTGAAATTTTTAATGTAAAAATTTTAATTAAATTAAAATTTTAATTAAATTAAAATTTTAATGTAAAAATTTTAATTAAATTAAAATTTTAATGTAAAAATTTTAATTAAATTAAAATTTTAATGTAAAAATTTTAATTAAAAAAATTAAAATTTTTAATGTAAAAATAAATAACAATATTCGTAGTTTGTAAAATTTGACCAACTACAACAGCCTTCAAAAAACTTTAAAAGGCATCTATCTCTTTCTCACTGAAGGGCATTAAAATATAGTTCACAGAATCCCAGGAAAGTATGCAACTTAATTATACTCTAAATGTCAGTCCATCAGCGACAAAGTTAATTTCACACCCACGCAATGAGGACCAAATGCAATTTTCTATAATTAGCCTACAAAGTCATTGCATAAAAATGGAAAATAGCAGTAGAAATGTATTAAAAGCTAGCAACATTTTCCTAATTCAGGTCATTTTGGAATAGCCACTAGAATGAAAAAAAATCTATGTCACTGCCAGTAAAAAAATTAAGTTATAATAAATCAAGCTTATTTGTCCAAAACATTAAACATGTCTTCTGAAGAAATATTATTAATGCATACAGTTCCATACTTTAAAGGGAACTGAATTGGAAAACTACACTTTTCCATTTTAGGCCACTATCAGCAAGCCAACAACTAGATAAACACAAATCTAATGACAAATGGGAAAAATCTAACATTTCTTTCCTTATCATCAACTTAGATTAATAAATAAAATTTACAAAAAGTCCAGTTTCACAATTAAATTTAAGCTAGCTTTCAGAAGACCACTTTAAACTTAAAAGGTAAGGTTTATGAGCTAAAAGCACTCGGTGTTTCTAGATTCTTTAAATTCAATCATGTAATCAATACACTGAATAAGTATCACTTGAGAGATGCAATTTCAAAAGCAATTTCATTTTGCCCTTCACATTTTTCTTAATATTTATTCAGTGTAGCAGTTCTTCTCCCACCCTTGGATTAACACTTGGATAATTCTATGTTTTTTCCTAATCGTTTTAATTTAATAAAAGACCTACAGTCACTTTGAGCCAAAATAGCCTCTATTTGATTATTAGAATGTCCATCTTCATTCGGTGGTACGGCAGCTTCCTTCATCAGCTAGCATCTGCTGCAGGCTAACATTTACCACTCAGCAAAGAGGTATATATGAAAACCTCTCTCCTTTTCCCAAAACCTTCTCCTCCTCTTTCTAAGCTGTTTTAGTCACCTCTGGGTTGGAAAGGACTGGAGGTAGATGATACAGGAGAGGTGAAGGGAGCAGGAATGTCGTACCGGACTGGTTCAGGTGGTCAGCTAGCTTTACCAACCCAGTGTGAAGAATATTTAAAGTCTATTCTTTTCCCATGAAGTGCCTGGTGATTTCTTAGAGGAACACCCCCTTTTGCACTGCTGGGACCCCTTCATCTACAGTTTCTTCAATGTAGGCCATAAATGTAGGACAAACTACATAATCTGCAGGACCCACTGCAAAATGAAGACATGGGCTTTTTGTTCAAAATTATTAAGCATTTCAATATGGCAACAGCACAGCATTTAACCAGACAAGGGGCCCTTCTAAATGCATGGCCTTTGCGACTGTACAGGTTGCACACCCATGAAGCCAAGCCCTGCATACTCTCATTAGCATTTGGAATCCACCTTTTGACAACTGAGGTCCCATGTTCTCTCCAGACTTCCCTATTGAACAGGACCTGAATCAATCTCATTCCTACCATTTCAAGACCATGGCCCAACATGGTCTACAGGAAACACTCATGGATCTTTATCTAAACAAAAGCTGGGAGTCTCTACAATAAGATCTCCGCGTCTATCTCTCCTTCACGTCTGCAGAATGACTGCTTGTTCAGCCCCACCTCCACTGAGCCCACCAAGATCTGCAGGAAAAACCTATTGTCATTCAAAAGTCTCTCTGAACCCCTTTTCTCTTCAGATGAAGGGAGAAGCAACTGGATGAGGCAGGACTCACAGCACAATTCTCTGCAGAGAAATGCTCTCTGATAGAAATCTTTCTTTAATCTCCAAAAACTACATTATTTTATACCCTCAATGTGGATGAAAGGTTTAAAAGTCAACACTAGCTTTTAAATATTTCTTACAATAATTTGCATCTTGTTCCTCACTTTGGTATCTGATATTTATTATGATGAGTTATCTGCTGAAACTGACATTTTAACAACTCATTGTAATTACCTGGTGTCTACTCACCCACACAACATATTTTATGATGTACAGTACTTGTAACACTAATCAAGCAATTTCTTAACACACAGGTTATTAAGTCTGAGTAAACTTTTTGATAAGTGGGTTAAAAATTAAAATTAATTTTTTGTATAATATGAGAGGTAAATACATATATCACAGACCTAGTTCCAGTTTTACCCAACAGATTTTATGGTCAAAAAGCATTTAATTCTTTTTTTTTTTCTTACTGGTGTGAAATAGTTTTTTACATGTGTATTTTTGTTGTGTTTTTTTATTTTAAAATTACTAGTTTTAACTGAGTCATATTGTGACACTGTTAAATGCAGACGAATTTTTTTCTGCTGAAAATGTTGTATAACAATACATGTACAGGTTCATAAACATAAAACTGCCTATTTATTTATTTTGAGATAGGGTCTTGCTCTGCCACCCAGGCTGGAGTGCAGTGGCGTGATCACGGCTCACTGTAGCCTTGAACTCTCAGGCTTTAGTGATCTTCCCACACCTCAGCTTCCCGAGTAGCTGAGACTATAGGCACGTGCCACTACGCCCAGCTAATTTTTAAATTTTTGGTAGAGATGAAGTCTCACTATGTTGCTCAGGCTGATCTTGAACTCCTAAGCTCAAGCAATCCTCCTGCCTCAGCCTCACAAAGTACTGGGATTACAGGAGTGAGCCTCCGTGACAGCCTAAAACCACCAATTTATTTGCTTCACAAATATGGACTGACATTTAGCCTTTACGAAGTATAAAATATGTACATTAGATTCCTTTAAGGGTAAAAACAGTGGCTTTGTATTTGTTGCTAACTAGCTATGCAACTGTGTTGCTGATATCTTTAGTTGTCAAAATGAGAGAAATGAAGCAGTATTATTTGTTGCTTAAGACACCTTGAGTTTAGACAAAAAACCTGATCTCATTCTTTCATTTTTAAGTCCCTAAAAGCATGAAAACCAGGCAAAAATGAATGTCAAAGACCACGTGTTCTTCATTAACATCCTAAACTCATATTTATTATTTTCAGAGATGCCAGGTAATAATGTTGTTCTATGACCACATATGCATTTATTTGTGTATATTACATATATTCAAAATGTACTTTTGATATTCTTGTCTTATAGCAAGGGTTTCTAGAAATACGTAATTCTAACAATTAAAATGTGCTTTTCGGTCTACAGTTTTCTATCAAGCTTATAAATTAGAATGCAGTTGCCCATTTTGATTCCATGGTGAAAACTCATAGATTAAATAAGAATAGGACATGAAGACAAGATGCTATAATATGAATGCAGTGCACTCACAACACAGAATATGACAAATCTCCCACTAATAACTAATTTTAAAAAATATTTTGATATATTTAATGTTGGAATAATATAATGTATTTTTAAAATTATTACCAGAGAGAAATAGAAAGTTACTTTTCTATATAAATATATCCTACCCCCAGTGGATGAGTTTTCCCAGATGGAGGAATAGAAAATATAGTAGATCCAATTATCTAACCAGGAACTTTCGGTGACTTGGAAATTTCAAGATCCAACAACAGGCTCCCCACTATTAGGATGCTGGGCAGCGCTGACTCCCACAAATGTATGCAGGGGCCAGGTAGCCAACATCAGTGTGTATATTTGGCATGCTATTAATCAGTGTGAAATGGCAGATTTTTGAGGAACTAGAGATGATATGTTCTAACAAAAGGCATTCACGTTTTTTTAAAAAATCATGACACTGCCAGTGAAACAAAATACAACTGGCAGGCCTGGTTTGGACAGCAGGACACCCAGTTTATCATCTGTGATTAAGGGACTCTGGGGCTCACTGGCCTATATCTTCTCCTAAGCATTTTGCCTTGAGTTCCTTTTAAGTGGGGGTACTTGTATTTAACTGACGCATCCAACCCACTACAGGGCAAAAAACAGGTGCATAATGCATACTTGTTGACTGAATAAAGGTAGCATCTAACAGACTTAGGAAAATAGCAGATGTATCCTTGAAGAAAGAGCTCAGACCACATTTCCTTGTTGGAGGGAAGTCTCCTTCCCAGGGGGGCAATCTTCCCAGGAACCTGGAGAGGAAGTTAGGCCAATGTCAGACTCCTCTATGCAGGACTAATTCTAGAGAAAATGATAGCTAAGGATCAGTTCACCCACTGCCTAAGGTAGAAAGCTGGGATCCCAGGAAGGATTCATCAGCTCTCCAACCTAAAGCCAGGTGAGAGCAGTTCCAGGAGAACTACAGGGTATATCAGTTGGTTTTCTATGGTTCACCGTGCTTTGTAATGATCATTGTTCTTTGCACCCCCTGAACTGTGCAGCATGGAGGCACTCTGTACACCACACAGTTGTTGGAGTAGTCTTTCTAAAATGGAAGCCTTCTCAGTCATTTCTCTGCTCAAAGCCTTTCAGCACTCTTTTGCCCCAGGCCTTTGTGTTGCTTGGGATGCTTCCCCTCCTTCACCCACATATCTCCCCATGAACTGCCAACCCTCACTGCCCCCTCTTCTTCTTGTGCTCATGTCAAAAGGTTCAGAGTTTAGCCTAATTTGGATTCAAGGAAACATCTGTAATGAAACATATGTCCAAGCCACTTGAAATCTCTTCAGTTTACCTGCTTTTCAACAAACAAAATGTGTATTCCTTCTAACGTTCTTGTAAAAAGTTTACTGCTCTTAAAATCTTACTTTGCAACAGAGTGCTTATTTTTAATTTTTAATGTATTACATTATGTTTAATAAAGGCAGATCAACAACATAGACATGTTTTAATAGGTAAGGAGACCATGTAACAAAAAATGACTTGAAATGTTTATTACGCTGGGTTTGAGGAGGCCTGACCCTAAAAAAGGAAGAGCTGAATATGTAGAGAATGACTTGGTTTATGGATCAGAATTACTTGAGAATGAAACGCACTTTAGGGAAATGAGTCATTATGAAGACATAAACTAGTTTTAATAATAAAAACAGACTCTTAAAGGAACTCTTAAACCTAGCCACACTGATGTATAAAAATATAATTTCGGCCGGGTGTGGTGGCTCACACCTGTAATCCGAGCACTTTGGGAGGTCGAGATGGGCACATCACGAGGTCAAGAGATCCAGACCATCCTGGCTAACATGGTGAAACCCCTCTACTAAAAACACAAAATATTAGCCGGGTGTGGTGGTGGGTGCCTGTAGTCCCAGCTACTCGAGAGGCTGAGGCAGGAGAATGGCGTAAACCCGGAAGGCGGAGCTTGCAGTGAGCTGCGATTGTGCCACTGCACTCCAGCCTGGGTGACAGAGCAAGACTCCATCTCAAAAAAAAAAAAAAAAAAAAAAAAAAAAATATATATATATATATATATATATATAATTTCATCAGAATGTGAAGTTTTAGAAAATCTTGTTGAGAATGTCGTAAGCAGGAAGTTGAAAGTTGACCATTATTACCAGAGGGTTTCACATACATGAGGTTCCTACTTTGGCTTTCCTTGTTTGATATAATCAATTGAACTAGTTTGCACATTAGTGAAAATAAAAGAAAGCGTACTTAAAATATCCAACCTTTCCTATAGCATGTAATCCTCTGAGAAACAGAAACTAGAACTTGCACTGTGAGTCATAATTAAAACATTATAAAACACTACCAATTTCAAAACATACTGACAAGCTTATAAGCTTTTCATTTTATGAAAAGCCAGAATAATTCTGTAACAATTTAAAAAATAATACTAACAAAAAAAACTTTTATTGACATTATTTATTGCTAGGTGCTTTTTATGCATTTTGTCCTAAAAATAAGCCCAGGAGATAGCCATTATTTTAATTCACATTTTATAGATAAGCAGACTGAGGCTTACAAAAATTAACTTGCTTGCCTAAGGTCACTTTAACAGCAGCTGATACTCAACCCAGGCAAGTCTTACTCTAAAGCCTACATTTTTAAGCATGGAAAGATAATTATGACTAGAGTATTTTGGAACACTAGAAAAGGCTTCAAAAATAATTACTGTTTACAACACTTTTTAAATCAGAACAAAGAAATTAGGTTTAAAAGAAAGACAAAAATATGACAATGTTCTCAAAAGTTAGTTTTCTATATGCTGTATTTGTACTTCCATTATTACTGACCATATACTAACATGATCTAATCAGACTTAAACAGTTTTTCAAGATTCTGCACAGAATATATTATTTAAGTATAAATCCAACAATAAAAATGGTTTCCAGATATGCTTTCACAAACCACTGGTTACCTAAGAATAATAAAAAAAAACCAAAAACCAGCATTAATATAGATCTAACTGTAAGAAGACTGCTAAGGAATTCTGTACTCAGCTCTAACCCGCTCAACACAGCTGTCACTATCTTGGGTGCCAATGATACAAAAAGCCACAGCGGATGGCAAAATGTTGAGTCAACTCTGACAAGATGGACTTTTTCAGGAAGAAATGTGAGTCAGTTCTTGAGTACAAACACAGAAGCAAGCATGAAAAACACTTAGGGGTGTCAATTAACAAGATATTGAACCACCAAGCCATGAAATGGACACTGCCCCTCCTCCAAATCAGCAACTCAACCCCAGACTTCATTATTCAGTAGAGAACAGGTGTCAGAACTGGACTTCTGGACTCACTTTTGGCTGAAGTATTCAAAGAACAACCAATAGCAAAAGGATCTGAAAACAAGACTGAAGAGGAAGAGCAGAAAGAACTAGGGATGCTTGAAAGAGGAAAAGCCTTCCAGATGGTACTCTTTCAATATCTGAAAGCATTTTATGTTTGAAGAGGTGTTTGATGATTTATTTACATGATTCCCAAGGAATAAAATTATGGCTAATATAATAAAGAATTTTTAAGGGTCAAAGCTTTTCCACAGATACAACGAGCTGCATTTGATTGGAACAAAATCTCTGTCTCCAGCTGTGTTTCAAACACAGGCTGAAAAAACACATGACAGAAATGTAACTCAGGAGTCTCAAAAGTCAGGAAGGTCCTTGGCTTCTAAACTGTTATATCCCTCTCAAACCCTGAAATTCTATGACTCAAAATCAAAAAGGATAGAAAATACATAGAGATTTTTCCAAACAGTCAACATAAAAATTTATCTATCCAGCTGTAACTCTCTGTCTTAGTGTAAAGGAGTTCAAGTAGACCAACATTAAATAACACTAAAATTAAAAGCTCTTTTAAGAAGGAAGGGGGAAAATCCTATTTGTAAATAAAAGGGAATGGGAAGCCAGAGATAAGCCATGGTCCTCAGAACTCATTCTCGCTCTAAGAGGGGTTGAATAGCAGAGGAGTGAGTTTACACATTCACATACTCTTTCTCTTTTCTCCTTCTCTCTCTCTCACACACACACACACACACACACACACACACACACACACACACACACGGAATGGCTGGGTGACTGCAGAGTGGAATAGCAATATAAAAGTTACACAGTCATCTGGAGAAGGATAATTACTTCCCAATGCCCTTCAATGATCAGAAAGCCTTAGAAATTCACTGGCCAGGAATGAAAAATAACTTCTAGAATTATGACTTAAATGAGAAAAGAACGGAAGGGTTCATTTCAGTGTCTGCATCTCAGACACTGCATCTGTGTGTGAAGATATACTTGAGCCACAGAAGTGAAGGAGAATGTCATGGCGTCAAATGATTTTCTGTGCAATGCTGAGAATGTCAGAGAAGAGGTAAGCTTTTCCTCTTCCCTCTCACCTCCCACCTTCATCCCCCAACCTATCTGCCACCTACAATGTCCTACCTGCTCATAGACATCATAATCTGGAGGTGTGGAAATTGTCATGCCAGGAATATACATAATGCATATTGTGAATCATACCAAGACTTTGATTTATTTTGTTCCCAAAGCTAAAATCTGGAAGGCATACTTCAATAAACCACCAATTTTCTCTCAAAGTGTAGACCATATTAGCAGAATTCATGAAAGGCTTGGTTGCACAGAAGTCAGAGCCAGAAGTAATCTCTCTCCTTTCCGAAATCTCCTACCATTTTCTTTTGACCTTGTATGCCACTTACCACCTTGCACACATTCATTAGTGCTCATGCTCTGATGTGGGAGCCCATGCTCATTTGTAGAAAATAACATCACCTTTATTCCCTAACTAGGTCAAGAATGGTATACAAGTGCTGCACTGTTCCACTCTCTTGCCCAGGGTAGATACTATTAAATTATCAGTGCACATAAAGCTGAATCCAGAACAACGTCCAACTGTCTTATTAAGACTCCAGACAGCCACCACCTGTCAATAACTGGAGCACAGATTAACCAACCCACTATTTCTGCCCTGGGCACTGAAATATTACCATTAGTTAGATCTTTACTTCCAGAGAATACGTTTTTAATTTTGATGAAATCCAATTTAACCACTTTTTAAAGTTTCATGTTTTTTATCTTCTATTTAATAGCAAGAAACCTTTGTCTAATTTGAAGTCTAAAGATTTTCTCCTGGAAGTTGCATATATTTAGCTTTTAAGTTCATGATCCACTTTGAGGCAATATTTGTGTATGGTGTTAGAAATAAAGGGTTGATGTTCAATTTTTCCACATATAGATTCAATTTTTCAATCATCTGCTGAAAAGACTAGCCTTTCCCCATTGAATATCTCTGATGCCTTTGTTGAAAATCAACTGACCACATATGTGACTCTATTTCTGGATTCTTTATTCTATTCCATGAGGTATATGTAGGTTTCGTTGCTTTATAATAAGTGCTGAAATCAGGCAGGTTAAGTCCTTAAAATTCTTTTTTTAAATTGCTTTTGTTATTCCAAGATCTCTGTTTTTCCACATAAATTTTAGAATCAGTTTGTAAGATTTTTAAAAGTCTCCTGAAATTTTAATTGAGTTTGGTAAGTCATTTTATATTCTCTCAGCAATTTTCATTTTGTCTTCAGCATAAAAGCTTTGTTTTGAATATATTTTGTTAGGTTTATTCTTATATTTTTTATGCTACTGCAAAGAAATTATTTAAATTTCACTTTCTAAATATTTTTCTAATAGTATGTAGGACTATAACTGATTTTTCAATACAAACTTCTTAATTCTACACATTTTATAAATTCCTTTTTTGGTTTCAGTAGTTGTTTTTGAAGATTACGTAGAATTTTTACATAAGCAATATCTGTGGAAGTGACAGTTTTACTTCTTTATGCTTTTTATTTTATTCCCATCTTGCAATGGCTAGGATTTCCAGCACTACCTTGAACAAAAGTGCTGTAAAAGTGCTAAGTGCTTTTCTTATTCCTGTCTAAATTGCATCCCTCAATTATGTTGGCTGTGTGGTTTTTTTTTTGTTGTTGTTTTTCAGTTTTCTTTTTGTTTTTTGTTTTTTAATAGCTGCACCCTTTATCACTTTGAAGTTCTTTACTATTCCTGGTTTGCTGTTGAAATTTTTCAAATATTTTTCTGCATCTATTAATGAGAATATGTGGTTTTTATCCTTTATATTGTTAATACACTGAATTTTGTTTGATGTTTGAATATTAAACTCTTTGATTATGGTATATTGCTTGAAATTCAATTTGCTAATATTCTGTTTAGGATTTTTTTTTTTTTTTTTTGAGACGAAGTCTCTCTCTGTCGCCCAGGCTGGAGTGCAGTGGTGCAATCTCGGCTCACTGCAAGCTCTGCCTCCCAGGTTCAAGCCATTCTCCTGACTCAGCCTCCCGAGTAGCTGGGACTACAGGCGCCGGCCACCAGGCCCAGCTAATTTTTTGTGTGTTTTTAGTAGAGATGGGGTTTCACTGTGTTAGCCAGGATGGTCTCGATCTCCTGACCTTGTGATCCACCCACCTCGGCCTCCCAAAGTGCTGGGATTACAGGCGTGAGCCACCGCGCCTGGCCTGTTTAGGATTTTTTACATCTATAGTTATGAGTATTACTCTGTAATTTTTTCTTTTTAATACCTTTGCAGTTTTGGGATTACGATACTCTGACCTCATAAAATGAGTTCACCCATTTACCAGGGAAACCATCTAGGCCTGAAATTTCCTTTTGGGAAAAGTTTTTGATAGTGAACTCAATTTTTAAAATAGAATCAAGGCTATTTGGATTTTTTATTCCTTCCTGTATTAGTTTTATAAGTGGTATTTTTTCAAGAAATTTGCCTATTTATCTAAGTTGTCAAAAGTATTCATAGTATTTACTGAATATCCTTTTAATGTCTGTAGAATCTATAATGCTAATCCCCTTTTTCCATTCTTAATATTGGTGATTTGCATTCTTTTTTTCTTGTTCATTCTAGCTAGGAGTATTTCAATTTTGTTGATCTTTTCAATGAATCAACTCTTTATTATTATTTTTCCTATTGTATGTCTATTTTGCATTTCATTGACTGCTTCTTTTAACAAAAAGTTTTTCCCTTCTACTTTGTGTTTACTTTCCTGCCTTTTTTGTCATTTCATAAAGTAGAACCATAGGTCATTGATTTTACATCTTTCTCCTTTTCAATATAAACCTTTAGAGCTCTAAATTTTCCTCTAAGCACTGTTTTAGCTGCATCTCAAATGTTTTGACGTGTATATTTGCTGCCATTCAGTTCAAATTACTGTCTAAATCCCTTTTGGTTTTGTCTTGGACACATGATATATATATTTTTAAATCCACAGATACTTGGAATTTTCCGAAATAGCTAACTGCGACTGATTTCTCATTTAAGTCTATTGAGGTCACTGAATACATATTATTTAAATTAAGACTTGTTTTATGGCCCAGCATATGGTCTACCTCAGTAAATGCACCACATGCACTTAACCAGAGTGTGTTTTCTGCATTGTTGGATCTCATACTCTAGAAATGTCAATTCATCAAGGTGGCTGAGGGTGTTTATGTTTTCTATGTTTTTACTGAGTTTTCTAGCTGTTCAATTAATTACTGAGAGAGGTATTAAAAGCTACTATGATTATGAAATTGTCTATTTGTTTTTAATTGTCAATGTTTGCTTCATGTATATTGAGGCTCTGTTATCAGCCACATAAACACTTATGTCTTTGTGATAAATTGTCCCTTTTATCATTATAAACTGTATTATCTCTTTAACACTGGCCCTGTTATTGAATCTTCTATTGTTTCCTTTGTCTTTCTATTTATAATTCCCCAATGTAAATGTTTTAATTTATATTAGTAAATGCTACCAACCAGTAGGACAAGACTCTCTCACAATGTTCATTTCTTAAAATTTGCTATGCAACCAGCTTATTCTTCTAGATGCAATTTAGATTTCATCTGCTTCGAAAAATAAGCAATTATGATTTTGATTGGAATTATACGTAAATTAGAGATACATTTAAAAGACTTTTTCATAAAATTAAGTCTTGTGGTTGAAAAAAATTGTTTAATATATTAAAATTTGCTTTAATAGCTTAGAAAGGTTTATGTTTTCAAATAAATTTGCATAAATTTGAAAATAAAAGAAATATTTTTATATATTTGGTAATATCCTCACTTGCCTAATTTTCTTTGTATTTATTTTATCTTGAATAAAATTGCTAAAGCAGGTCTCAATCCTAACCACGCATAAGAATCACCTGCATAACTCCACAAACATTCAGAGTCAGGTCAACACTCAATGGCAAGTCCACTTGATTCTCTTAAGTCCTTTGATGCCCCAGCCAAGGATAAGAACTAGTAACTGATTTCTTGCTCTTCTTGGACACTTTTCGTTTGTTTTTGGAGACAGGGTCTTGCTCTGTCACCCAGGCTGGAGTGCAATCATGTCTCACTGCAGCCTTGACCTCCTGGGTTCAAGTGATCCTCCCTGCTCAGTCTCCAGAGTAGCTGGGACCACAGGCACACAGCACCACTACTGGCTAATTTTTGTATTTTTTGTAGAGAAAGGGTTTCACCATGTTGTCCAGGCTCACCTAATTTCTTTATGCTTATTTCCAACTAAGGAATCTTTCAGGTCTTTTTTTTTTTTCAAGCAGCTATTAGGTGGAAATATTTTATATTCTTTCCACTTTGAGGATGATTTCTACTTTCTTCTTATGTAAACACTGCCTTGGTCTGGTAAAAACATGCTTAGGCGGTAACCCTCACAACAGTAGATATTAATTTCAACATCTCCTGAATTCAAGAGTATGCAAGAGCAAGCCTGAGGTCAGGTAGATTTTTCTCCTTTTCAGTAAACTTTCTGGTTTTTTTTTTTACCTTATTAAGCCAATTCTTTTTCTTACCTTAAAATACATAATATTTTAAGATTATTCTTGGCATCAGCTGGTATATTCTGGGCATATAGCCCTTTTAATCTAAAAATTATGTGAAATCTTGGTGGTAGAATTCATTCCACTTGTTCTGGTCTCTTTGAGGAACATCAATTTTTCTCCTGGTGGATCTCCATTCTGTATCTTGCACATACACGAATCTTCATTTCTACTTTATCACTTTAATCCTTTCCACTGGGTTCCGGGAGATCTTCTTAAGTTTGTTACTGATTCAATTTTTTAACAGTGTTGATTTTTTCTGCTATTTCCAATACATGCTTTAATTCTGCTGATATACTTTAAGTTCTCATAACAATCACACTATGTAGGTACTGTGATGCTCATTTTAAAAATAAGAAAACTGTAGCACCAAGAAAGGGCAAGGGACTTGCCCACAGCTGCATGGCTAGAAATTTGGAGCCTGGACTCACTCCCAGCAATCTGCCTCCAAGATCTATGTCCCATTCAATGCTTTCTCTTCCCTAGCTTCACAGCTAGTCCACCCTTCACAATCTGGCTTCCTTCACTTCAACGCCTAGGTTTCTTCAAATTGTAAGACACAAGACAGATGGTATCTAAAAATGACACTCTAAAATTTGTTTCTTGTAATAATTTTGTCAAATGTAAGTTGTTCCTTTGCATTTTAAATGTTACGTTATCTTCCTTGTTCTATCCTGCAAGATCTCTCATGGGCCTTATGTTTTCTTTTTTCTTGTTTACTCCATCCTTGGACCAGTAGGAGTTAACTCAGATCTGGTGTTTATCCATAAGCAGGGCATGCAGGTAGAATCTTTCTGAATATATTTACTGCCCAGCTGGTTGCCATTAAAATGCTTAATACCAGGAGTCGGTGGGTAGACTGGTACAAATGTACATTTCATTGCTCCTTTCATTTGAGTGAGAGAGAGTAAAGGCCAATGGCAGGCCCTTCAAGACAAATGGGCTCCTAGACAGGTTTTATCCCCCATCTGTGTTAAGGATATGCAGTCTCTTTGGCTGTGTCTCCTTACTAGGTACAAGGAAAAGTCTCTCATCGTCTGTCCTTGCAGAGTATAAGGGAATGACCAGCTCTCTGGTTGTTGCTTCTGTCTGAGTCATGCACTGTTGCAATGCTGCTTTCTGGTACGTCTCCTTCACAGTCACAGAAGGGATTTCAATCAGCAACTCCTACCTATCCCACTTTCTGCCTTGGCCTCTCCAAATACAAGAGGGTAGGCATTGGCTAGCTCTTTTCCAGAGCATCACAGGGTTTCAGGAAGAGTCAGTTCTCATTTATCCTTCAGCCTGGTTATATAGACATTAAATCTAGCAGGCATTCCTTTATTTTTCAGGATACAGCTAGTGCAACAGTAGAGGGATGGGCTCAGAGGTCAAACTGGATTTGGATATAGAATCTGTCGCTTCAAAGTTATGCAAACTTGGGTTGGTTATTTGACTGACTACCCTTGAGCCTTCATCAGTTACATGAAGGCAGTAATGTACCTAAACCAGAATTTTGTTGTTGCTTTGAAGAAGAAAAAGAAATAATGCATGTAAGGCACTTGGCTGGGTACCTAAACAAATGGAAGCATGCAACAAATCAGTTATCATTATGATAATGATGATGCTCTTTCTAGTTTGTAGCGGCGGTGTAAGGTTTTCCCTATTCTTATATCCTTAGGATGTCTCATTAGAGAAATGGGAAATGGGAAGCCACGTGCCAGTGCCAAAGCTTCCATGTTATTTAGAACTCCCAGCTGCAGTTTATCAGGTATCTAGCATGCTGGGTGACTGTTTTCATGTGTGTGTCCACACAGTCACAACTGTTCTTTCTCTTCAATTGCATCACATTCCAGAAGGGAAAACCTCAGCACTCCCAACCACCCATTATTCTAGAGCCCCTCATCACCTTTGAGGGCCAAGAACTATGGGGGCATTCATGAAACATAGCCAATTATGTCAACTGTAATCCACGTGCCCAAGGATGAAAATGAACTCACCATTATCAACACTTACAGAAACATGCATGAACATAACACTCCATGCAGAGAGAAAATATAAATAATAAATCTTTTCAAGAGATAGTTTGTAAAGGATTACAGAGCAAAAAAGACTTAAAAAATGAAACAGAATCCTGTTTCAATGCCATTCTTTAATACATGAAATCAGTTCTAACGTAAGTCAAATGATGTGTTCTAAAGCATCACATTTAGGAAAAAAAGATATACCATTAACTTTATAAGTCTTTCCCTTATTAATAAATGTTTTTCAGCTTTCAGGGTAAATTTAGATATGAATGTATAAATATTGTTTGTAGCCCTAAAATAACAAATGTACAAAAGCCATTCACTTACTGAAGTTCTAAATCATATCCTTTGTTTTCTCAAGCTTCTAAATCCTGAATTGATACCATTTTCTAAGCAATCCTATCATAAAACTTATCAACACTTGTGACATTAATCCCATAAAACTTATCAAAGTTTGTGATATTATAATAAACTAGCTAATTATAGTAATAGCTCCTATAAAGAGATGACTTAGAACATCTATAAGAAAATATTCTTTCAATAATTTAAAAGAAAGTTAAAATTTCTACTGAGCATTATTATTATTATTATTATTATTATTATTATTATTATTATTATTATTATTTTGAGATGGAGTCTCACTCTGCTGTCCAGGCTGGAGTGCAGTGGCACGATTTCAGCTCACTGCAACCTCCATCTCCCAGGTTCAAGCAATTCTCCTGCCTCAGCCTCAGTAACTGGGATTGCAGGAGCATGCCACTGCACCCAGCTAATTTTCATAATTTTAGCACAGACAGGGTTTCACCATGTTGGGCAGGCTGGTCTCAAACTCCTGGCCTTAATTGATCTGCCTGCCTCAGCCTCCCAAAGCGCTGGGATTACAGGCATTAGCCACCACACCTGGCCAATTGACCATTACTTCTAAAGCAAGTGTTTACAAAATAAGGCTTCTGAAGAAGGGTTTGATATTGTCCAAAGAAGCAATCATCATGTTGTGGGAGATGAATATCACTGTAGCAAGCATACTGGGAGTGGGGGCTGGTGCAGGATTTAGCAGGTACTGCTTTCATGTTTGCTAGACCAAATTCCTGTTTTGGAAATTTTCAAACAGGAGTTTCCCCCACTTGTATGTTGTTCTCATCATTATGACTGCACAGAAGCATTTTCTTATTTGGCTTTGATCATGTGTGTTTGTGTTTAATCGTCTAGGACATTTCAACTCATAACAGAAAAAAAATTCCCAATATTAAGCTTCTTACAAAAAATAGACACATGAGCACGTATACAAACAAACAAGCAAGCAAGTGAAAACCTTTAAGAGAATGCAGGAAGTTTCCCTGAGGTGTTTCAATATTTCGGGGAGAATGTAGTTTGCAGTATGATAATTCCAGAAATGCTTACTTATATGTGACTTGAGAAAAGAAATGGGGAAACAGTAGTGGCTGTGGAAACAAGAGTTAACAGAAGCATTCCCACACACAAAATTTAAAAAGTGAAAAACACAGAAATAAAGGTAGTTTCTTGTCTACTAGGGATAATACAACAGATAATTTCTGTAGGCAGAAGTTGTGATTAAAAATTTTAAATACAGTCCCTTTTATAGCTCCAAGAAACACAAGTTGACTTGGCTAAAAATTAAATTCCCCAGGACATTAAGAGCGAATGGTGGGGGCAGTTGTTCTCCTGTACTCCCACTATGCCCAGCCCCAAACTCCCTAAAGAACCAGCCTTGGCCACTGAGGAGTAACTCGCCAACTGCATGAACCACTGAGCATCTGGAAAAAATAAACA
The DNA here is from genome assembly GCF_000001405.40 of Homo sapiens. Taxonomy (NCBI): domain Eukaryota; kingdom Metazoa; phylum Chordata; class Mammalia; order Primates; family Hominidae; genus Homo; species Homo sapiens. The sequence continues at coordinate 117,828,044 of NC_000007.14, forward strand.
GAAAGATCTTAACATTCTCACCATCTACCAGCTGAAGATGACTCACTCCATATCAAAAGCAATCAAGGGAAAAGGAATGTCAACAGTTTGAAAGCAGTCTTTATTCAAACCCTGCCAGTAATTTTACCACCATTAAATAAATGTTCCCCAGTCCTTGAGAGAAGGTATACCTCCTGCTACTCCCAGAGCAAACCAGAAAACCTTGGAGGCTGACAGAAAAGGATCATGGGGCAGACTAGAAAGCAAAGAGTCCTTTCAGGGTAACTTCATCTTATTCCCAGAATAAAGAACATGTGTGCCCCCCAGATGGGTGGCATATGTGCAAACTGTGGGTAGGGCACTCCTGGCTACCGTTAAGTCAGAGGTACAGGGACCTAGGCAAAAGGTGAAGGGAAGAGCTGGTCTTGCTTAAAGGGTAGGCACATCGCAGCAGGACAAGTATCATTTGCAGTAACAGGGTAAGAATCTATTTCAGATCATGCTATTTTGTCTTCCTTCATTGTAGGTAATGTATGAACTGCTGTAAAAAATGCTTTACAAACCATCAAGTGTAGTGCATAGGTTAATTGGTATCAGCAATGTAAAACTGAACAGGCCATTTGTCACAAGCCTGTTTGTGTTTGTTCACATTGATAAAAGCTCAACTATTTATATTTCTGCTATTTATATTACATCATTTATTCAATGAAAATTCATCAAGAACTGTCTATGTGTATACAATTTTTCTCCAGCAATCAGCTTCCCTTGTCTTCCTTATTATGTTGGGCATTTGGGGGCAGAATGGGAAGTGGGTGGTGTCTATTAAATAGTCTGTAACACAGAATAAATGCTAGAAGAATGTAAACATGTGTTACACATTATAAAACAGTGAAATGTAGTGTCTGCTCCAAAGGAGTTTAGCCCAAGACAGATGCTAATCATTTCCTGACTCTCCAACATGATTTATGACTGGCTGTGGTCAATTTCTGAAAAGACTAAAACTGAATTATATATTTAAAATCTATTCTTGTAGGAATCTGTTTTCTCTTCTCCAAGCTACGCCACCCACTTTCTCACTGAAAGTGGAGCACAAGCCTGCAGGCCTCAGTGGCCTCAGAGCATATGACACCACTCTTCTGTGTAGGTGGCACATAACAGCGCTTGTTGGAATTTGCTGCAGGAAGGAGGTCAGGACCTGACCATTCCCACTCCCTCTATTCTGGAGCAGCTACTGAAGGCATCTGTCTCTGTCCTTTAATGTCCTTAGTCTCTCATTAATATTCATAGAGAACAAAGGATGGCAAAAATAATAAAGTTAGGATGAGACTAAGGTCCTCAGCTTCTGCCCAAAATATGTCTGTTCTTAAAACCCATCAGTTACATGGAAGTGTTGGTTTAGGCAAGGCTAAAGCCTGTGGTCAGTCTCTCAGCCAGGGCAGACAGAACTACCAGTTCAGACTAAAGGTACTCATTTCCTTTTCACCTGCACACCTTTTCTTTGTATTGGGAAGATGATGCTGTGGACCTTCTCAGGACACAGGGATCCACATATGCTCTAGGAATGAGGGATCCACATATGCTCACGCCCTATTCCTGTTTCTCACTATCTCCCCATGTGGCCAGCCAGTGGAAAAGGACCCAGGTATAATTTAACTGCCTCTGTGCTACAGTAAATGCCCCAAATAGGAATTACATCCATAGCTCTGGTCACAATAGCTCCATGCTCAAACTGATTGACCAACTGCACATCAGAATTCATACAAGAGGAGATGTCAGAGTATATATGAGGCATCCTGATAGTTTGAGCTGTCTCAGTACAGCCACACAATTTAGAAGAGCCCTCTAAAATAATATCATGCTTGCCTGTGAATGCACAGACTGTTTTGCCTGTGTAGTCTATTTTTAAATATTGGTACCAAGCACATGGATTCTTGCAGCTGTGTTTGAGAAAGATAACATGTACTTGAGAATTAAGCCTGGCATCCATAGAAACAATTCCTACTCCATTCCATAGAAACAGGAGTATCAACAGAAGAGTCCACCAAAATGATTTTTAAAAATCAATTTAGGCAAGTAAATATCTTGATAGCCCATTTCCAAAATTACTACTTTGGAAGCTAATTTAGTATTGGCAACAGTCTTAATTTTATTTCCATTTTTCAATGTTAAAATGACTCTAAAAATAGATTTTTAAAATACATGCACAAGTACATGTACAGCGTGTACAACAGGCAATCAAGTTATTTTTAATTGAATGTACTTCTAAAGCTGACCTAAGTTACAATGTTTCACTATAATTCTGTTGAGCTACAAAGTCATACTACACGGCCGACAGCAAGGGCTCCATGGAGACCTCCTAAGGTCAAAAAATTCATTAGCACCATGATATATTAAGAATCTACCCCAAGATCAATTAACCTGCTAGCTTGTGAATGAGTGAACAGCCAGAGACATACCGAACATCAATGCGTCTGGCATTCCTAATCTTTCCTCCTTGCTCTTAGAGTGTCATGAACACTCAAACTGATTTGGAAATGAAAGTAAAGAATTAGAAAGCCAAATACATAGCCATTGGGAGAAATATCCTTAGAGCTGATATATTATTTGGAGGGAGAACAGACCCAAGAAGACATTAGAGTCATTAAACAGCTGACGGTTTTGCAACCCTGTTTGACTGCTCTTTCTTTATTAGGAACGCCTCCCTCTCTAGAATGAACGCCACCCTTCCCTGGCTACTTGGCACTTCTGGAAGCTGCCTGCTCTGCACAGAAAATAAACACTTCTCTGGCTGAATTAATTGAGGAAGTAATGATTGTTTTTGTTTCACAAGGTCATAACAAGGATTTATATTTGAACTCCACTTTGGAGATGAATAGCCTAGACTACCAAATAGTCAAAGAATCCTCTTGGCTAGAAAAAAGATAATGTTTTCACATGTAAGTTTTTTTTTTAATTTTTTTGTTTCTTAAAGTAAATGAACTTCAGGGTTAAAGTGTAATTCTAACTGTGTATGAAATATTTATTGGCTATTAAACCTACATTTTAAACTTTTCAAGCACTTAAGAGATAAAACATAAACATGGCTATCTAAAGACCTAAGTCCCCTCATTCACCAACAACTCTGTCGTTATCCAGGAGTCCCTGAATCATGTGGATAAGCAAAAGAATCAGAGCTCACTATTTCTTAATATCCTTGGCTCCAACAGCCTTCATTAGAACTCCCTGACACCTTCATGTCTGTGGGCTTCATCATGACTACACAAAGATCTCAGCATTTCCCCCAACTTATCTCCCACTCTCCAAGCACTTTTTCTCTCCATCCAGTGTAGAGCTCTTAACATTTCTCCAGATGATTCTGGAGAATCATCTTTTGCTCCAGAGGAAAGCAAGACTGAAAGTCATGAGGAGGATAAGGAGTGTAGTGAAGTTTAGAATGTCCACCTTGAGCCACAGACACAGGAGAGGGTAGGCTCCTTCTTGCCAATATGATTCAAGCCATTATTTCTCAATACTGTGAGCTTGGGTCCATCCAGAATCTGCCATCTGTGCTCTTTCTAAAGTACACAACAGCACATTTGAAAGACTGTATACATTTGAGGTCTCCAAACTCACCTGGGTCCCAGGAGCCAAGACTTGACAGTTTCAATGGATCATGTTGGCTAGAAGGAGCCTATTCTCTCCTGGGTCTGTGGCTCGAGGTGGACATTCCAAACCTTCACTGCACTCCTAACCCACCCTTATCCTCCTCGTGACATTCAATCTTGCTTTCTTCTTCATGCTAGAGATCAGTTTCTTTTTCAAGTATGTTCAACGTTCTGCTCTCAACCTTATTCTCTTTCTTAAAGGAAACCGTTTCTTTGCCCCTCTCTAAGGTTATTAATTCTATCTGTGCTGCCTTCTCCACTTCCTTTTCTAAGCTTCTAGAAACAGTATTCTATGACCAAAATGACATATTCCAAACCCTTAAATTCAACTACCTGTTAAATAACTTGGCTTGGACATTTCAACAAGCCCCCTGAAACTCAACAAGAATTAAACTGAACTCTTCATCTTTCCCACCCCACACCTTTTACCTCCCACATTCCATGCCCTGGCTGTGACACTGCCATCCTACAACTCACCTGAAACCTGAGTGTCCACAGAGACATCACTTCCCCCCTGCCCACAGCTAGTCAGTCAAGGACTATAATGGCTACATCCTATTATAAATCCCGCTCATCTTTAACCCCTCCTCTCCATCCCAGCCGCCACCATGCAACTCTATCCCTCAGCATCTTTCACACTGACACTTTCAGCTGTCTCCTGCTCAGTCCCTACATCTTCAGACATAACACTCCTTCAGTCAACCTTCCTCTCTGCTGATAAGAGGGACTGCCCTAAAACGTAGGTCTAAGGTATTACCGTATTTCTCCAAATCTGTCAAGAGTTCTCCAATACCTAATAATACTACAGCCCAAACCCTCACCAAGCAAGTTCTTCCATGATCTGACTCTTTATTCTCTCTCTACTCTCATTTTTTTTTTACATACTACCACTCATCTCCTCCTTTCTCCCTGTGAAGCTTTGTATTAACTATATTTTTGTTTTTTCTGTATTCTTGATGCTCTACTATCTGAGATATCACTGACTAGGGAGAGATCGTCTTTCCCAGGGAAACCAATTCTTAGAGACAGCAAATGACTACCAATCAATCTATAGCCCTTCATTCATCAACCTTTTTTTTTTTTTTTTTTTTTTTTTTTGAGATAGAGTCTCACTGTGTCGCCAGGGCTGGAGTACAGTGGCGCAATCTCAGCTCACTGCAACCTCTGCCTCCTGGGTTCAAGCAATTCTCCTGCCTCAGCCTCCTGAGTAGATGAGATTACAGGCACCTGCCACCACACCCGGCTTTTTTTTCTTTTTTTTTGTACTTTTAGTAGAGACAGAGTTTCACTATGTTGGCTAGGCTGGTCTCAAACTCCTGAACTTGTGATCCACCCACCTCGGCCTCCCAAAGTGCTGGGATTACAGGCGTGAGCCACCGCATCTGGCCCATCAACCTTCTTTTATGGAACTCATACATCAAGCCACTATCTCCCTGTACTAATCACCCCCAGGTCCAGGTATCCCATAAGTCCCACAAACAGAGGCAGTCCCTACAGCCCAGGAATCTGCTGAAATTATTCAAACTAGCTAATCTCAATCCTGCTTTCCCCTGCCTCATTCGTTCCTTCCCATGGAAACCACAATGAAGGTGCTGGGCCATGCTTCTCCTCACTCTCTCTGCCTCCTGACTGATCCTGGTGCTTCCCCGTGTGGTCCTATTGGCATGCTTTGCCTCCTGTTTCTAGCAATCTCTGAGAATAAAAACGTCTTCCTTCATGACAGTCATTTCTGTGTTTGTGTGTCTTATCTGATTAAAACAAATCCTGAGTGCATTTTAAAACAAGTTCCAACTACAGAACAATTTTGAGTCCTGAGTTCACCATGTGGTTTCATGCCTGTGTATGTACAGCTGGTGAGCTGCATCCATCCTTCAAGAGCCACAGTGTCTAGATTGTCTTTCTCTAAAAAGCCTTTCCTAACCACCCTAATGCTGAGCCCATTCTCCTTGATCACTATATGTTGTACGTAGATCCTCACTGAATTCTTCATATTCCACTACAACCTAGTTACCTGTTTGCAATTCCATCTCCTCTCTGTCCTCCAAGGCTGGGCTGAGAGCTACAAGAAAGAGACCAAGCCATACTCATGTTTATTGTGAGCACTTTACCTAGTACACAACAAGCACTCAATGAATTCTTCAATTAGTTTAAGTGTCCATTGCTAATGCCAGTATTGAGTTAGTACTTAATGATCAGCCTTGCTGCTTTGAAATAGAGATTCTCAATTAAGAATTTCTCAGCTGAAAGAAAAAAATGTTAATCAGTAATAACCTTAGATGCTGCTTACTCACAGTCCTTTAAAAAATATATACATAGACAGACAACATCTTAATGGTGGCTTAGCTAGTAAAATATATTCACTTTGGAACATATTTTCTTTTTTCTTTCTTCTTTTTTTTTTTTGAAATGTAGTTTTACTCCATTGCTGCCCAGGCTGGAGTGCAGTGGCACAATCTTGGCTCACTGCAACCTCCACCTCCTGAATTCAACCAATTCTCCTGTCTCAGTCTCCAAAGTAGCTGGGACTACAGGCACCTGCTACCACACCTGGCTAATTTTTGTATTTTTAGTAGAGACAGGGTTTCACCTTTTTGGTCAGGCTGGTCTCAAACTCCTGACCTCAGGTGATCCATCTGCCTTGGCCTCCCAAAGTGCTGGGATTACAGGTGTGAGCCACCATGCCAGGGCTGGAATGTATTTTCATATGTATATTTGACTAAGGGTATGTGATACAATTTTGGAATTTGCAATACAATACCTGCAACAAACAGAGAAGACAATCTGACTCTGAACTGAGAACTTATGCTAATATCCTTTTTTTCCCTATTTATGACTCCTTTACCACTCACCCCAGTTAGGAAATGATGGGAAAGTGCAGATCTAAACAAACTAATCTTTCTTCATTCTCAAGAACGTCAGTTTAGTATTTAAATCCTAAATTGTTAGAATTCTAGTAAATACATAAAGAAAAGAATATGTACCTAACTCATTTTTAAAAGTACTCTAATACTTTTAGTATTGATAAATGAACACACTTTACTTTTTAGTGCGAGTCATAAACTTCTCCATTTTACATTAAGAGAAATCTTATTTAGAACATTCAATATTGCTTTCAAGAAGTGATGAGATTTTATAATTTATTCTATTTTGTTTAAACATAGGGATAGAAATGCATGTACTAATTCTTTAGTCCACACCGAAGGTGCTAGGTTGGGTTTACTTACTCAAAACAAAATAATTCTGGCCCTTCAAAAGCTACACAGGAAAATTGCTTCAGGTTTCATTTGTTTACTTAGAGTTGCCTCTTGGAAATGCCTCAAAATGATGCAGCAGTGTTCCAATTTTCCTAAACTCTTCAGATAATTGCCAGCGTCAATAAAAGCAAAAACAGCTTGCAGTGCACACCTCCGTAGGTGGAATTCTAAACCTGAGCAGCTCAGCTGCCACACATGAATGGATGCTCTCAACACTAAGCCTCCCACAGGGGACGGCTGAAGTTGCAGTTTAAAAGTGTTTGCAGAAATAGGAATGAGTCTCTCTCTGAGCCCTAAGGATGGCATGGTGAATTATCAGTGTGTCTTGTCCACATGAAAGATATGCACACTAATTCATGTTTAATTAAGTTTAGACCAAAGCTGACATCTTATATGTTTTAAGTTCAGCCTAAAGGTTTCTCTGTATGTAGTGAACTGTGACCCAACTTAATGTGTAAACAGACTGGAACCTACTTTTCTAACAAGTAGCCAAGGCTCAGCCAATCACAGCAGCCAAACTTCAGTCAACCACAGGGGGTCAACAGTTAGAAGCAGATTCAAACAAGGCAAACACTCAGCTGTAACCTATCCAGCTGTTTCCCTCACTTCCCTTTTCTCTCTCTAGTCACTTTCCTTTTTCTGTCCATAAATGTTATCGACCATGTGGCCACTCTGGAGTTCTACCAAACCTATACTGGTTCAGGGGCTGTCCAATTTGAGAATCATTCTTTGCTCAATTGAATTGTTAAATTTAATTTGTTTAAAGTTTTCAACACGCATTCGTCTTGATTAAAGCCAGAGGGTCTGGTCGTGCATCTGGAAAGAGACTGGAGATTATAAGGATGCAGAGCCACATAATTCAGTCCACAACGGGGGCTCTGGTTTTCAACTGCCTAGATTTGAGTTTTGGCTCTAAAGTTCCTAGCTCTGTGATCTCTGCCAAGTTGCTAACCACTCTAAGCCTCAGTTTCTCATGTGTAAACTAGGTAATAATACCTAATATTAGTAATAATACCTACAACTAATACCTAAGTCACGGGATTACTATAAGGCTTAAAGAAGTAACGTACAGCACAGGCCATGTTGCCTGACACAAGGAAAAGTGTCGAGTTCTGTCACTTTCAAGAAGAGGGAATAGGATAATTGATATCTCCCTATGAACTACCACCCAGACTAAGTCTGAGCTGGAGGACTGGACAGGGGAGGCTTCATTACCAAGACTGTTGTTTCCACCTTCTCACGCTACTTCAAGTTTGAAGCACAAGCCCATTCTTGGATTAGTAAATTGAGAACTGTTGCTACTTTCTTAGCATTTCATGTCCCCTTCCACCCCACTTTTCTTTTTATAAAACTGAAGACAGTGGCTGGGAGCGGTGGCTCACGCCTGTAATCCCAGCACTTTGGGAGGCTGAGGTGGGCGGATCATGAGGTCAGGAGATCCAGAGCATCCTGGCTAACACGACGAAACCCTATCTCTACTAAAAATACAAAAAATTAGCCAGGCGTGGTGGTGGGCGCCTGTAGTCCCAGCCACTCCGGAGGCTGAGGCAGGAGAATGGCATGAACCCAGAGGCGGAGCTGGCAGTGAGCTGAGATCGCGCCACTGCACTCCAGCCTGGGCGACAGAGCGAGACTCTGTCTCAAAAAAACAAAACAAAACTGAAGAGAGTGGTCTTTAAGAATACTGATTGAGAGGGTTAAGAAATACGTCACTCTTGTACAAAATACCTTAAGCGTCTGTATTAGTCTGTTCTCACTGTGCTAATAAAAACATACCCGACATTGGGTGATTTATACAGGAAAGGGGTTTAATTAATTCACAGTTCCACGTGGCTGGGGAGGCCTCATAATCATGGCAGCAGGCAAGAGAGAAAATGAGAACCAAGTGAAAGGGGAAACCCTTTATAAAAACATCAGATCTTGTGAGACTTAATCACTACCAGGAGAACAGTATGGGGGAAACCGCCCCCATGATTCAGTTATCTCCCACGGGGTCTGTCCCACAACACGTGGGAATTATGGGAGCTATAATTCAAGATGAGATTTAGGTGGGGATACAGCCAAACCATATCACCATCCAATTCTACCAATGTTGTACTTTTCAGAGAATCCAGGGTCAGTGTTTTGCCTGAGCAGAGTTAACCCAAAGAAATCAGGATTGAGAGACAAGGAGCGTGAGACTGAGTTCTGATTGACATCATTTAAGCCCCTATTTCTAGCCAAACCTAAAAGCTAGACTTAGTCCTGTAATTTTTCAGTTACATGAGCCAATATATCTCTTAGGAGGTATTCTGTCACTTGCAACCAAAAATTCCCCTAAGCCATTGAATGCCAGACTATTGTAACAACAACAAAACCACCAATAACAACAAAATGTTCACTTGCTAACATCCACCAGCCTAATACACTTTTACTACTTTTCTCACTACCACTAATTTTGACAGCATTCTTTGCATATTTTTTTCTGATTTCTGCCTCTCTCTCAGTATACCCCTGCTACCTTCTCTGCTCTCTCTTCCTCCCTGTCATTTGCCCTAACCAGCCTCTCTTAGTTGAGAAAATACCAACTACAGGTTGAAGATCCCATAGTCAAAATGCTTGGACCCAGAATTATTTTGAATTTCAGATTTTTTAGATTTTGAAATATTTTCATGTACACAGTAAGATATCTTAGGGATGAGACCCAAGTCTAAATATGAAATTCACTTATGTGTCATATACACCTTATACACATAGCCTGGAGGTAATTTTATATCATATTTTTAATAATTTCGTGCATGAAAGTTTTGTGTTTTGACTGTGATCCATCCCATGAGGCCAGGTATAAAATTTTCCACTTGTGGCATCATGTTGGTACTCAAAAAGTTTTGGATTTTGGAGAACTTTGAATTTCAGATTAGGGATGCTCGACTCATACCTGTCTATAAAGGACCGCCCAGATACCCCAGAAAAGTGACATCCACCTGACACTGTAACCTGCAGTATCCTTCAACATCTGGCTCCCATCTGCATTTGTGGCCTCACTACCTATTACCCTATCCCTTACACTAGCCTAGCTAAGCCCAGGCAGCCTCCAGAGACAGAGATCTGAGAGTTAATCACTCATGGGTTAAAGCCACAAAACTGGTTGGTGTAGTTTCTTATGTGACCATAGATAAGTGAAACATTAGCCTCAAGGATGTAATCTCCTGAGATGAGATACTCTTCACCTAGAGATAAGTACCACCTACCAAGCTGCTAGGCAGCACTGAATATTTGAATGCTTACCATAAAACCCTCCCCAAGTAGCAGAGCCCATCTTTGGTGTTAGCAATCACCAGGAAAAATAAACTAAACTCTGAGCCCAAAGATGGTATTTCTGCTACTAAGACCATGTGGAGGGTTCAGCTGCTGAGCTTCAATTTCCGATCTCATAAAATGGGGCCTGTTATAAAGAAGGCATGGCACAAAACATGAGCATGGTCTCTAATGCTAATATCATCAAGGAGTCTAATGTGGTTATGTGACACCTTGTTTGGGGGGATAACTTAGACTACAGCCAATTCTTCTCTTTAGACACTATTTGTTACTATAAAGAAAAAGGAAAGAAAAATTTTAAAAATTCATTAACAGAGTAACTCTGCATTAATCACAGGACTAATCTGTAAAAACTACCTCAGATATTCAAAAAATTAATAGACATGAATTCAGTCATTTTAACAACTGACCAGCTATTTAACAAATGATCCAGCTTGGAAGACTGGAGACAGACGAATCTCCATTTTTTAATCTATGAGGGGCAAGTCATATATCACCTTTGATTTTGCCTTTACAAAAATGTTAACACAAATAGTGGCATATAAAATACTGAAAGAAACCCGCACTAAAATAAAGATTTCAGGATTTACTGTAGTTTCCTGGGCTTGTTCTTATTAATCTTTTTAATAATATGCATTCATGTAGCTGCAGCTGGAAACCACAGTACCATTTTATTACTTAGAATTTCTTCATTTCTTTAAAGTGATTTCCACATTTTTGTTGAATAATGTATAGTAACATTGCGGGGGCGGGGGGGGGGCTTTTAAAAAAAATCCTCCAAAGGATTTTTTTAAAATCTTTAAAAATATCTCCCAAAGTGCAATTTCCATAGGTTTATGGTCCTTTCCTAGAAACATTAATATTCAAGTTAAGGCCTTCCCCAACCACCCTACCTAAAGTGGGAACCTGCCTGTAATTTTCTTAGTACAGAATTTCATCACAGTTCGTGATTATTTTCATAGTGTGTTCTCCTCACCTGTCTGGCAGATAAGCACCCAGTCATCAAGAGTTACCTACAACTATCTGAGTTTATATATGTAGTCTCATTGAATCCTGACAATCATGTTAAGATAGCTCTTTATATGCCATTAGTCAGAGTGGTAAATTGAGATTTAAGGAACAGGAAGAAATTTCCTAACGTCACACAGCCAATAATGGCAGTCTGGACTTTAGTTCCTAAGCCCTGTGTCAGAACCACAGAATTGCCTTAATAATGCATCTAATAATTTGGCAAAATCCTCTAGTCATAGCTAAGGGATCATAATAAATAGAAAACTTCAACACACTTGTAATGTGACAAATTGTTAGATTTAATATGCTAGTGGACTATTCATTTTAATACAGGTACTTTTTGTTAATTGATTCTTAGGAGCATTTCAGCCCCATGGTGAATTTAATAAAAGTGCTACTTCTGTCAAAGGAAGAAGCAAGGTCAAATCTCTGACTTCAGACTGAAGAGTGGCAGGAAACCAGAGCCCAGTTTTAGTTCTACTTCCTGCTGTGGTCCTGACCAGCTTTCAGAACTCTGCACACATTGTACCACCTCCCTACTTTAGCTTTATTATCATCTACAGGGCCCCATGGCATAATCCACCTTTACTCCTCCAAAATTTCCCTAAAATAGTTTTAAAGTAGGCTTTATCTATAAAACTTTTTATGACTATAACTCTCCCTACTAATAATAAACTACCAAATAACCAAGTCTGGTTAACATAAATATCTAAAGACTGAAATTATTTTCCTGATTTTGAAAGATTCACTACTCCAAATTTATGTGGGATATATAGATTAATAAATACATACACACGTTTATATGTATGCATGCACAAATATATACATATACATACATGCACACCTGTTCATACAATCCACAAATATCTAGGGTATATTTTAAAGGTTTTTGAAGGCTACAAAGTACAAAACCATAACTGAGCATCACAGTTTTAATGAATCCATCGGCTTTTGAATCATTGCTAGTTCCAGAAATAGCCTAGAAGGGAGAAAAATATCTTTTGTGGAAAAGCAGGACACTTGGTAACAACCAATAGTCCTGTCCAAAAAAGTTGAAAAGTAAGGGGATATTTCTGATACCTGTGAGCATCCCTAGCATCAAGTTGGGGTCAGGCAAATAATAGAATCTTAAAAAAAAAAAAATTCTAAATTAGCCAGGTGCAGTGGGGCGTACCTGGTCCCAGCTACTGGAGAGGCCACCTGGGGAGGATCATTTGAGCCAAGGAGATTGAGGCTGCAATTCAGCCATGTTTGCGCCACTGCACTCCAGCCTGGGTGACAGAGTTTGAGACACTGTCTTAACAACAACAACAAAAATTCTTTTCCTGCCTCCTCCAATGTCCTTTCCATACATGTAAACCATTACCACACAAGTGCCTTATTGTAAAGCACATACGCATTTGTGATATAGTTAGTTTGCTGTGGCTGCAAAGCATATAACTATTATCTCTTCAGGAAGAAGTCTGGGTCTCTCCTGCAGGCAATTATTTCCAGTATCACTGGGAAAAGCTATGTTCTCCAGCAGAAAATCTGAATGGTGAGGGCAAACTTCAAGTAGAGAGACTGTTCATCCTCTCATGAGGGACTGAAATAGCCCAGCATGGACTCTGAAGGAAGAATGGGTCTGGGTAGTGCAATACAGCTGTACTTCAAAAATCAAATTAAGCAGCTCTCCAACTTTCTAGTCTCAGGACCCCTTAATGCTATTAAAAATTATTAAAAACACATAGAGATTTTGTTTATGTGGGTTATAGCTATTGCTAGTTATCTTATTAAAAAGTAAAACTGAGAAATTTTAAATAAATGCATTAATTTTAAAATAATTATAAATCAATTAATGTGTTAACTTAAACAACATATTTATGGGAAAAAAGCACTATATTTTCCAAACCTAAATAAGTGAGAAGAATAGCATTGTTTTGTAGTTCTGCAAACTTCTTTACTATCTGGCCTCACAGAAGACATCTGGAGTCTGGTATCTGCTTCTTCATCTGAGCTGTTAAAAAAATCATCTGTCATTGTAGCCTCTGGAAAGCTCCAATGTATACATATGGGATATGAGAGTGAAAAAAGAAATAATGTTTACTATTATTAAGAAAATTGTTTTGAACTCATGGACTACTTGGTAGGGTCTTGGGGATCTTGAATCCTGGACCATACCTTGAAAGACTACACTCTACTTTCTGTCTTTTTTTTTTCCCTTTCATCTCCATCCTTTCACTAAGCCATTTGGAACATTTTAGCCTTGTATCAGCTTTGCTATAGAGGATGAAGAGTCCTCTCTCTATATATACATGTGCCAGAAAGTTAATGAAAGTACAACATCCCCCACACATTGAATCCCAATGTGGTGGTTGCCTCAGGACCCAAAGGGTCTTCCCCATACCTCTCCAAAGATAGTTAGTCTCAGATAGAAAGCTATGACCTTTCGGTCAAATCTCTTCTCCTCATCAGAAATTGCATGCATAGGAGTGCAGGGGAATTAAATAGGCATGATGAATGCATGATTATACAGGCAGAGACCACTACTAACTGGTGTCATCAGATAAAAGATTACTTCTCTTTTTCATGATGGCTGAAAAATGATGAGGTACTAAGAAGAATGGAAAGTCAAAATATAAAAGAGAAAAAATGGAACAGTAACAACCAGAGGAAGTTGCCATCAGAATCCACAAGCAGGACAGCAAACAGCAGGGATGTTACTAGAAACACACTAGAACCTAGAGACAAAAGAAAAAGCAGTTCCCTGGCTTGGGGGAGAGCATGAGAGACGCTTGGAAAAAGGGACACCTGGGTTGAACCCCAGTTTCTCACAAGCTCTTCCAGGCTTCATGGTACCACACTAACTACTAACCACTGTACATACTATAGGGTTAAAAAATAGGTTAATAATAGAGGAAACTGGTGGAGGGGGACACATGAGAACCCTCTCTACTTTCTACTCAATTTTTCTATAAAACTAAAACTGCTCCGAAAAAGTCTTTTTTTTAAAACAGAGTTTCACTCTTGTTGCCTAGGCTGGAGTGCAATGGTGCGATCCCGGCTCACTACAATCTCTGCCTCCCAAGTTCAAGCAATTCTCCTGCCTCAGCCACCTGAATAGCTGGGATTACAGGCACCTGCCACCACATCTGGCTAATTTTTTTGTATTTTTAGTAGAGACGGGGTTTCACCATGTTGGCCAGGCCGGTCTTGAACTGCTGACCTCAGGTGATCTGCCCACTTTATCCTCCCAAAGTGCTGGGATTACAGGCATGAGCCACTGTGACCGGCAAAATAGTCTTGCATTAAAAAAAAAGAAAAAAAGAACCATCACAGTAAAGTAAAGTAAAGTACTCCAGGGTCCATAGAAACATATAGTCAACCAAACAACAGAACTAGGTAATGTGTAAAAAGTGTCCTCCTCACTGGCTCCAGTTTCATCTATGGAAGAAGAAAATAGAGATAGAAAAAATGTATTCACCTAAAATCAAAAAATGGGTATTTCTGTATAACACAAAAAAGACAAAACCAAGAAATTATTTCTGTGTCTATACAATATTCATTAATCTAAACTCCTTGATATAAAGATGCATCTATATTTAACAAGGAAAATTTGGAGTCAATCTAAATACTTTCATTCAGCAAATACTTATTGAGCCAGGTATGACAGAGCAGTGAACAGAATAAAATTCCTGCCCTCATGGAGCTTACATTCTAGTAGGAAAAGTAAAACAAACAATAAACATGTAAAAAGATATAGTATAGTCAGCCCTCTGTATTCATGGGCTGGGGATTCACACTCACAGATTCAACTGAGGATAGAAAATATTTGGGGGTGGGGAGAGAAGAATGGTTGTAATCTGTACTAAACACGTACAAACTTCTTGTAATTATTCCCTAAACAATACAGTATAACAACTTTTTACAGAGCACTTACACTGACTTAAATATTATAGAGAAAATTTAAAGTATATGGGAGGATATGTGTAGGCTGCATGCAAATACTACACCATTTTATATCAGGGACTTGGGCATCTGTGGATTTCAGTGTTCTAGGGGGTCCTGAAACCAATCCCCACTGATGCTGAGGGATGACTACATATCAGATATTGATAAATGTAGTGGAGCTAAATAAAGCAAGAAAGGATGGAGATTGCATGTAGTGTAGACAGGAGTTCCCATTTTAAATAGATGGTCAGAGAAAGCCTCACTAAGATGACATTTCAGCAAACATCTAAAACAGTGAGGGAAGGAGCTACAGGTCCATTTAGGAGAGCTTTCCAGACAGAGGAAACAAATATGAAAGCTCTAGGGCTGGAACAGGCAAGGGGGCCAGTAGGGCTGTAGAAGAATAGGAATGATGCTAAGAAGCAATTCAGAAACATAAGAGAGGTAGATTATGCAGCCTTGAGGCCACAGAAAGGCCTTGGCTTTTTACTCTGAGCAAGATGGTGGCCACTGGAAGACTGTGAGCTGAAGGGTGACATGATCCCGATCTTGTTTTAACAAGATAACTCGATGACTATGGAAAACAGAAACCGGAGTGGGGCAGCTACACAAGTGGGAGGACCAGTTAGGAAGGTATCAAAATAATTCAGACAAGAGGGTTGCAGTGGGCAGAATAATGGCCCCCAAAGATGTCCACATCCTAATCTCCGGGACCTGTGAATATGTTCCCTTACATGGCAAAAGGGATGTTGCGATGTGATTAAGTTAAATATCTTGAGATGGGAAGACTATCCCATATGGGCTGGTCAAATGTAACAGCAAGGGTCATCATAAGAGGGAGTCAGGAACCTTGGAGTCAGAGAAAGAGGCATGACAACAGAAGCAGAAACGAAGAGAGAGAGAGACAGGGACAGATAGACACTGCAGGAGGGAAAGATACTACAACATGCTACCCTGCTGGCCTTGAAGATGGAGGAAGGGACCATAAGCCAAGGAATGCAGACAGGCTCTAGAAGCTAGAAAAGACAAGGAAATGGATCCTCCCATGGAACCTCCAGAAGAAATGCAGCCTTGATGACTCATTTTAGACTTCTGACCTCCAGAACTGTTAAGATAATAAATTTGTGTTCCTTCTAAGCCAGGACGTTTGTGATAATTTGTTATAGCAGCAATAGGAAACTAATACAGGTTGGGGTAAGTGGAGATGGGGTGAAGCAGGAAGATTTAAGATACATCCTATTCCTAGAGCCAACAAGATGTACAGAGAGACAGGATGTAGGGTATGGGAGAAAAGGAGAAATCAAGTCCAACATTATTTTTTTCCTGAAAACTACAAAAATGAGTGATTTTTGGTTAGAACGGTGTTGGCAAAAATCTGATTACAGTAGGTTCAAGGGAGAATGGACAAAAAGGAATTGCAGTCAACTAGCAAGCAACCATTCTAAGGACTTTTGCTGCAATAGGGCAAAAGGAAACAATGTCACAACAGCTAAAGGGAAGGCAGGGTGGATTTGAGGAAAAACTTGATGATATCTGAATATGTGAGTGGGACAGACTTGAGTGCACAATAACCAGCTGGACTCAAGCCTCAGAGATGGACGGTTTGCCAGAGCGAGGGGAGGAAAAGTGAGCACATGGGTACTGGTGCCCATGAGTGGGTTGATGTGCTGATGGGAGAGTCCAGAAGCTCTTTCTGATTGCTTCAATGTTCTCAATGAAACTGAAAGCAGCTGAGAGTGAAGTAAAGCAAGAAGGTACTGAAGGTCTCAGAAGAGTGAAGAAAGTTTGAAAGAATCTAGGAGAACAGGTGAGTAAAAGCATTGAGAAATGCCATACAATTGCCAAGCAGCAAAAAGGACCAACAGGAGGACTTGGTAAATTTAAAGTGAGGGCAGTCAGCAAGGTTGGATGTTTTTTTTCTCCAGGCTTGTGCAAGCCTATTGGTGTGGGCATGAGGTAGGCAGAGAATTTAATTTCACTGGCACCAGGGTTTTACCAAGTGAGGACCAAGGGAATTGGGGGCATCTGCAAAGGAGGAATTGCAGCAATAGTTCATGGGGTCTAAGAGGAGTAAGGAGATGTCCAAGAACTGAGGTTTCAGTAAATAAATGACATGCAGTGATTGAAAAATCTCAAAGTTGAAGAATAGCTAGGGATATGTTCACTCACAATATATTAAGAATGCAAGCAGGCTGCACACATTACTGTGTAGAGCATGTTCCCATTTTTGAGAGATCTGTATTATATGTGTTCATTAATGCAGAGAAAAATGGTTACTTCTGAGTGATGGGAAAATTTCCTCTTTTGTGTCTTTGAAGATATTCAATGAAGAGCATTTATTACATTAATAATTAAAAAAAAGGATATCTTAAATAGCACAACTATTAAAATATCTTGCAGATTATGTCATTTAAAATTGTACCTACCTAAATTACACACTTCTGGCTACGCTAAATTCTAGCAGGCACTACCAATGCTCATTGAGATGACACAGGTTTTTATAAGCAAATACATTTGACTGGGCTGTGCTTCTCTATGGAGGGTTTTCAAAATTAAAACATTACCAAAGGATATCCACAGCAAGGGCTGTGGTTCAGCCAGTACACATCAAGATGGTGTAACGAATGTGATCTGTCCTGGTATTTTAAGCATCCTTTCTGATTTACTGCTACCTGTGTGGTTTCTGTTAATTTTTTTTTCTTTTTTTTTTGAGATGGAGTCTCGCTTTGTCGCCCAGGCTGGAGTGCAGTGGCGAGATCTTGGCTCACTGCAAGCTCCGCTTCCCGGGTTCAAGCCATTCTCCTGCTTCAGCCTCCCGAGTAGGTGGGACTACAGGCGCCTGCCACCACGCCCGGCTAATTTTTTTGTATTTTTAGTAGAGACAGGGTTTCACAGTGCTGGCCAGGATGGTCTCGATCTCCTGACCTCGTGATCCGCCCGCCTCAGCCTCCCAAAGTGCTGAGATTACAGGCGTGAGCCACCGCGCCCGGTCCTGTTAAATATTTTGAATGCCATCCCTACTCATAGCTAATGGAAAAACAGCTGATGACAGAATATAGAAGAATAATAAGGTTTTGATTCTTCGACCATGTGAAATACTGTATAGTCAAGAAGGCTATGATTTATTAATACTAGAAACACTAAAAATAGTTAAAATGCTTGATAAAAAAAATGAGAAATATAAAACTGTTGTATAACTCGTTTATAATTATGTTATGGTGGTAGGTTTATGGGTAAATCTTAAAGTCAGTAATTTAACAATCAAATGATATATATTTCCATTAAGAAAAGGAAGTATAACTTTCTGGTACATAAAGAATTAGAACTCTGTTATTAGTGAGAAAAAATAATCCATGGAGAAAGACTAATCCCACATGGACCCAGAGTCATTGTTCATGTACCAAAAGAAAAAAGAAAAAAAAAGAAATATACTTTAAAATATCATATAATGCTATTTACACTGTTAAGAAAAGGATTAATGAAGAAACATTTGAATTGCCTGTAAATCAAATTGTTACATTTTACAAAACTGTTATAAACTCAACTCTCATAATTATAATTACTAACAAAAATGTTAAAAGTTGCTCCATTATTATTACGATCTAACCATCTTCATTCCTTAGTTAAATGTATCAAGATTTAAAAACTGGCTTCTTAAACATTGTGACTTTTTTCCTTAAGCAAATATTTATATAATTTAATGTTTTCTTGTAACTAAAAAAATATATATATACTCTCATATTAAAGGGGCAGCTTAACTTGTTATGAAGAAAAAATGGTAGTGAATGTTTACCAGGAGTTACACTTGGTTAGTTACAACGTAAAGACAAATTGACTTAGAGACAATTTGAGACTGTTAAGAGACACCACAGAAAGAGCAATGATGCCCTGCAAAAGTCAATATTCAACTCACCAACAGGAAGAGGAGCTAAATAACAAAATTTTAGATTACAGGGTTACCAAAATGCTTCTAACATTTTAAATCATTTCAGGGGCATCCAGAAAAAAAAAAATGCACAAGCTGGTTTTCAAAGCAATGAAAAGTAGGACAATAAAGAGAGTTGGAAAGTTCAAAAGCAGAAATGCAGAAAACTAGGCCGGGTGTGGTAGCTCACGCCTGTAATCCCAGCACTTTAAGAAGCTGAGGCTGGCAGATCACTTGAGGCCAGGAGTTCAAGACCAGCCTGGGCAATATGGTGAAACCCTGTCTCTACTAAAAATAGAAAACTTAGCTGGGCGTGGAGGTACATGCCTATAATCCCAGCTACCTGGGAGGCTGAGGCAGGAGAATTGCTTAAATCAGGAGGCAGATGTTGCAGTGAGCTAAGATCATGCCACTGCACTCCAGCCTGGGCAACAGAGCAAGACTCCAAAGAAAAAGAATGTTCTAAACTGAAATAAGTTGATTAGAGAAAATAACTAGCCAAATTATTTCAGGGCTATAGAAAAATATTGTTCACTGTCAACTACCAGTACTTAAACTATAAAGTATATTCATAAATTCATAACATAATTTGTGTTATGAGCAGTCATCATACATTCTGACAGTGTCATAAGCCAAAATTATTTGACATCAACCCTCATTTTATTGTAGAAGCACTGATATGTTTTCCATGCTTTTGTTCCATGTCCAAATTTTTATAGATCTTCTTTGCCTAACCTTTTTTTTTTTTTTTTTTTTTTTTTTTTTTTGAGACAGAGTCTTGCCGGAGGGCAGTGGTGTAATCTTGGCTCACAGCAATCTCCGCCTCCCAGGTTCAAGTGATTCTCCTGCCTCAGCCTCCCGACTAGCTGGGATTACAAGCATGTGCTGCCACGCCCAGCTAATCTTTGTATTTTTAGTAGAAACAGGGTTTCACCATGTTGGCCAGGATGGTCTAGATCTCTTGATCTCGTGATCCACCCACCTCGGCCTCCCAAAGTGCTGGGATTACAGGTGTGAGCCACCACGCCTGGCCTGCCTAACCATATTTGAATACTTGTTCAGTCTAGAAAACATGTACATAAAATGATTAAATAAGGAACATTAGCAAATGTTATGAGATCAAGCTGGCAAATGGTTTGAAGGTCACACAGCCCCATCTGCTTCCTGAGATGATCTGCTGCAGATTCAGTTCACAGCAGACCACTCTGCTGTGGTGCCCATCCCTCTCGAAATCCCACTGTCTTGCCCACGCCTCACCACCCCACCTGATCACTTCCACCCCAGCTACTTTGCCCAAGCATCCTGCCTCTCACTTATATCAATGAATTTTATGCAAAAGCACCCATTTATACTCAGCCATTACAGTTTTACAGTGATATTGTGGAAAACATGACCACACTACCCAATATCTCCAATTTGAAGAGGCAGAGATGAAAAACTTTATAGAGCCCAGTATCAGGAAAAGTTTCTCTTCCCTGAGGAAGTAATTGCTACAGCTTTTTTCTACCTTATAAACAACAACACATCATGTGTAACTCAAGCTGCTCCTATTTTATTTTCCGTTTTAATTGATTCAGGAAACTTAGGACTCTAATCATTTGCTCCAACCCAAGAGCTCAGCTTCTGGTTTATGTACTGGGACTCAAGTAAGATTTCATTGGAAGAAAAGGTCTTATTATTAAAAGGTTTGTAAACTACTGTTCTATTCCCTAATTTTTATAGACTTACATTTTCCCATTTTGCTGTTTTTATTCCTGTAAACCACTTCAATTCCTATGTGAAACCATTAGAGGTGTACGTGAATAATTATATCAACTGTAATAGCAATCAGTCGATTGCATACAGTTCTTAATGTCTTAATAATTCATGTTTTATTTTAATCCAACAATTCAAGAAAGCTCCTTTAGTGCTATTTCCACAGGCTTCTTTAAGAAAGTTTCCAGGCTGAGTCACTTTGAGGCACTTGCTGACTTTTGAAAAAGCTGTCCTGAGAAGAGCCACTGCCTCTTTTTCTCATCAAGTAGATGGGCAAAAGAAAAAGACTAGACAAATTTACTGGCCGTCTTGCTTACTGAGCAGAAAGCCTTTCCAACCCTGACACCTAATCAGCATCAGCGATTTCACCGCAAACCCGATGTGATGTTACACAAATACACCAGCTTTATGAGTGACCGTCCTTTGGATCAGCGGTTCTCAAACTTTAGCATGCATCAGAATCACCCAGAGGACTTGTGGAAACACGGAATGGAACACTTTGCTTTATCCCCAGAGTTTCTGAGTTAGTTGATCTAGGGTAGGGATTCTAAGAATTCGCATTTTTAATGAGATGAAGCTGATGCTGCAGGTATGGAAACCACACTTGGAGAACAAAAGCCTCAGATCATTCCATTTTCCTGCTTGATAATCTTCAGGGACTCTGCACTGCCTACCAGGCTAAGCACATAAATGCTTCAGCTTGGCATTCAAAACCTCCTGGATAGAGCCCATAGGAACTCCTACTCCATCAGTCCATACCCCTGTGCCTTCATCCATTACCTCCTCACTCTGCCCAGAGCACACACAGATCCCGTGCTCTGGCTCTTTCTGATCAGAACACACTTCTCATTGTTCTATTCATTAAGGTACTCATTCTTTAAAAGACTACAAGAATGCCACCTCTTCCCAGAAGCCGTCCATAATTCATCTTCATTAGAACTCTTTTCTCTGGGCTTTACTAAAACACGCAAGCCAGCCCTGCATTCTAATTAGTAGCTATTACCTAGCTCTCTTCCACAAGATTATATAGAAGAGTAGTTAAGAAGATGCATTTGGAGATAGAAAGACCTGGGTCCAAACTTTGGCTTGGCACTTAGCTGTGTGACACAGAACACTTTCCTTAACCATGAGCCTTAAAATGAGATAACAACAGTACCTACTTCCAGGGATACTCATGAAGGTTAAATGACATAATCCACATAAAATACTAAATAGCATGCCTAGCAGTTAGGGCTCAGCAAACAAAGGCAGGTATTACCTGGAGGTTTTGGAACATCCTCCAATTCTTCAACATTTCTCCCCTGTCAGGTTTATGTCTCTTCACCTTGAATCTGAGCTATGTGACTGCTTGATTAGTAGAATATACAATAGCCTCCCCTTATCTATGGGGAATATGTGCCAAGACTCTAAGTGCATGCCTGAAACCACAGATGGGACCTATGTATATGGTTTGGTTCAAGGCTGCAGTGTGCTATGGTCGTGCCATTGCACTCCAGCCTGGTTGACAGAGACCCCTTCTTAAAACAAAACAAACAAACCACCTCTATATTCATTGGTACAAAACAGCCATACTGCTTTGTAATTTCAAGTAACCAAAGAATGACAGATAAATAGGAGAGACTAACAGTCACTTTGAAAAGCAAGAAATTCATGAGGCCATCATCTGCATACAAGGAGAGATCAAAAGGAGACACGGCAAAGCAGTTGCACAAAATAAAACAACTTTGAGGGAGTTGCACAAAATCCAGGGAAACCTAAGTAGGTGGGGACCAAACAAGAGAAACATGGTTATTTTTATTTTATTAGATATATTATAAATATTAATATTTTGCAAATATTTTGTATTCTTACTTTGGCCCTATTATTACACAGCCCTCCACAGTGGGTCTAAGAAAAATACCATATCAGTCATGGTACATAATCTTAACAGCCCAGTACTTTTCCATTGTCACACTTATCACAAATGCAACTTATTATGGTTAGTGTTCTTTACTAGACAATAAATTTTAGAAGTACCAGGACTATTTAGCTTACACTCTCTTCCCAGTGCAACACCTGATATGATAAATATACACTGAGAAAATATTTACTAGGTGAACGTTGAACAGCTAAGCACTAAAAAGGCTGTTGGAAGAACTAGAACAAATGCCTGAATTAATTGAGCATGAATTCACATGGAGTATAAACACAATGTCCTTAAAAAACAAAGTTTCTACCCTGACACAGAAATTGCATTAGGAGCAACTATTTGCTGTCACCAGTTAGAAAATAATGCACTCTTAAGCTTAGCATGGTGGTACACACCTGCAGTCCCAGTTACTTGGGAGGCTGAGGTAAGAGGAGCTCTTGAGCCCAGGAGTTTGAGTCCAGGTTGAGCAACATAGCAAGACCCTGTCTCTATTTAAGAAAAAAAGAAAAGAAAATAGAGGGAAAAAAAGAAAAAGAAGAGAGGAAATAAAGGAAAATAATGCACTCATGCTGGAGGAGATACTTTTATTCCCAATCTCTTCTGTCTATTCAAGTCCTGTTAATACCTCCCCACCAACCCCCTCACACACACACAACAAATTACATTTAGAGCCATCACCCAGAATTCAGAGCTTCATGGAACCATACTTTAATTAACATCAACTGTAACTGCTTCCTCAGATTCTTTCTTTCCCTTTTACTGTCAATCTATTTCCAAAAGTGGTTAACGTAATCTCCCTTAGACACTGTTTTTACCACATCTGTTTCCTACCTCGGAGCCTACAGTGAATCTTAATTGTCAACTGTCTGAAATCTAAACTTATTAAGAGTTTAACATATTCACAGTATCTATTAAGACTTTCTGAAGCTCTTCCATTAGTTGTCCTATCTACAGTCCACCAAACCAAACTCACAACTTGTTACTATTCCCATACAGGCACAAAAACACATGGAACCTCTGATGTAGCCAAGCAGACATGATGGAAGGTTGCTTCTCAGTTATGCCAGTCAAGTCTCATTATTTTGTCAAGAAACTCCAGAAGGAAGCCCAATACACTTTTGAGACTTTTTTATGAAAAATGTATTCCCAGGCACTCACGGAAAGAGACTCATCAATAGAAAATCATCAACTCTAAGTTAACTTGACAGGATTACTTAAAAGTTTGTCTTAAAAAGTCTAATCTAAAACTAGATTCTGTTGATTCAGGCTTCATGAAAGGAAACCTGAACTTTCTAACAAGGCCAATGACACATCCGCATTTTAATACATCAATTACTTAAAATACTGAACTCTTCCTTGGTAGTGCCTCTATCATGACCCTGGCTTACATAATCTACCCTCGCAAATTCACTTCAACTTTTATTGATTGGAAAAAATAAAGAATTTTATAACATCAAGGAAATCCATACAACAGCCTTTCATGGAAACCAAACCAAATTTCTATTTAAGGACTGAATTTACTACCTGCTGATGTTTTGCATATACAAAACCAAAAAAAAAAAAAAGATCAAATATGAAAAACTAAAAGATTTACAAATTTAAAAACAAAATGCAACTACAAGAGACAGACTTAATGACTAAAATATGCAAAGATGGTCAGGGTGGAAAGAGCAGTTCCTTAGTAATTGTGTCCTTGTGTATTTCAGAAATCTCCATCACTTCCCTAAACTCAGGTTATGCAGCATTCTCAAGTGCACCAGCATGTTCTCTCTCATCCTATTAGAATCATACCCTAATTACAGAAAAGCACAAGCTTTTGGTATAATTAATAAGAAGGACACGTTAAAAATCAATGATGTTCCTCTACCTTATTATACTTGCCATTCAATAGGATCTTAAAAATCTTCAAGGCTTTACTTCTGTTTATAATTACCTGCGCTCAATTGCAAGGGAACAGCAAATGAATGATTAAACATAGAATACTAACAATTTCTTTGTAGCTTCAATTTCTATGCAGCTTTTGAAATTTACAATTGATTACAGGTGTGTAGAAATGGTCTGAGCCCTCGTAGCAATTAAAGTAAAGTAAACAATCCATAAATGACAACTTTCAGCTCTAGGAAAATGCTTAGTTTCATTAATGTTGCCTTTGGGGGAGAGACATGGTGAGGGCTAAGGTTAGGAGTCAGACAGAAAATGGCATATATCCTATTAGCTTTACTTTCTCTGTTCCTAAAGTAGGGGTACTACCACTGATCTCAAGAGATTTCATAGGGATAAGAAATAATGCCTATGAAGTGCCGGACATATAACGAAAACCTAACAATATTAAGCTTCATCTCCATCCCCTGTTCAATCTCTAGCTTGTTGTAAATAGCAGTTAACCTCAGGATTCCTGCAAAGCATGAGCCAAATGGAATTACCCTTTTCTTGACTTTGGTTTGCTTAATGCCTAACCCACCATCATGGGATGGATGGAGGTGGCTGTAGAAAAGAAACTGTTTTAGTTTAAAATGATAAAACCACCCTCTTCCTTTTTCATTTTTTAGTTTACTTTTAGCTGGTTGTGAACAGAGGTGGCTGCAAACAGAATTACTTATGCAAAGTTGAAAATAATGCCACAAAAAATTTAAAAATTTACATAATAAAGATGATGCTGCACACTGTATATGAGCACACTGCATTAGACCCTTGTTTCCTCTTATAATCAAAACATAGAATTCCTCATAAAGGTGGCAAAAGAAATTTCTGCAAAAACCCATGACTTGTAGCTTAGCCACCCATGAGCTGGCTAAAATGTAATCAGAATGCCTCAAAGGAATACCTTGTATTTTCAGATCACATGGAATTCTAAAAATGAACTGTTAATTAGACTGACAGTCCCCATAATTGTGATCATCTTCATAGTATACAAAAATATATTCCTGGTTTCATTCTATTTGTAACCCTGATTCTATCCTGCACCAGAACGGATCAAATGGTATGTGGGAGATTGAGCTGCGAAAAGCCTCATCTTTAGTGTGTTCTCCTTACATATATCTTGGTAACTTATTAATAATCAGCAGGCAAATGCTATGCAGTTACTTCATTTGCTTATTATATGGGCCAGAAATGGTGATCATAAACATTTTGCTTTCATGACCTCATCACCTGCATTTTCTAATATATGGAAAAGCAATGTTTTGCATGGTATTCTATTTTTTGTTTGTTTTTTACTAATGGTAAATGTTTATCAAAGAAAACATTGACCAGAAGAATCAAAGTTGATTATTTCAGTGTTTGTCCTGCTGGAACAAATACAATGCTACTTAAAAATCATCAGCTATTTGTTCTTTCTGAAAACTGATTTGCTTGCAGAAACAACACAAAATCTGGTCAACACCCTTCTTCCTTTCTCTAGCATGGCACAAAAGCATTATCTCAACAGACAGGAAAGGAAACTTAAATTAATTTTTGTTTTCATAAATTCAGCTCTGCTCAGCAAATTAATTCATTCATTAATTATAATGAACAGCACAAAAAGGGTATGTTTTGGTCAATCAAATGCCTGCATTCACAGGAGAATTCTGAAATACAAAAGACTGCATGTTTTACTTAGCTGAAACCAATAAAAAGCCAGATTGTTATTCTTTTATCAGGATTTAGCAGACATGTCATATGAGGAAAACATTCACAATACTCTGTAGCATACTCTGCGGCTGCTTTTAAAACTAGAGTGGAACCATTATTCTATTTAAAGTGATTGCCTTTGTTCTATGTCAAGATTCTAGCACTGAACCATACAACCATAAAGGCTTTTTAATTTGAAAAATAAGGCATTTAATTTCTGCATAAGAAACTGTAATTCAATTTTAAATAGTAAAATATGTAATACATTTTGAAAGGGCCCTGAAGTTGTTAAAATGGGCATTTTCAGAATAATTACTTTTAGTTTAAAGGTATACTTTTTCAAGAAAATCACTGCATCATTATGCAACGTATTTGAATAGTTTTTACATTTATTTTAGCAAAAATAGATGATTTAATTAATTAATTAATTTATTTATTTATTTTTTGAGACAGAGTCTCGCTCTATCACCCAGGCTGGAGTGCAGTGGCTTGATCTTGGTTCACTGCAACCTCCGCCTCCCGGGTTCAGGCGATTCTCCTGCCTCAACCTCTCAAGTAGCTGGGATTACAGGTGTGTGCCACTGCACCTGGCTAATTTTTGTACTTTTAGTAGAGATAGGGTTTCACCATGTTGGCCAGGCTGGTCTCGAACTCCTGACCTCAAGTGATCCACCTGCTTCAGCTCCCCAAAGTGCTGGGATTGCAGGCATGAGCCACCAAGCCCAGCCTGAGATATATCTTATAATCACTGGCAAATTAAATCTGCCTGTCCCAAGGCAAGGGCTCGCTGTTGCAAGTGGTTGGGCTCAGTTCTATAGAGAGGATGGGGGTCAACAAGCTATTACCTCATGCGGACTGTTTGCATTAATAGCCATAAATAGAGGGACCTCATCCCAAATTTGCCTGCCACCATGCCTGGCTAATTTTTGTATTTTTAGTAGAGACAGAGTTCCACCACATTGGCCAGGCTGGTCTTGAACGCCTGACCTCAAGTGATCTGCCCGCCTCGGCCTACCAAAGTGCTGGGATCACAGGTGTGAGCTGCCACGCCTGGCCAATTTTAGCAAAATCAGTTTTAAAAATAGTCCCTCCTTGACTAGTATTACCTCCTTAAAACAGCATTTCCCAAGCAGCAGCAATTTGGTCCCCCATGGAGAGACCTTCTTGTTGTCACAACCAAAGAGTTGCTACTGGCATCTAGTGGGTAGAGACCAAGGATGCTGCTAAATATCTTACATGTGCAGGACAGCTCCCCCCAAACAGCAAAAAATAAATGGTCCCAAATATCAACAGTGCTGAGGTTGAGAAAACCTGCTTTAAAGCAAAATTACTTAAGAGCTTTACATTTTATTTTTAATTTTGAACCCAATGAACAGTCAAGTTTTTGAAAAGGAAGATCATTCTAGGCAAACTCAACATACTGAGTCACGGTCTGAGAAAAGTAAAACTTAGGCCTAGATGGCACTATACAGAACAATTAATTTTAAATATATAAAGCCAAGAAACAGAATTTTCTAAACAGATACAATTTTGGCATAATACATCTTCACTTACATGTACTTCAAACGTTATTTTTATGCCTGCTACATAATAGGTATTCATCAAATCCTTATTGAGGAAGGAAGGAGGGAAAGATCTATCTTCCTATATCTTAGCCCAGGATATTTTGAAAGATAATATTGAAATCAAGATAGGGTCCCTCCCTCTTGGACTTCAGCAGGTTGTTAATGTTGCCCCAAGTCCTCCCTTCTTCCATAGTACTACAGCCAGCCATGGCCATTTTCCAGGCTCCTATGCAACTAGGAAAAGTTCCATGTCTATGAAAGGTCTCACCGATACACCTGTGTGCACTCTGCAGAAGAAAGACCATACTTAGAGGAAATGCTTGCCCTCCATTTCCCATCTTTCCCCCTTACCATATGTTGGGATGTGGAGCTGGCACTGATCCTGTTTTAAGCATGCTGATGAGGCTAACTCCCTAAGAAGAGTAGTAAAACAAAAATAACATGGGTTGTTGAATGACCACTTAGCATGGAGCTGCCTCTCCAGCTGGGATCACTCACCTCCAGATTGTTATGTGAGAGAAATGAACTTATTTAATCTATTTATGTTGAGTCTCTTTCTTACAGCCACTTGTACAAGGCAATTCTATAACTGATAGTTTCCTATGTTATTGGGGTCATAAATGCATTCTATCTGAAGAAATGTTAAACTGGCTAATTTTTAAAAGTTTCAATGCAAATAATAATTTAAAGTCTAGATTATATAGTTACTTTATATGAAGGTTAGGAGGAAGAATTGCCATGGGTTTATGGTCAATCTCATTTATCCAATCTAAAAGGAAAAAGGCACAGAAAAAATCTGAAGATAATTGCCAAAGGAATTCATTGTTTAAATGATATAATATTTATGTAAACTCATGCTAATGATGGCAGGCTGGGCACTGTAAAATGTAGGCTTAAGCACATAATTTTGACTTTTAAAATTTTATGATTATAGCATTTTCATCGTCTTGACTTTGTCTCTCTTTGACTAAGATACCTGTAAGAATACCAGTAGCAACAGGAAAAAAGAAACAAAGGCCAGAAGACTCCACAAAGTTAATTAATCTTGAATCACGGATTTCTGTATAAATTGTGTACGCAGATTTTGAATAGCCAATTAAATTTAATTCAAAAGCTTCTGTGCCTATCTTGGTGTTCAGAAAATGCAGCTGCTTCTCTTTGGGCACATTCTTTATTGAACTGCAAAATATTTTTCTTTGGACTTTATCTGAATGTTATCTGTTTGTTCAAAGATTTATTCCTACTCTATGTGAATATGGAGGAATTGTTGACAAACTAAATAATTCCCATGAGAATCAATTAAAATACATTTCAGTTAATCAGCTTTATGCAATTCAGATTTTTCCATCAATATTGCTCTTTTAAAAAATTAATGTCTTCAATACTATCATGGGCTTTTTATACTAGGAAGTATCTATACCTTAAATATATGAAAATAGCAAAGGTACCAAGATATATATTGCAATCTCTTAACATCCTCCCCATCCAAAATTATATTTATGGATTGCTTTGAAAAGTCCATTGCAATTAATTCAATGATGTATGCAATTTTTAATAACTTGAAATCAAAGCTTAAAGATAGCATGATTTAAAGTAAAATAGCTTCATCTGAAATATATGTTTAAAGATTTTAAAATTCTAAAGAATTTGTCTCACAACAAAATCATTTCTAAATTTAATAAAGTTCAGTGTACAAATTAGGTAACTTTATAATTTATATATTAAGTTCAAAACTATTTACTATTTTCAGAGGAATATTAATTTTGGCTGAAAAAAAAAACCAAGATGCACTTCCTTCACAGTTGAATAGCAGCACACTGATTACCGATTGAGGAAATTTTGATTCTTGATTTAGGAGTAAATTGATCTCATAATGTAAAACAAAATTAAAATGACAGTTTCACAGCCTCTCTCCTTCCCAATTTCTTTCTGGGGCATTAGTCACTCAGTTACATTCCACCCCTATAGGAAAAGGCAAACAGATGACATACTGTGACCAGTGAATATCCCAGGGAACACTCAATCAGTAAATCACCACAGTGATACTATGATGGCTACCACAGGTATGTGAAGACGACATTATTACCTACTGTAAAAAACACAATCATCTAAATAAAGAAATCACAATTCTCAATTTTAAACCAAAAAAGCTTCAGGAATCTCCATAGGTCGGGCGCGGTGGCTCACGCCTGTAATCCCAGCACTTTGGAAGGCCAAGGCGGGCAGATCACGAGGTCAGGAGATCAAAACCATCCTGGCTAACACAGTGAAACCCTGTCTCTACTAAAAATACAAAAAATTAGCCGGGCATGGTGGCAGGCACCTGTAGTCCCAGCTACTTGAGTGGCTGAGGCAGAAGAATGGCGTGAACCCGGGAGGTGGGGCTTGCAGTGAGCCGAGATCGCACCACTGCACTCCAGCCTGGGCGACAGAGTGAGACTCCGTCTCAAAAAAAAGAAAACAAAAAACAAAACAAAACAAAGAGCCTCCATATACACCGAGTTCCACAGGGCAGGCTGTGTGAAAATGAACTGGAAGCTCTTATGCATGCCATATCTGTGGCCTTCAATAAGTCAGAAGTCTCCAGGCTTTTTGTTTGATTTTATCTATAAAAAAAGGAAACTGGTCTTGGCCAGTGGTTCTCCACAGGAGCAGTACCCTAGGATGTGTTTTGGAAACAGATGAGCATTTTTGGTTTTCACAGTGATTGGCACTTAGGGAGGCAGAGAAAAGATGTGGTTCCTTTCCACATATCCAGGAACTGTGCCATGTTTCAAATATCTCTCTGTTCATTCCT
This sequence comes from Homo sapiens, assembly GCF_000001405.40. NCBI lineage: Eukaryota > Metazoa > Chordata > Mammalia > Primates > Hominidae > Homo > Homo sapiens. Next base: position 117,858,719 of record NC_000007.14, read on the forward strand.
TTCACTGGAACCTTCTATATGACCAGTCTAGAGGGTAACTCCTTTTTACTTATTAAACAAGTCAATATAATTTTTAACAAACTGAATTTTCCAGGGATTCAACTCCTGTGTATGTGCGTACTTTTGCTTGCAACTTTACTAAGTCATTCACCATTTCAGAAAATCACCTCACCCACCACAAATCTGCTGACTCAGAGTAAACAACATAGCAGGATGGGATCAGGATTCTTTTGCAACTATTATATTCATGTCAATGCCATGAATAGGTTCAAATAGACACGTGTTTTATCACGTCTTTCAGTACAGTCATGTCTGAGCATTTATATATTGAGTACATCATATTTTATTTTAAATATTTTCCTGGTATCTTTGTATTGGTTTTGTAATTTTTAACAGAACCTACTTATACATGCAATTCTCCATAAATTTCATTGCAGGATAGTAAGAAGGTGATAACATATTTTATGAAAAGGAGACACCACATCTGACAGGGATGCAAAACACTGACCTACAATATCATCTAAGGCTCCCTGTAATTCTAACATTCCTTGACTCTATGAAAAATGTTCATTCGGCAAGTGCTGATTATTAGCAAGCCTTTACGTCTACTCTCACATTTCAACATTTCAAAGTATTGCAATTAAATTAAAAAGAGAAATACATGTGGTTGCTAAGGTGATACATAAAAACACAGACTTCACTAAATGTTCAAACATTGATGTGAGTAGTGGGGAATTCCACAGTGCTGATGCCTTTCACAAGTTAACACAGAAGGACCAAAAAATATATATATATATCTAAGGCACAGCTGGAGCCCTTCACTTCTATCTCACCACAAGAGGCTATACTACTGGCCTTCGCAGCTGACTGTGCCCTTGTTCTGTCCTTGGGCTAAGGGTCACATATGTTAGTTACATGCTGCCTCAGCATTTCTCCCAAAAATTTCATTCAGGAAAATTTACATTTGCCAGCAATACAGATGTTCTCAATGTGGAATAGGATGAATATAAGCAAACTGCAAATGTCTACTGAGCAGAACTTGTCATTCAAAAGGCAACACCTTCAACTCAGTATCGGCCACTATACTTAACTATACTACCATTTTTCTGTGGCAATTTGTTTCTGCAATCAAATTGATGGATAATCACTACATCTGCTATGCCAACTTCTGGTTTATGAAAATACATTGAAGACATGACTTCAGGAACTATCTCTTCTTCCCACACAACTGAGTTCTCCCCATGTCCACCCTCTCCATTATTATGTCTGACCATCCAGCACTACCACCTCCCTCCTCTACCATATACGCTCCTGTCACAGGTAACAATGTGTTAACATTCCACAGATTTTCATATGTACATTAAATTAGACTTCCTAAGACAAGGTTTGAGGAAACAATTCCCTGATGAAATAAGATAAACCCATACTTAATAAATATATCCTTCTTGGCCAAATGACCAAGAACCAAAAAATAACTAATTACAGACAAAGTATTAAATAGAAAAGAAGGAAAAAAACAAGCACCAAATTATGTTTGATCTACAAACCAAAATAAACGCAAGATCCAGAATACTTAATTGGAAAATTGGTGATTAGACTTTCTTGATGTATTGTTTTTTCTTTTCTTTTTTCTTTTTTTTTTGAGATGGAGTCTTGCTCTGTCGCCCAGGCTGGAGTGCAGTGGCGTGATCTCGACTCACCGCAAGCTCCACCTCCCGAGTTCACGCCATTCTCCTGCCTCAGCCTCCCGAATAGCTGGGACTACACGCGCCCGCCACCATGCCCGGCTAATTTTTTGTATTTTTTAGTAGAGAAGGGGTTTCACCGTGTTAGCCAGGATGGTCTCAATCTCCTGACCTCATGATCCGCCCACCTCGGCCTCCCAAAGTGCTGGGATTCACCATTGTTTTTTCAAAAAGAAAATTTTATTGAGACATTTAAGTAATATATTCTTTGTAAGCAATTACAGAAATATTTCAAAATTACTGAAAGACCAGAAAAAATTAACACTTTGAAGGTATGGATAAACATTTACTTTTTAATGCATGAGTTTCTAAAAATAAAAAAATAACAATTTTTATAGGAAGAAAAATATCTATTACCAGCAATATTTTTTATAAACCTCAACTTTTCCTCACTGCCCTCACATACATGTAGGATACCAAATTAGCAATTTTCTGAAAACACGTTTCTAACCAAATAAACATGTGAAACATAAAAGGATTTCTGAACGAGTACAGCTGACTCCTCAAGTTTCCCGTACTAAACAGTTTCGTCTCGGCCCCCAGCATTTCAATGACCATCTGACTTCAGTGTTTGTTTGGGCTTATAAAAGTTATGGGTTAGTGTTTGGGGTGAAGAGCACATTTTGACCTGATGTAACATTTTAAATCTATTTGATTCAAAAATTAAGAAAAAGAAGGTTTGCCAATGGCTCTTTGAAAAAAGCAAATGATCCAGCATGGAGACCCACTCCTGTGTCGTCCTTACCCGCAGGGCCTCGATGACAAGGTCTCTGGCCTCCAGCTCCCCTTCCATCACGCTGAGGAGCATCCGCAGCTCGGATTTACTGAGAGTATCCACATCAAACTCTTTTTTCTGTAACACATAAAAAAATAAGGCCATGAAAAATCTTTTCCTAAGGAAGACACACACATCCTAAGGGTATGCAATGAATCAGTTTTATCCCAGTGGCTCGGCAGATCCAGCAGGCACCGGGGTACTATTTGCAGCAGACAATTTACGCCTTGACCTTCTAGGAGGAGAGGTAAAAACTATAACGCCAATCTCTCAACTCTCCTCTCCAAGGAGCTATAGTTGCCCAGCCTGCCTGCACACCCAGACTCAAAATCTCTCCAAATTACATAGCACAAATTTAAAGTCCCTGGAGTCTGAGGCAAAACAGGTCTGGTACATCTTGGGGGAGTGGGGGAGTTTCAAGAGAAGCAAAGAAAGCATGGATGTATTCCTAGAAGGGCCCCAGCATAAAGGTTCCTGGGAGGTTATTATAAATTCCAGAACATCCAATAATAATAGGTCATGCTTATACACTCTGCAGCAGAGGCCACCAGCTGGCAGCCAAATCTGGCCCACAGATGTGTGTTACTCGGGTCACAAAGTGGGTTTGTCGTTGTTGTTGTTTTTCATTTAGCCAACATTAAAAAAAATCTGAAGATGTCACCAAAAAATCCAGATCCCTGGCTTGTCTTTAAATGTCAGATGACTGGGTAACTCCAGATTCATATTTCCTCAGGGCAATAATCCACCGAGCCAGGAAGTAGCTGCCCCTTTAGAAGGAACACATTCCTCATGTTGCCAACCCTCCCTCACCAGCACATACACACACACACACACACATACACAGTACAGGCACACGCACTTTTAAGAAGCCAGGACTGCCATCCATGTGTGGTCATCTGGGCTGCCATAGTCAGGTGGGTTTGGAACCCCTGCTGTTTGGTTATCAAAGTGACTTCTTATGAATGCCTCTGTAGCTTCTTGGCAGGCCTGGGAGGGAGCTGAGGCTGGAGTAAGTGAGCCTTCCAGGGACCCAGCTACAGTACAAAGTCAGCACCAGAGCCCTAGGTGTGGGGTGGGGTGGGGGGGCGGTGTGGTGGTTCATAATTTCTCACACAAGGTTCTTCCAGCCCTTTTGTCTTCTCTTGTAGATTTCTTCCCTGAGTGACTGCATCCAACCTCTCATGGCTTTAAATCCCATGAATATACCATTGACTCTCGATTCTTTTGTCTTCCACTCCAACCTTCCTCATAGCAACTTTTACAAGTAGGTTCTCTGGCATTCGTTTTAGAGATAAAGCTGAGAGCAAGTTCACAGTCAGCCTGGGTGAGTCCAAAGGCTGAGATCCTTCCACCAGGCACACTCTGCTCCTCCCTTCTGTACACAAACTCATTTGACAAGCTCAGTCACCATCACAGGGAAGAGTAACACAACATTTATCCCCAAATCTCTCTGTAGACTCGCCCTCAGAAGCCATTGTTCAAAACATGCCAGAACATTACTTCACACTTGCATAGCACCCAATGGCTTCCAAAGTATTCTCAAAGAATTGACTCTAATTTACACCATATTGCCACCTCCATTTTTAAAATAGAAACTCAGAAAAGTCAGATGATATATGCAGATCATGCAACTAACCAGTAAATGGTAAAATCAGGATATATGATCAAATGCCATGATTTATCTTCACACTTTACCGGCATGGCACCAACATTCTAGAATAAGCTCTTTGAGATGAGATAAAAATGGTACCATCCTGTCAGTCAGCCAACATGAACACTGGTCTATTTCTGTGAAGACACAAAAGTATACATAGCAAAGACAATAAATGATTTCAGAGGCTTTCAAACAGGCATGACCAGAATGGTCACATTTAAGTTTCAAAATAATCTTCTGGAAAGAGATATGACGGTACAAAGGGGAAAGAGACTAGAGCTAGGGGGTTCTCTCAAGAAAGGTTTTAAAAGGATCTCTCTCTTAAAATTATTTCTTTTTGCATATACACTAGACAGAGAAGTTATTTGGAAAGGCAAGCGCTAAGGATAAAGAGAAAAGGAAAATCTATAGCAAGCATAAATCATGTATAGTTCTGAAGAATCCATCCTTCAGAGATTTCTTGCAGATGCTCCCTATGAACAGTAAAATCCAATGTACCAAGTCTCAGTTTCTGCTCCTACTACACAGTAGTGTCCATAAGGTCTTATAAACTAATTGTTCTCAAACATTGGCATGCATAAGAATCACCTGAAGACCTTGTGAAAAAACAAGCCACGGGGCTCCACCCCTGGAAATTGTGATTCAGTGAGTCCGAGGTGGGGCTGTGAATCTGCCCTTCTAACAAGCTCCTGCTGATGTTGCTGGTCCACGGACTACATGGTGAGGAGCACTTCTGTAACTCATGCCATCCTCTGTTTTCTCATCTGTATAATGGAATTCCTAACGTCTACCCTGCATTCTTGTGAGGATTAAACAAGAACATATCAATGAAGTAAGTGCCAAATGAAGGCAGGCGATTGTTATTATTAACCCAGATGTTTCATGTAGAGAGGAATGGGGTATTGGCCAGGAGCCTATTTCTTTGAAAATCTACCAGCCCAAGTCCAATAAACTCAGTTTATTCACTATGATGAAAGACAGGCTCTTTTATCCTGGTTTTTCCCACTGAGATGGGAGAGTAAGCTGCAATTCTTATGTGCTTTAGAGTGTAATGCTTTATTAATGATGCTGCTGGTTGCTCTAAAGATTTTAATTAATTGTATATTTTATTGTCTTGTTTCTCCAAAGCTTTATAAGCAAAGTGCTCCATTTTAAAAACTAATAAATTATGAAAGACATTGCCAAGATCCTGATTCATATTAGAGTCAGGAGAGCCTGCCCTGCTTCCATCAGTAGCAGCAACACATGTGACCTACAGCTAAAACTTCTGTTTTTCTATGTATTACCATCAATAAAGAGGGAAATTCATTAAAATAAAAAATATTGGTACAAGCATTCTTGCTAAACCATAGATTATGTCACACAGAATGTTAAAAATAAATCTGTCTCCCATCACAACATATGAAGTGATGTACTGTTTGAAACATACAGTGCATCTGTCTGCTTGTCTCTCTTCCCTCTATGACTCCACCCCCACTTCTCCACTACTAGTCATAGTAAAATTTCTCTACTAATTCCTGGCCTTCCATAGTACAAATATAATAATAATATTTTCAAATTGTCAACAACTTTTATTTCCAATTCTATTCTGGCAAAACAGGGTTAAAAAAAGTACTGTGCATGAAAAGATGCTGGAGATCTTAAGACTCCAAGTATTTTATAAATATAAAGCACTTTAGCATTTTTAGAAAAATAACCCCAGAAGCAAAAATTCTAACAAAAACTACATTTTTGTTAGAATATATATATTCATATATCTAGATGTATGAATATATATTCATATATTTATATATATTCATATATATTCATATATTCATATATATTCATATATACATATATTCATATATATTCATTCAATATATATTCATATATATTCATTCAATATATATTCATATATATTCATTCTATATTCATATATATTCATTCAATATATATTCATATATATTCATTCTATATTCATATATATTCATTCAATATATATTCATATATATTCATTCAATATATATTCATATATATTCATTCAATATATATTCATATATATTCATTCAATATATATTCATATATATTCATTCAATATATATTCATATATATTCATATATATATGAAGTGGCATTAATCTTAGATGCATATGGTACAAAAGTACTTAGATATAGAAAAAATATTAAAGTTTCTTGGTTTAAGAGCCAAACGAACTATTTTAAGTCATATAATGTTTATAAAAGATTGCCTTGATAATCTAATTTTCAAATTGGATAGAAGACAGGACAGATTCAAATGCTGCCACTCACACAAAAAAATTAAGGTCTCTATCAGGGCACCATGAAAACATGACCCCCAAATCCCCAACGCCCCCCAGAAAAAAATCACAGCAGACATGTTCGCAGACTAAAGTTTACTATTGAACTTGCTTTTCCCAATTAAAAAAGAAAAATCCAGCTATTTTTTAGTGATGAAAAGAAACTAAAAACAAAGTAAAACCAGACCTGTGCCAGGCACGGTGGCTCACGCCTGTAATCCTAGCACTTTGGGAGGCCAAGGCCGGCAGATTGCCTGAGCTCAGGAGTTCAAGACCAGCCTGGGCAACATGGTGAAACCCCGTCTCTACTAAAATACAAAAAAAAAAAAGAAAAAAAATTAGCCAGGCATGGTGGCATGCACCTGTAGTCCCAGCTACTATGGAGGCTGTAGGTGGGAGAATTGCTTGAACCCAGGAGGCAGAGGTTGCAGTGAGCAGAGATCGTGCCACTCCAGCCTGGTGACAGAACAAGACTCCATCTCCAAAAAAAAAAAAAAAAAAAGAAAAGAAAAAATAGAAAAACAGATTTCAATTCCACAGGCCACTCTTCTGCCTGTTACATTTGCCAGGAAAAGCATTCCAGAAAAAGTGCTTAACACCTAGTTTTAAAAATCTGGCATGGCAGCTTCAACTAATCCAGAATCTGGTCATCAAAGTATGTCTTGTTTAGGATACAAGTCATATATATTAATTTATTGTATGTTAATCTATTGTATATTACAATTTATTATATATAATTTATTTAAAATTAAAAAGTATACTTATATAATTATATATATAATATATACATATATATAGTATATTATGTATAAATGGAAAAGGAGAAATAATCCCAAACTCAACTGTTCAACACTGTAGTTTTGAACAGCTCTGAATTACTTGGCGCAAGCGTGGGGAGGGCATTCTTCAGGATTTTTTCTCATACAGGCTGAGAAAGAGAGAAAGAGACAGAATAGACAAAACAGACCCTGGCTGAGTAAACTCATCTTAAATTTCCAGAATTGAACACAGGCCAATACCAAGTTTCCCCCTCCCCAAATCTAAAACACTAGGTTTATGTGGGGAATTCAATAGATACAGCTAAATATTAACAGAAAAGTCTTACCCATACCCTTTTAGAATTAGTGGAACCAACCAACAGTGATTGATTATCAGAATGCCTTCAGGAGACATTATGAGCCACAATGGCAGAGACACCCCTCAGATCTTTCCTCAAACACATCCGTCCTATCAGGGCTGCTGGGGGATATGTTGGTGACCAAACACAAACTCAGGCACTTTCTCTGGCTCTTCCCACCAACACCAAGAGCCTCTCTTCCAATTTAAAATCCAGCAGGTTGTGCCTATTTTCCATCAGTAAGCTTTACACAGGAGAAAGCAGGCAGACTGGAAGGTGGGGTGATGAGCAATGTGGCTAGGGAAGAATCAGCAAAGTAGGGCAAATCATTTCATCTGTTTGAATCTCAGGTTTTCCATCAGTAAAAATAAGGATGCTGGAGTAAGTGATCTCTTAAATCTCCCCCATCCCCTAAATGTCCTGATTTCATGTACCATCAGGGTAACTGGATTACTGGACTGAGGAAATTCATTTAGGTCATTTCCTGAGCCTAAAAGCGTTTGTGAGGTACTTGAGGAAAACTGATTTTGCCTCTTTGCTCAGAAGTTAGAGAAATGTATTTTCCTCCCAGTTTAATAGTGCATGCCAATAATAATGCATTTAGAACTTTCTATGTAAGCAAGATTTATGCTTTGGGGATGAATAAGGGCTATCAAAAAGGAAAAGCAATGAAATCAACTTGAAAGTTCACCATCACAATGCAAAGGCTGTATCACTGACATGCAAAATATTAAATTCACCTCTCTAGGTACATAAGAACATGCACTATATTAAGAATTCAGCTAATTGTAAGGGTTTTCATGAAGAAAAGTACATACTTCTCAAGATCTCAAAGTATTTTCAAATCTCTGAAGTTACTTCTTGCCTTGAGATTATCTTCCCGATTTCTCTCTCTACAAGGAGGAAAGAATTTTTGTGATGGGGTTGCATACCTCTGATGCTGCTCTTCCTAATCCTCCATTCTCCTCTGATTCATCTGGGTACTATCTTTCTTCAGCACATAGCTCAAACCCACTTTTGAATGTCTTTCCAGACTCCAGAAATCTCTTGTTCTCGCCATTCAGTCTTAAAATCTGCTCTATTACTTCACTTGGCAGTTAATCATGTCCGGCCTTGTGCATTTCCTCATAGTAAACTTATTATCTCTATTAACTCTATTTTCTCACTCCTACTAGATGTGTCAGGACAGTAAGAACATTACTTCTTCACTTATTTTATCCAACATGCTCCCCCTGCCCCCACCCCACCATATACACTTTGGGTATAAAATGTCTACTGCACACAGTATGAAAACAGAAAGTGTGCAAAGGATGTCTCAGGTACATCCATCTTACTAAGATACAATGTTTCAGCCCACTCTAGGGGGAACTAAGTAACTGTATTAGATGATTCTCTCAGTGTTTCAAAAATCATTTAGAGTAACCTAAACTAGGGAAGCTGCTTGATGTTCCACTTTAAAACAACATATAGTACGAGAACATGAGATCTATTTGGTGTCAGCTCTCCAAGGTCATGCACCTCAAATCAACCACACTGTCTGGGGTCTTTGATGCAAGACAAGAAACTCAGTGTATTGAAAGGAGGTAATACTGACAAGGAAACAATGTCAGGAAGGAAACCTGGTAATGGATGTAACTAATTTTAGCTGAGAAAGCTGGAAAGAATGGCAGAAAAGTGGCTCAGGGGTGACAGCCTCTGATAATTAAGCTCAGCTACCTCCCTTTTCCTCCTTTCAGATCTCCCCGCAGTCTCTATTTCCTCCTTAGGGAAAAAAAGGACTACATCTCAAATAAAACAAACATCTATTTTCACCCTAACTCAGTTTTTCGATGTGACATCAGCCCGACATGGGACATGGATCAGCTCCACAGGCAAGCAGACATTCAAATGTAATAACCATCCTTTAAGAAGCTTACAATGCATTAAAGAATAGTCTTGATTATCTGTAGGTGGCAAATATCTGCACGCTGATTTTCAAATGAAAAGGCTGGGCCAGATGAAGACGCAGGCCTTTGGAACCATCTTGTCTTTTCAATGAAATATAAAAATGTCAAAACCAAATCATCTGCAAACAAGTACTCACTCTACACAGCAATGTTACCTCGACTACTCTACATTTACTATAACCTTTTAAACTGATCCCCAATGTATTAGTTGGTTACTAACAATTTATTTAAAGAGAGTATCTCCCCCTACTCTAAAATCAGGATTTCTATATGGAAGGCATCATGCTGTACACGGCATTAATAATATGATCTCATTATTTGTGTAAGTTATTTAAAACATTAAAATTTTAAAAATCTTTCAATATCGATGTCATCATCATCGTCTCTCGTACCTGTCCTCTGATTCCTTACCTAACTACCAACAGAAAAGACAAATCTTTTTCCATGTTACATAAGCTTTGCAAAGGAGCACCAACAGAGAATAATGTAATCGAGTATGTTCAAATAAAGTATCCTTCTAAAGCAATACTCAGACAGGCCTGGGTAGCAAAGTAAATGAAGTTGGGGGATACTGCTCCATCCTTCCTAGGCACATTCAAAGTTGAAATTCCAGTCCCACATTTCTGTGAAATTGCAGACTATTCTAAAGCCTTGCCTAAACTCCTTTTTTCCTGCCCATTCTTTCCTTTTATTCCCCTTTCCTGTTTCCAAACTTCCCCACATTTCTCTTAACCCCCTATCAATCATCCTCTCCTCCACACCCCAATGGGTGATGTGGCCTTGACTCTTATTATTGGAAGGATGCAGGATGGTAGAGGTGCAGCCTCAATCATCATTTTGAAAAGCGAGAATCTAAAGAGAAAACTAATAGTGTTGGAAATTAAACTTTTAAAAAACCCCTGCAAAGAATCTAAGAAGTCATTGAGAAAAGCAGCTTGGAAAGCGGCAGTATTAAGATGAAAATTTTAAAAGAATTAGGGTTATCTTTTTGGATCAAGATCTATAATATCTATAACATTAATTATTACAAGTCACAGGCCAATAATTTCACTATAAGATAGCTGGTAACACACAAAGTGAGTTTTCTAATTAGCCAATCAACATTAAATTTTATGACACAGCTTCTTGGTGAGCTTCTTTTCATTTTCTTCATTCAGTAAATATTTGTGGAACACTTACCATGTGCCTGGCATTGTGCTAACCACCTTTGCTTTCTTTTACAAACTTCACACAACTCTCCTCGGAGGAGGAGGCTGCTTTCTCCCAGCCACAGCCTTCCTGTCCACATGATCAACAGCAGATATTTGTAAATGTCTAAGTACCAAGGCTGTGAAACATTTTCTCACCTCATAAAGTTATGAGAAACACACAAGGATAGAACCAACTGGTAATCTAGCCCAGGCATGGATTCAATCACTGAGAGGACAAATGTTCTCTAAACAAAATTGCTGCTGTGAGAAATACAATAACAATGACAGCAACGACAATAATAATAAAGTTCAAAAACTGGGGCAAACAGAAATCTACAACCTATTATTTAAGAAGAAAAAAAAAAGAGTGAAAAGCAGGACACTGAAAACAGTTATATTCTCATCTTTGGAAAAATATTCCAGTCAATTTCCTCAACTTCCAAGCTATTTTTCTGAACCATATAGCTGAGACCAGAATGGGAACCTCTATGCTCATCACTGAAAACCCTTCGCATATGGCTCCCTAGGATATGACCACATTTGCACACTCCTTCTTGCAGTGCCGGTCCAAATCCTCCTTCAGTCTCAAGGACTACTTCAAATGTCATCCTTCTATGGAAGTTTCTAGATCCATCCACTAGGGACCCTCTCTATGACTGTTCCTCTCCAAACTTCTAATGCAAAATCATTTTTGCCTCTCATGACACCATCATCCCCAATTTGATTCCTTGGCGTATGTCAGTTTCTATCACTGGAATGTATTACTTTAGGGTAGCAAAGATCATACTCATGATGCCTGTATCTCAGTAAGTGTTCAGTAATGTGTGTTAAATCTACGTTATTTCCTATTTAAAAATTAAGCTGCAACACTTTCAACATTCTATAGCTGCCACGTAACTATAATTTAGTTTAAAAAAACGCTTAGCGCAATTGGCTACGAAAGTTCTTTTCAGTGCATTTACATTCAATACTGTCACCTGGAAAACAAAAATTTCAAGTTCAGCTGTTAATTTGTTTAACATCACTGTCGTGCATTTTAAATCATTGTCCAAGTTTTTCTTTGTCACTGCCACCATGACAACAAATTTTATACCTACTTCTTGTCTATTAGCTGCTCCAGAAAAGCTCAGAATGACAAGAATGTTGGTTGGCTTCCCAAATATAGCTCTAAAAAGATCTCCATTTTCCTTTCATTCCAAAATTCTTTGGTGACAATAAAAAGCATGAAGATTTCGTTTTCCATACTGCCTTATCCATTAGGAGTTATTTTCAGAGTGGAAACAGCAATATGGCCTATAAAAGTCATCACATTTGGCTAAGGCACTGAAAATAGCCCAGGTTTCCCGGCACGGTTCACGGCAAAGACTATTAATATGATCCTATTGAATAATGTAGCTGTTACCCAGCCTTAAACTTGGGATGCTTTCAGGATTTAAACAGCTAAGAATGAGGATCACAAACTAAATTTAAAACATTCCACTAAAAATGATATTAAACTGAAAACTATAAATTAAGCTTGTTTCTAAGCAACAATCTAAATAGTCAAAGCTTAGTGAAAACACTCACTTTCAAAAATAGCCTACTGCTTTAGAGCTTCCATTGACTCCTTACTGCCAAATGTATACATAAAAATGCACGATATGTAAACCAATTTGAAAGTCAACAAATCTCCAAAATGCAAAGTGAATTGTTCACTAAAATAAAAAATATCAGTCAACAAGAACCCAAAATGCATAAAACGCCTCTGATTTTTAAGGAGCAATTGTGATGACACATATCACTCCTCTACACTAGCTTTCCTTTCACTTAAAAATCAGTCTATAGGTCAAGCGGCTGATATGAGAGAACCATGCCTTATTAAGTCAAAACTATTTGGAGAACTAAAATAAAAGGCCCAATTTACTACAAAAGCCATCATCAAAATTTTACTAAAAATTCAGAAATTATTACTGGTTTTTAAACTACTAGATGAAGAATCCTTATTGCATCTCGCAACCCTAAAGGATTCTATGGAAATAGCAAAGAAGGTTCACTTTCGCAGATTTTCCATGGCTCTGCCCATTAACAAGGGTGAAATTATCAAATCCCCAACTATCAGCAGTGAAAATCAGACTTGAACATTTTAAACAGAAGAGAGGGAACACTGACCTTGTTAACACAGAAATCTGCCTGGCGTCCTGGGTTTTGTTTACGATCTAACCAAACAAAACTATATATCAGCTCTACAGACCATCAGTCAGATGTTTGTGTTTGGGTTAATTGTCAGGTGATTAAAATATTGAGGGTAACAGAAACCCATTCTGAGTGGATTAAGTAAACAAATTCAACCTTTCTGGGGAACAAGAAACACACCACACACACACACACACACACACACCCTCTTTCTTTTTCGTCCTTCCCCTTCACACACACACACACACACACACACACACACCCTCTTTCTTTTTCCTCGTCCTTCCCCTTCCCACCTTTTGGGGATGAAGGCACCAAATCATTTCCACTTGCCAGAGAGCCTTGTCTCAATAGCTAGTTTCCTTACTGTGCCCCACAGAGGGGAGCTGATTCACATAAGTGGGCAGGTTTCGTTTGAAATCTTAAAGTTCTCATTTTCTATGCAAAGAATGGAAACTCAATTTTCCCAAAAGTTCAAATCAAAACTTGCCAGTTTTACAAGTGGAAATTAGCAGTCCTCCTCCCCGTTTCTCCTTCCATTGCCAGGCTCAGCTCCTCTCACCCCAAGTACCTTCCTCCACATCTCTCCTCTCCCTCTCCAGAAAGCCCTACCTCCAGAGGGTGGGAGGAAGTTAAAGCGGCCCCCGCTGTTTACGCCCGGCCCTGCCCTCTCCTGCACTGATTCTGCTCAGGTCTTGATAGGAAGAGGGGGGCGTCCACGCCCCGCTCGCTCCATCCCACCCCATCCTTCGGCGGGAGCAGCCAGATCTGGCCAAGAGTGGGAGGCGCTCCCAGATCTGCCTTTCTCTGCAGCTCCTTGCAGCTCCTGCGAAGCTGCTTCCCAAACACCGAGAACCTTTTCCACCCAGGAAATGTGGGTCCAGCCCTTCCCCAAAGTAGAGGCTGGAAACCACCAGCGAGTCTCTACACCGGAATATTAAGGGGGTGAAAGTAAGGACCAGTCAAGAATGGTAGCGCATTCGGCCTCTAGACTCCAGAGAAGGAGAACAATGTCTTGAAACCAGGTGCAGAACCTCCACCTCTCCTGAGCATCGTCTCGGGAAGAACCAATCCATCCACCCCACCCCAATCACTACCACCAAGTAATGGGGCAGCAGGCTGCTAGGACCTAAAGCGCTGGCCTCAGCGGCAGCAGCGCCCACATCTGGACACGGCCCTCTCCCAGTGGGCCTCCCGAAGGCACAGGACCAGATGCACACAATGGGCATCCCCACACCTGCTGGGCGATGGCCCACCTCCCCCAAGCTGCTCTCCCGGGTCCGCTGAGCGGTACCAGGCACCCCCGAGACACGCGCTGGCAACCACGCGCGCAGCGAGAGGTGAACAATGGGGGGTCAAATTCGCCAGGAAACACGTCCCAGCCTTCTCCCCCGGCCAGAAGCGACCGCAGCGGAGGGAGTGGGCATAGGGGTCGCACTGGACGCAGACAGGGAGCTGGGAGAACCGGGCGACCCGGGGCCGCTTCCCGTGGGGCGCGGAAGGGACAGGAGGGATCCCCAGCCAGGGTGGCCGCTCCGCTCCCCCCCGCGGCCTCCGCCGTGTGGGCATCCCGAGGAAGGGGGGCCCCGATGAAGGGGCACCGGAGAGTCCCGGGCTTACGGAACGCCCCGGGGGTGCGAAGTCGGGTCCGGCTGGGACCCCGGCGCCGCCCCCGGCCCGCGTCTACACTAGCCCCGCGCCCGCCCCGGGAACTCGGTTACCGCCGCCTCCGCCGCGGCCCCCGCCGCGTCCTCCGGGGCCCGGGACAAGTCGGGCTCGCAGCTCGCGCCGTCCGTCGCCATCTTCCTGCTCTAGCGGATCCGAATGCGAGCTCGGAGCCGCGGCTCCGGACTCAGCCGTCTCCGCGCGGGCGGCACTTAACCCGCTGCTGTCCGGGACGCGGGCGCCTGGAGCCGGGAGCCGGGAGCCGCGGCACTCCCTCCGCCCCTCGCCACCGCCCTCGCCGCTTAACCCGCTGCGCGCCGGAGCGCCCCGCCTCGGTCCCGCCCCGCGCCCCGCGTCCCGCGCCCGGTGGCGCCAGCCGCGGGCTCGTGGAGGTGCGAGAAATGGGCGCACGACCTGGCTCCGCTGCGGCCCTGCGCGGGGACTGGGGATCAAAGACCACGGAAGAGGTGAAGGCAGAAAGCGCCCGAGGAGCGTTGCATTCCGCAGAACCCCAACCAAGCCGGAGAAATCCGTGCACAGACCAGATTAAATGTCAGGCCTCCTGAATCTGAATTCTCTGAAAGATCAGGGAAAATCCTACACTTCAGCTCCCTCTATCCCACCGCGAGGAATCACACAGGGCACCCCTTTCTTCTTAAATTGCTCTTTCTTAAATTTCATTGCCGCCAGGGTGTTTTTATCCTCCCTATATATATACACACCTGGCTCTGATTTATTCTATCGTTGACTCTAGTGTTTCTCCAAAAACAATTCTCAGATGAAAACGATTTGTCTGTCCTGTTTTCTTTTAGAACGTGGCACCAGCCCCTCAGCTCCTAACTTTCTATACAATCTCCTTTTCAGGGAATGTGTAGCGGGCTGTTTTATATTCTGTGACCCCCCTAAGTCTGAGATCTCTCCTGAAGGACTAACTGAGAAGTGTTAAATGTCATAGCTTTAAAAGCTAAATGTCATGTCCTCTACTTTTGAGAGAATTTAAAAAAATTACTCCCTACGTGTGAGGACACGTGTACATATACACCAAAAACAATCAAACAAAAGCCGTATTTGTAAAAATAGATTTTATGGGAATTACACGTCTCAGAAGATTTTTCATGAGATGAGTGAATTAGGCCCAAACGCTTAATCTTCCCTTTCCACATCTAATTCAGTTCCTACCCTTTGCTGCCAATTTCCAGAATGTGAAAATCTATCACCTCACCAAGACCATATGGTACAGCCCTTCCCAAATCACCAGATCCCTAAAAATGTGTCGAATGCATAAAATCAAATTGAGACATTCAAGCTGTGTCTCAAAGACGTAAAATCAAACCACAACCAAATCTTGCACTTGAAATTTTGGAAGATGAATGACTAGAATGTTCAGTCCAAGGGTTACAGATCAAAGCTTTTTTTTTTTTTTTCCTTTTTTCTTTCTTTCTTTCTTTCTTCTTTTTTTAATGGCAGGCTCCTAATGAAAGGTTTTGACTCTTTAATTGCTCCACTTTCCAAATTAGACCCAAATATGACACAAACCAGGGCAGAGAAAATCTTTTCTGCAAAGACCCTGAAAGGGATTGATTAATAAACTGTGAAAAGTTCCCTCCCAGAAGAGAGGTCAAGAAAGAACTTTACCTAGAACTCTGGGGCTAAAAGTCAGAGGCTTAGAAATCATCTCCAGGTTATCCTGTGAGTACAGGTACTTATTTATTTATTTATTTATTTATTTATATTGGCTCTGATAGTTACTCCCTCACTTATCCCTTTAATATCCATCCCTGTTCATTATACCACTTTCCTTTATTAAGTATACTCTCTAAAACTGCTCAATATTAGAATAACTAGATTTCTTTAAGATTAAAGAAAACCACTGGACAGTAAAAGTTAGATGTCAAACTGATAGTAAAAATTTAAAGTCCAAGGGCATTCCTTGTTCTTTTCAAAATGCACTTCCACACATTGCAAGGCAATCAATTTTCTTGATTCTGATGTTGAATACTTCTCAAGCAATTAACTGGCAAACTTCTGGAAAAAATAATAATAATAAGTTTTACTCAGGGTTAAGAGTTAGAAATATGAAATGACACCATCTCTGGGAAGCAAATCCCTTTTATACATGCAGCCCAATTTTTAAAAAAAAATCACTGGGAAAAAATTAGCTTGTATTCACCTAAATACAATTAAAGCAGGATCATGTTACAAGGAAATCAGTCCTTGCCCACCCCCCCCCCCCACCGCAAACCCCCACCCATCATTTTTTGTTTGTTTTTGTGAAATGGAAAAAAAATAAATAAAACAGTGATAAAAATCACAGGACACCACATTCTCTAACCACCAAAATCCAGTACCTGGGAAGGAGAATTGACAGCATTCTGTTTCCACCTTAAAACCAGCACTGTTGAAGGTTGGCTGAGGATCTCACCTACTGCACAGAAGTGGCACACTAGGAGTTAACTTCCTCACTAGTAGCCTGGCCTGGGGCTGCTTCTCCACCAGGAGGACACTTGCTGGTTTCAATTCTCTCTTGAGAATTAGTCTCTGCTACTATTGCAAATTAACTCTTTCTAAGACTTTCTTTGCACAAAGGCAGGCTCTATTACAGTCAAAGCAAATAGATGTGAAAGGGTATTGACTTGATGGCTCCAGAAATTAAATCTTTTGAAGCCTCATTAAACAGCTAAATAATAATAATAATTAATAATAAAAATAAAAGATATCCCAGGGTTACAGTGAAAATTACTGAAAGGCAGGGTAAAAAAGGAGAAAGATAGAAGTATAAACAGGAGGAAAATAAATCCCTACAACAAAAATGAATCATGAGTCTTAATCAGTAAATTCCTTTTGGCATTAAAATGGAAGGAGTAATACTGAATATATTGCAAATAGAGAAAACTATTATTTACATCCTTTTTTTGGATCATAACGATGCTGATGACCCACTGACTAAAGAATTTGAGGGTAATTATTTTCCAAACCCTGGAATAGAGGTATTTGTGTTGAGCTATAGCACACTCTCTAAGGGTGAAATGACCAGGGAAATGAGTTCTTAAAGGTGGGAATGCAGACAGATGTTTGGGAGCCAAGTGGTTTTCTGATTAAACCATGTCCTTGGCTTCATCAGCCATATCCTCCAACCCACTAAACCAAAAACCCAGAGTTATACATATGATACAACAGGATGCTTCCTTCCATGTGAAAAGATAAAGGAATATACACAGAACCTAAAACTCTTTCCGTCATGGAGTAAGAGAATTATTTATTTCAGTCAAATGACAACATTTATGTTAATTCCAAAGAGCAAACCATATGTCATCATGTCTTAGTATTGCCAAATGACAAAATTATTGAGTAGCAAATCATTTCTGACTGTATCCTCAAGCCTATAGTTATACAATTTAAATATTGCAGACCATGCTTGTCCCTGTCTGCAGCATGGTGACCAACCTAGGAAGCCCCAAATCTTGACGTCAGGAACTCCGCAGATGAGCTCTGAGTGTCCATTGCCAGAAACAAGTTTTCCTATGACCTAACTACATTCCCTCATAGCACATGTCATTAGCTACATGTGCCTCAGGCTTTTTGTGGATTTTACTCAGTAAATTTAATTCTAATCTAGTTAGCCACTCTTGTCAACAATCTATGGTTTTGGAAGGCCTCCTCCACCAACTGCAGTTGGTGTGTGCCAAAGGAATGCAAGCTAATTTTACCTAAGCTAAAGCAAAACATAATTAGGGAATTAAATCTGCTATGTAGGAAGCAAGCCAAAGCGAAACATAAATAATTATCATAATCACTCCCAGCCCCTTTTAATACAACCTTTAACTGGGAACTGTATCTGTTCATTCAATTGCTGAAATAATGTACAAATATAAGATTTGACTGCAAGGTTAGAGCCACATTAAGAAAATCATCCCCCGGTACAGTCACTCTAAGAACAGAAACCAGCTAATACCAAACAATGAAGTAGTGTTGGTTCCATTCTCTTGCATGGTTTTTACATTTTAAATCATTAGTTGTTGGTTTGGATGCTTATCTGCAGAAGTCATTTACAAGAGTAAATTTTAGTGCAGAAAGATGTTTTAGTGCAATACCATTATGGAAAAACAATTTTAACAAAAAAAAAAATCTGGCCTGCTCTTGCCCCTTATCCACCTGAATTGGAAATGGACCTGAATATTTCTGTTTATTCAGCCTCTTTAGCAAACTCACAAGCCTGCAGTATATAGTTACTAGGCAATCATTAAAGCAGGGGTGTTTATACCATTAGGCATTACTCATAGTGGAGCTTCATTTATCTTAGAAAGTTTAAAAACTATATAAATATGTTGTGAGATCAGGCCCTTTTCTCCTCTGATTAGAAGTGTGGATCCAGCTGCAAAACCACAGCTGAGATTTTTCTTTCACTTGGGGATATGCACTGTTCAACACAAAAGGAAATTTAGTGTTCGAAGAATTAATAAGAACACTAAAGATGTTATCTTTTGATTTTAATAAATATGCATATGGCATTTATGATTGACTCAGTGAGGATTTACTTAGGATACAAAAAGCAGGAGAAAAGCTATACATGTGTAACTCTCCTGTGTCAAATTGTGAAATAAACCAATACATTAACACTTCCTAGACAATCATAATCAATTGTCATATACCAAATTAATAGAGTTTCAAATACATTTGGAATTTTTGAGATGTAAATTTCACCTTACCCTGCCTCAAATCTCACTTGATGACAATAGTTTGTGGCTGTTTTTTTTTGTCCATCAAGACTTTTTTTATTAATCCAAATTAGTTGGGGTTATTTAAAAATCACCTGGAAATGTGATGACATTATTTGAAAATATAAAAATATATATAGTAGGGGCTGTTCAATTAACCAATAAGTATACAATATAATTTAATTTATAATATTTATAAAACAATGTCATGGCTAGACTTGAAGGATTAATTTATTTCACTTGATTCAAGAACTGAAGGGAAAAAAATGCGTTGGTATTGCTATTTTCATTCTGGGGAAGGTGAAGTTACTTGTAGAATAATAAGGAAAAATACTTCTAACACACCATCATTAAGGTTTAAGCAGCTTGAAATGTTTTATTCTGGCAATTAAAGAAAAATTTAACTACTGAAAATGTTTTATGCTAGCAATACAATAAATATTTTTTTTTTCTTATGGCAAAAGATAAATAGCCACATACTGGTCATTACTATCATAATCATCTTGACAACCTCACTCACTATCTGTTTCAGCATTAACATCTTTATTAAGAATCAGTTCAGTTGGGATGTATTTTACCACTACTTTTTCCTCCCTTTGACATCTGTTAAGGACCTCACTTTGTTGGCTTGCAGCCTCCACCGCCCGACAATTGATCATCCAAAGGACACCATGCCATCTGATTCACAAAACACATTTGCTTGACACTTTTCTGCCTTGACCAGCCCCCCATCCTCACCCAATGTGGCCATGGATGCCGTTAGAATGGTGATGGGGAACCCCACTCCCAGACTTTAAAATTTGAGGTGGCAGCAGATTAGGAATTGAACTGAACCTGCTAAACACTACCTGACTTTGAATAGTGGGTAAAGGCACCCCATATTGAAATACCACATTGCATTGTTCTATTTTCTGTACAGAAACATTTCTAGACCTATAGAAGAAAACATAACCAGAATCATAGTTTTGTGGGTTTTTTTTTTTGAGACGGATCTCACTCGTGTTGCCCAGGATAGAGTGCAATGGCACGATCTCAGCTCACTGCAACCTCTGCCTCCCAGGTTCAAGTGATTCTCCTGCCTCAGCCTCCTGAGTAGCTGGGATTACAGGCATCTGCCACCATACTCAGCTAATTTTTTGTATTTTTAGTAGAGATGGGGTTCCACATGTTGGCCAGGCTGCTCTCGAGCTCCTGACCTCAGGTGATCTGCCCGCCCCAGCCCCCCAAAGTGCTGGGATTACAGGTGTGAGCCCCTGTGCCCAGCCAGTTTTGTGTTTTTATTTTATTTTTATTTTTATTTATTTAAGAGAAGGTCTTGCTCTGCTACCTAGGCTGGAGTGCAGTGATGTGACTATGGCTCACTGCAGCCTCAACCTCCCGGGCTAAAGAGACCCTCCTACCTCAGCCTCCTGAATAGCTAGGACCACAGGTGTGTGCCACCATACTTGGATAATTTTTTTTTCTTTTTTCTTTTGGTTGAGACAGGGTCTTACTATGTTGCCCAGGCTGATCTCAAACTCCTGGGCTGAAGCCATCATTCCATCTCAGATTCCCAAAGTTCTGGGATTACAGGTATGAACCATTGTGCCTGGCCCAGAATTGTAGATTTAAACATAAGCAGTAAAGAAACAAAGCTCCTAGAAGAAAAATATTTTCATGAACTTGTAATCAGAACATAAGTTCTTAATTTTAATGTTATCCAACTTATCTTTATCTTGTATTGTTAGTGTTTTTTGTGTCCTGTTTATGAAATTTTTGCTCAGCTCCTAAGTCACCGAGAGGCTGTTTTCTGCCGGTTTTCTTAGAGTCTCATCCCACACAGGCCCAGCTTAGAATTCTGCCTAATATTGAGAGGAAATTGCATGCATGCTTTTTGGGCTCTTTTTCTGAAGTGTCTTCCTCCTCTGGAGCTTTCTCCTTCAAGTCCGAGACTCCTGGGCAATTACCAAGGCCTGAGCCCTATCTCCTTAGCCCAGTAAAAGTCATCTTTATTCCCCAACTGCCCCATTCCCATCCTAGCTCTTCCCTCAAGAACCATAGCTTTTAGTGCCAGGCGCGGTGGCTCACACCTGTAATCCCAGCACTTTGGGAGGCTGATGCAGGTGGATCACCTGAGGTCAGGAGTTTGAAACCAGCCTGGCCAACATGGCGAAATCCTCCATCTACTAAAAATACAAAAAATTAGCCAGGCATGGTGGAGGGCGCCTGTAATCCCAGCTACTTGGAAGGCTGAGACACGAGAATCACTTGAACCCGGGAAGCGGAGGTTGCAGTAAGCCGAGATCACACCATTGCTCTCCAGCCTGGGCAACAGAGCGAGACTCTGTCTCAAAAAAAAAAAAAAAAAAAAAAAAAAAAAAGAGGGAATCATAGCTTCTAAAGTCCTGTCTGTGCTCATGGCTTGCCAATGCCTTTTAACAGTTGTTTTATATATGTTGTTCCACTTTTTTGTTTCAGCAGGAGAGTTGGCCCAATACTAGCTTCTCTGTCATAACCAGAACTGAAAACCACACTTACTTTTAGAGAGTGTTTATAACAAAACTTCCTAATGTTTCCTTGCCTAATTGGATTATAAACAGGACTGTATTATTTGTTTTTGTATCCTGGGAGTGGGGTGAACCTAGCTTAGACTCTATTTGCCATTGACAAATAGAGCCCAGGCACGAATCTGCTACCTCATCTGTGGTTGACATGAAAAACCAGGCTGGCAATAAAGGATCACATTGCATTCATGAAATATAATACATAATACATATAGAAAAAAACCATCTCAAATGTGAAGATTCTAGTACATTCTGAAAACTTTTGGCAGATTTTCTGAACTTTAAGGTCAAATGAAGATTGGTGGGTCTGTAAGAACATTAACTCTACACTTGTAATATCTGACACTGAACCCAACACATAACAAGCAATCAAGAAATGTTTATTCAGATTAATTGAATGGAAGAGATATGTGGATAGATGGAAAGATAGATGACTAAATGGATCAAGTAAATATTACTCCTTTCTTACCTTCTCTCATGAGCCCCTTTGACATTGCAGTGAAGCCTATGGATTTCTTCTCAGAAAAAGGTTTTAAATACATAAAATAAAACACATAAGCTCTTAAAGGAAACAATTATATTAAAATCCAGTGATCAAAATTCTGCATATAAAAAACAAATTTATAATGTAGTAATGGAAGTGTTTCTTTATTAGCACAGTAAATAAGATATAGTGGTGAACTCCATAATTAATATAATTTTGAAGTTTCCATATTTGTAATTTTTTTTTTTTGAGACAGAGTCTCACTTTGTTGTCCAGACTGTAGTGCAGTGGAGTGATCTCAGCTCACTGCAACCTCAGCTTCTGGGTTTAAGCAGTTTTCCCATTCAGCCTCCCAAGTAGCTGGAACTAAAGGTTCCTGCCACCATGCCCAGCTGATTTCTGGATTTTTAGTAGAGGGGGGTTTCATCTTGTTGACCGGGCTGGTCTTGAACTCCTGACTTCAAGTGATTTGCCTGCCACAGCCTCCCAGAGTGCTGGGATTACAGACGTGAGCCACTGCACCAGACCCCATGATTGTAAATTATATTTTGAGATATCTGCGACCATATCAAGATTTAAACATATCTGTGACTTCTACTATGACACAGTCCCAGGTACTACAAGGTCTCTTATGGCCTGTTGCCTTAAGTTATAATTGAAATAAATGCTCACTACGAGAGGTTAGTAAACATGAAAATATTTAATTTTAATTTTTAAAAAAGTTTATGTTTAAAAAAATTTCATGTTTATAAAATGTACATATTAAATATATTACTTAAATTGTTTTGAGAGATTAAAATTTAGATGTGATAGGCCAATTAGGGTATGCTAAGTAAGAGAGAGCTTAGAAGATCACTAAATGCTCTGGCCTCCAAACAAATACAACTCAGGTTGCATGCTCTAGAGTAGTGGTTAAATTCGAGGTTACATTATTAAAACCTCTTTCTAGCTGTGTGACCTTGGACAAGTATTACGTCTCAGTTATCTCTTCGGTTAAGTGGTAATCATAATGGCTCTTATCTCTACAGGGTTGTTGAGAGGATTACATTAACTCATTTAAAGCACTTAGAATAGCGCCTGGCCCCCAGTAAGTTTTGGCTCTTATTACCATTTTCATGCTCTTCATATACCTATTAAATAATTAACAATCACTCTAATACACATGGAGTTTCAGAAACAAGTAACTTGTTGAATTAATAAAAATGATTCTACAACTACACAACAGTCCCAACAAGGATATTTGTATAAATTTTTAATTTTAAACCAAATATTCCATGATTTTAGATTAAATATTAAAACTCTCAATACGTGCTTACCATAGTCTTAATAGAGAAACTCAGGATGACTCATATAAATTGGAAAGTCACTGCCATTTTGTGGACTGCTGGGTGAGTGAGAGCATCAGTGGGTGCTGGGGCAGAGGGAAGTGGGAAGATGAATCGGAGGGTGTAGATTTGAGCCTGTACATTTTTACCCTAAATCTACAGTCACCAACCTTTTTGGCACCAGGAACCAGTTTTATGGAAGACAGTTGTTCACAGGGGTGGGTGGGGGATGGTTTCATGGATGAAACTCTTTCACCTTGGATTATCAGGCATTAGTTAGCATCTCATAAGAAGCCCGCAACCTAGATCCCTTGCATGCTCAGTTCACAATAGGGTTGGTACTCCTATGAGAATCTAATACTGTGGCTGATCTGACAGGAAGCGGAGCTCAGGTGGTAATGCTTGCTTGCTTGATGGCCACTCACCTCCTGCTGTGCTGCCCAGTTCCTAACAGGCCATGGACCAGTACTGGTAAGCACCCAGGCTGTGGGAACCCTTTCCCTAGATCTGGAAACACATCATGGTTCCTGTCCATTGGACAGTAAAGTTTATATAGGTAGTCTTTGAAACAATGGCAAAAAGACCAAATTGGAACAGGCTTTAGGCTACTACAGACCACTCTGAAGTGTGTGGGTTGCTTTTCTTGAATTTGGAGAGCCCCGAGATGCAGCTGATGCTGTCTGACAGCTCAATGGAAGAACACTCTGTGACTACCATGTCGGAGGGGAACTGGCATGGCACAGTGGCTCACGCCTGGAATCCCAACACTTTAGGAGGCAAGGTGGGCAGATCACCTGAGGCCAGGAGTTCAAGACCAGCCTGGCCAACATGGTGTAACCCTGTCTCTATTTTTAAAAAATACAAAAATTAGCTAGATGTGGTGGCAGGCATGGCACCTGTAATCCCAGCTACTTGGGAGGCTGAGGCACAAGAATCGCTTGAACTGGGAAGGTGGAGGTTACAGTGAGAAGATATGGCATCACTGCACTCCAGCCTGGGCGACAGACCGAGATTCCATCTAAAAAAAAAGAAAAAAAAAAAAAGGAGTGGAACTGTCAAATGAAAAAAAAAAAAAAAAAAAAGAAAAGTAAGAAGTAGAAATCGTGGCCCACCTCCCTCTTGGGGTCCTCACCCTCGAGATGATTATCATAGAAGGAGTTGGCCACCTCACCACAGATCTCCAAGAAGGAGAAGCTTCTCTCACAGCTGGAGCAGGTTCCTTTCTAGAAACAGAAGAAGAGAGAGACCACTGTCTTGGGAGAGAAATCACAAGCTGTCCTGATCCTTCTCTAGGTCTCATAGCAGATCTACGTCAAATGAAAGGAAATACAAGACCAGTTTGCAAGAGAAGAGGTGTACAGGAAACTACTTCATTTGACAGGAGTATATACAGAAAATTCAAGTTTTATTTGAGACTTCTTAAACTTGTTTCATTTTAAAGATGTTTTAGTTGTTCAAATTTGTCTCTTGAAACAGCGACACACAAAGGTGTAATTCTCTATGGTTTGAAATGGATCATAAGATACATGAAATACCAAGAATTGTTACTTTACAATGTTCCCTTAAGCAAAATTGAGTTTGCTTTGAACTTTACACATAGACTGATAATAAACCTCTAAATCCTGCCCAGCAGAAGTGTGATTTTTTTTTTAACACAGAAACAACTGGCAAAAATTGAAGTAAGATTTACTTTTTTTTTTCATAGCTAGAATACAGTATGCAGCTAAGTTGCACAAGCAGGCTTTAAAAGCTGCTGTGAAACACAAGCCATCAGGTAAAAAGAAACGCTGCAGTATTAAGTTAGAGGTTTTTAAAAAATCCAACGGAAGTCCAAAATCAAGATGCTGGCACATATGGTTCCTGGTGAGAGCCCTCTTCCTAGCTTATAGATGGCCAGCTTCCTGCTGCATGCTCACATGGCCTTTCCTCAGTGCATGTGCAGAGAGAAAGATTTTTCTCTTCTGCCACCCACTAATAGTAGAACCATAAGGACTCCACCTTCACAACCTAATCTAACTCTAGTTACTTCTCAAAGGCTTCTCCAAATATCATTACATCCAGGGTAAGGGCTTCACATATGAATATTAGGAGGACATAATCATTCAGTCCTACAAGATTCAAGGTCATTTCTGTACCATCTCATTCACTTGATGTTGAACAAGCTGTAATGGGTCTGAGAAAAAGGAGATTCACAGCCAGCCCATCATGAATTGTGCAAAGCTTGTCCCATGTTTTATTTATGCCCGTGGTGTACCCTACATGCAAACATTTTCCAACAATGTTGCAGGGCCCGGCCCGGAATCAGCCACACTACACAACTCCAGGGGGTGCCGCTCATCTGGTAGTCTATGTAAATGGTATTCTCATGCTCCACAGAAGTCTGAATAGGAAAACTCAGAAAACACTGGTATGGTGAAAGTCCAAGGGACTTGGTCTTGAAGACCTGTTTGAGCATGATTTCTCTGTGATCTGACTCAAGTCACTAATCTTCAGTGAGTCTAGTTTTGTCTCTATGAAATGGGAATGATAATTTCAATACTCACTTTACAGGGTTGTTGTGAGGATTAGATGAGATTAATATGGACAAGTGCTTGAATGCTGAAAAGAGCTGCACAAGTAGTATTATGGGCTTGATTTACCTTCCAGCCCTCACATTCAAGGGTTCTTTCAGTTGGATATAGACAGCCTCATCACTAAGAAACCCCAACAGCCCTTAGTTGGGTCAGACCATGTTGGAATTTCTGTTCTATATACACACATTTCTGAGCTCTTTATTAAGGAAATGCCTCTGGAGTTTAAGTATAGAAGGAGTTTCTCTTTCCCTCATTACCACATTTTTCAAAAAGTGAAATTTCTTCTGTCAAAACACATCAAGATACCATGGTGACAATTGCTATAGAAATGCTAGATTTGGAAAGAAATGAAGAGATTTCTATTCTGTTTCCTGCTATCCATGTTTAACAGTCTAAATCAAACCCATGCTAGCTACAAGACTGAAAGTGACTGTTTGCCCCATATATCTTGACCACACTCCCTGCTCCAAACCTTAAATTCTCACTTCTTAAGGCCTTTCAGAGGTTGTGCATGAAATTAAGTCTTAGCGTAGCATTATCTGAGACACAGAGAAATTGGATGGCATTAGCAGAGTTTTTTCTTTTTAATTATCCACTTGAATGTAGATCACAGAGTCATTGTATTAAATGATTATAAGGACCATGTGTATAAGATATCTGAATAAGCCTGGCTAGGGTGTAAGACAATAGGGAATGATAAAGACTTGAACCAACAGCAGGGCATAGGCTCTGTCCAACTAAAGGGGAAAAAAATCCTCACACTAAGTCAAAAATATACAGACCTAGTGATGTTAGAACTTCTAATTTTTTAAGAGAAGAAAGAAATCAAATATTTATGTGATATTTCCTAATATAAAAAATATATCTGCAAGTCAAAGCTGCCCATGGCTGCCAGTTTTCAACCACTGATCAATGGATGCCTTAAATCCAGAAATTATCTCCTTCTATCCTTAACACACAGAAAAATGAAAGCATGCTAAATGTGGGTTCCAAGGTATCCCCACTGAGTAAGTCCCTTTTGGAGCCTAAACAGTTGCAAATTTTAATAGGCAGTCCAGGAGTTTCATCTAGAGATCATTCAGGGACCCCTTTTGGGATAAACTGCTGGAGACAGCAAGCTCCTGCAAGCTACTATCTATCTTTGTTTCCCTTGAGCCTAGCACATTGCCAAGCATGAGAAGTTTTAGGAGTGAATGAATGCTTCCATATCCTAGTGCTGTATCATATCACTAGTAGATATTTAATAAAAAAGATATAATTGTCCTTGAGTAGCAAGGCCCCCAAGATACAAGATGCTAAGCAAATAGAGGGAAATAAATTTGGATTGGAGTAAGGGAGAAGGGTAAGGATTGTGGAACACGGGACATTATGTGGAGAGGGCAGGCCTGAGAGTGGCCCACAGTGGGTGACTGAGCCCATAACATCTAAAGGGCTCTAAGGCACTGAGAAATGTTTATAGGCACCAAGAAAAAAAGGTTATTATATGAAAAAGACACTTGCAAATCCATGTTTATAGCAGCACAATTTTTAATTGCAAAAGTATGGAACCAGCCTAAAGGTCCATCAACCAACGAGTGGATAAAGAAAATATGATATATATCCACCATGGAATACTACTCAGCCATAAAAAGGAATGAAATAATGGCATTCACAGCAACCTAGATGGAGTTGAAGACCGTTATGCTAAGTGAAGTAATGCAGGAATGGAAAACCAAACATCGTATGTTCTCACTTATAAGTGGGAGCTAAGCTATGAGGACACAAAGGCATAAGAATGATATAATGGACTCTGGGGACTTGGGCAGAAGTATGGGAGCAGGGTGAGGGATAAAAGACTACACATTGGGTACACTATACACTGCTTGGGTGATGGGTGCACCAAAATCTCAAAAATCACCACTGAAGAACTTTTCCATGCAACCAAACACCACCTGTTCTTCCAAAACTATCGGAATCAAAAAAAGTATCTGTTTCACCACAATAGCAAAGTTTCAAACAGTGGAAAATAATCAGGCCCTGAAACTGTAACAATGACTATTTATCTTTGTCTTTTTATTTGTAAAAATTACGGTGGTTAACAAAATACATCTGTGAATTAAGGACAAATAGTAATAGAACTCTCTCAATCAAAATATAATAAATGTTGATATTTTAATTCTAACTCTAGATTTTCCTATCTTAATTTCCCTTGCAACTCATTTATACATTCCTCTAATTATCTTTAGAGTGAATCACAAAATGTCATGTATGTAAAAGTAACTATGCAGCAATATTTCCTGCTTCTCAGGAGAGGAGTGGTGAATTTTTAATCAATGTTGACTTTGGAACAACATTGTGAAAAATGTTTAAAAGGATTAGACTTTTCCAAATTAATTATTTTGAGGGCCAATATAGTAAAAGTGATAAGAAAAGGATGTAATAAAAGCAATATGCAATTGCTTTCAGCATGTTCTTACTTATTATAAGAATCCCCCATTCCCCACCTTCTTTTTACGGAAATAAAGTCCTTTCCCCCCGTCTGTCTCCAGGACCTGGCTGGGTAATCATTTGAAGTTTGCACAGCCTGGGTCTCTCAACTCCAATACCTTCAACCTCCCTGTTACCCTCTTGGAATTGATCTCGTTTTGCCTTGTGACGTTATTTGACTGTTTAAAATAGGTGTTGGCAACCTTTTTCTGTAAAGTGCCAGGGCTAAATATTTTAGGCTTGTGGGCTAAGCAGCCTCTGTCTCAACTATTCATCTCTGCCTTGCCATGTGAGAGCACCCATAAATGTAAACGAAAGGGTGTGGCTGTGTTCCAATACAACTTTATTTACAAAAACAGGTGTTGGGCCAGATTTGTCTTGTGGGCCACATTGTGCCTATACCTGTTCTAATACAAAATTATGTACTTGTTGCATCATTTACAATAATATCTTATCTTCCCAAATACAGTGTAAGTTTCTTGCAGACAGGAAAGTCTATATTCTGTTTTTGCAACACCTGTAGAACTTAGTGACAATGTTTGGATCATTATATGATCTTGATGAATGTTCATTGACTATAAGCTAATTGTTTTATTGTGTGTGTGTGTGTGTGTGTGCGGGGGGGCGGGGGTGGAGTTTGGTAAGGAAAAGCATCATAAAATGATGGAATTTTTGAATGGAGAAGACCTTGTCTGTCACCTATCCTTGGAAGTGAAACTAAGGCCAAGATGGGCTTATTATTTTGGATATACAGCAGGTCACATGTTATCTCTCCAAATATAAATGCAGCTCTAGGGATCCCAACTTTATCAGCCTTCTATTAACATCCAAATGAAATAATTTCAGCTCCATCTACACAACTATGGTATGTCCAGTCCCTGCCTTTATATTCTCAAAGATTTCCTAGAGGTATTTTCAGTTCCCTGACATTATTCCCTCACTTGCTGCTCTGAATTCTTCCTTTTTGACCCACTTACCCTCAGATCTCACAATGATGGCATGATTTGCTTTTTTCTGCTCACTGGAGGATCGATCTGTGCTCAGCTTTTGCCTTAATAAAAAATTTCTCCACATCTCCAACCCAATTCCTCTTTGGATAAATTTTAAAATCCAACCCCCTGCTGATTCAGAAATGCATCCTCGCAATCCTGATGAAAATCATCAACATTTATGTATTCACAGCAGCCAAGAGGACGGTTGAATTTTACTTCTAGGGATTTGAATTATAAAAACAATTGTTTTCCAAAATATCACACTGCATTGTTATGCTAAATATGCTTTTTCTTACTATAAACACCTTACACCCACTGTTCTTACTTCCAGAGATTCTAATTTTCATTTTCAAACCCAGAAATCCATGCATCCATGGTGATAATTCCTGAGCCAAAAGATGCTGAATATAGTTCTAACTCTGGCAGAAAACCCAGGGTAAATTTACAGAGTGAGAAGGCTCAGATTAGAGAGAATGGACAGATTATGGTAACATTCTGCTACTTTGGGAGTCATATGCAAATCAGGCAGCCAATTTTAGATAGTTCATTAGAGGGAAGTGAAGTATCCTTGGTGTCCCTACTGACAAAGCTTTGATGCATAAAGTAATCTCAGAGTACGTGCATAATCAAAGATTTAAGATATCCAGCAATAGCAGTAAGGGCTTTCCTCTGAAGAAACAGCACTACAGTGCAGATCAGGGATAATAATTTTGTGAGATTTCCAACTGGTTTAATGGAATTGAGGGGTAAAACGGAAAGATGGCCTGGAATGAAGGGCATTCCCCTAGCTATACTTCACTCAGGATAATCGTTAAATCCTTATAAAAGTGGATTGGAATACCCAGCACTACCCCACCACACGTTTATTTGCAGTTGTCAAGTAACATGATATTGGAATAAAAAGTCTCATTCCACAGTGTAGGTTCTCTAATTCTCACCTAATTCTTTTGATAATTCATGAAAGCTTTATAACAGTTACCTATCTAAACTAGAGAACAAAACTGAGTAATAACGTTTGACCTTTAACAACCTTCATATTATGTCTCCATGTGTTATTATATATTATGTTGGATATTTAGCCTGCATAAATCTTAAACCTCAGACAAAACACTAAATGTTGGCTCTTTGATGGCCTTTTATACAACAGAATAAAAGTGCAGTTGAGGCCATGCTCTGTATTCTCCAAATGCCGTTTGATCACACAGGAAGATGGCATTTCCCAGGTCACCAGATAGTTCAGTTGGGGACATGTAACTAGTTCTGGGTACTTGGCTACAAACAAAGTGACATATATTACTTCCAGCTGAAGCACAGAACAGTGGTGATCTCTCTTCCCTTGCTCAGGGACCTAGATGTCAACAATTCCAGATGGCAAAGCTATAAGATGGACCCTTGAGTCACTACCTGGATGACAAGTGCCTTAGAAAGCTGCCTGGAATGAGAAAAAATGCTCACTGTGTTACACCACTGAGATGTGGGCAGTAATTTGTTACCATAACATCATCTAGCCTATCCTGACTAATATGCAAACTGACACTGAAAATGAAATAATTAATTTGATATATAAGTTACTGGGAAAAATCATAAAAACAAAATGCAATTAAATTTGAATTAGAGAATATGTTAAAAGAAATGCATTCTGTGATATTCGTTATGTAGGGATAATGAACTATGTTAATAAGGAAAATCAAAATAGCTACATTGCATAAAAATTATCCAAACAATACATTTTTAGAAATTGAAAGTGAATTTAAGAGCTCTTTAAAACTCAATGCCTTTTGTTTAAAAAAGTTACTGACCCTGGAAAAAATTTATTTTATTCTCAGTGAGGCCCTAAAAATTACAGAAAATACATACAAATATTTATGTCATAAACAATAGGATTGATTTTCATGTGCACATACATTATGTAAATTGAATTACATAGGCTTCACTCTTTTTTTGTTTGTTTGTTTTTGAGACGGAGTCTCACTCTGTCGCCAGGCCGGAGTGCAGTGGCACAATGTCGGTTCACTGCAACCTCCGCCTCCCGGGTTCAAGTTATTCTCCTGCCTCAGCCTTCCGAGTAGCTGGGATTACAGGCGTGCACCACCATGCTCAGCTAATTTTTGTATTTTGAGTAGAGACGGGGTTTCACCATGTTGGCCAGTATGGTCTTGAACTCCTGACCTCAAATGATCCGCCTGCTTTGGCCTCCCAAAGTGCGGGGATTACAGGTGTGAGCCACTGTGCCCTGCCAGGCTTCACTCAATTTACTTCCTCGCCCTTCTCCATTTTGAAGAAGATTAACTTCCAATGCTCTAGGTTAGGGGCTGTCAAACTATACCTTGCAGGCTAAATCCAGCCTGCTGCCTGTTTTTGTAAATAAACTTTTATTGCAACACAGCCATACTCATTAATACTTATTATAATACATATTGTCTGCTTTTGCTGTACAACAGCTGAGTTGATGAGTTGCAACATAGACAGTCTGCTAAGCCTAAATTGCCTACTCTCTAGAACTTTATAGAAGAAACTTGCTGACCACTACTCTAGGGAAAGCGAGACCACAGCAAAAATGTAAAAATAAACACAAGGAGTTTTGTCCTTTGATTCTTAAAGGATTTCCCATGGTGTTTTTAGCTATATGCAATTTTCATCTTAACACACTTATTTTAGAACCTATGCCATATATAGAATATGAAATCACAACACCTAGTCTGGTTTTCTCAAATTCTGACTTAGAGGAATGAAAAGTATTAATAGTTTAAATTTTACTATATATAGGCTCATCTTCAATATTGACAGTGCTGCTTCTAATTCTTCTTCCAAATTATCTTGCATGTTATTGTCAGGATAATCTTTCTATCTGTTGGTAAGATTTCCAACAAGTAGCTGTCACGCCAGACCCATATTGACTTAAGTAGGGATGGCACAATGTCTGAGAGGCCAAAGAAGAGAGCCGGAGCCAGCAAATGAGGCATAGAATTTATTGAAGGGTCTTATATATAGGTTCATTCAGTGGTGGTGGACTGGACAAGAGAACCATGATCACTTCTAAAAGGCATGAGGTTTATATAGCACTTTCACGTAGCCTCCTCCTCCTAACATCCTCCACCTAGCAACCTTCATTTGACCCAGAACAAAGGACTTTGATCTCTTACATGGCCTGCATTCCATGGGATGGGCTGGGGGTTCAGATGTTCCTCATAGATAAGGAGTGAATCTCCAGGTTGGCCATTCACAGATTATTTAGCTTGGAACTTTAAACAGACATTCTTCTAAGACCATAGAGTCATTTTCAGGATACAGAGTATGCTTGTTACTGTAGTCAGGTGCATCTGCCATATAGTAGCTCTTTTATACTGTCTCTTACCTTTGATAATACTCAATGACTTCCTATCATCCACGGTTTCTAGAACAGACTCATTTGCTGTCCAGAATCTAACCAGTTTATCTAAGACAATCTTATTTTCTATCACTCCATGACATTCTTTCTTTGTCACTCAGAATTTTTCACTTCTCTTCTTCTCATATACTATATGAGGGAGAAATGACCTTGCCTGCAAGTAAACCTGACTACAATAGCTTAAGCAAATAAGGTTAATTTTTTCCCCCAACACTGTAAGAGCCTGGGAGGTAAGTGGTGTTGATTTAGTAACTCAACAGTGTCAACGCTTGTATTTTTAGAATTCTCTAGGCTTTCCCCTCATGGTCACAAGATGAATACTGAAGCAACAGCGATCGTATTCATAGTCAGGGCATGCAGAAAAGAGAAAGGGGAAAGGATAGTGTGAACCATATCTGTCCTTTTATCAAGAAAGCACACACTTGGCCAGAAACTTCAAGCAGAATTCTATTCATACGATTTACTGGTCAGAACTAAATCTATGGTCATATGACCACATCTAACTGCAAAGGAGGCTGTGCAAGTATTTAGATTTTCTAGATCCTAAGGAGAGGCCGACGAGGACAAATAGGCTGCAAAAGTGTGTTGGATAAACCATCCACCATGGCCTGTTGCCTACATATTGAACTGATTTCTGCCTCCATGTTTTTGCATACAGTCTTCCCTGTCTAAAATGCTCCCTCCAGCCTTCCTTATTCTAAAATTTATTCTTTATTTTTTTAGTGTCCAGCTTTACATTCCATCTCCTCCATTAAACATACTCTGAAAATCCCAATTACCATGATCTCTCCTTTCTCTGAACACTTTTTTTCTCATACACAATAACATAACATCTGTTTTTAAAAATTCAAATTATGCTACATTCATGCCATGTTAGGGCTTAGAAAACAATACCTCAAAATGTGCTTTGGCTTTCTCTGAAGTTCCCCGATCTACCTGAAAGCTATAATAGATCCTCCAGAAGATACTCAATTGCTATGAATCCCTTCCCCAGATAGGACATCAACTGGAGGAAATGGATGCATCTCACAGAAAGGAAGACTAGAGCTTACCCCACACCCAGAGCCCAGACAAGCTTTGTCCCAGGCTGTTGTCTGTTGTTCAGGTCCATTTATCTTCCGTAAACATCATTTACTCCTCCTTGAGAATTGCCTACATCCCCCACTTTTCTCTCCTTTATGAAGAGGTCATTTAAGCTTCAACCATCTGGCCCTTCTTTGAGCCTCATATTTTGTAGGACACCCTTGTGCTTGCACCTAATAAATGTGTATTCCTTTTCTCTGTTAATCCGCCTATTGTCAGGTTGTTTTATAGGCTGGAATTATTGAAACTTCAGGGGGTGAAAGTTCATTTTCTTCTACAGTCACATGTTTCTGTTGTTAATTCCCTAGTAGGACACTTGAGTTTTTTTCCTAATTGCATTTTTCCATAAGGTATTGTGGTACAGGTGGCATTTGGTTACATAAGTAAGTTCTTTAGTGGAGATTTGTGAGAACCTGGCACACCCATCACTCGAGCAGCATACACTGCACCATATTTTTTGTCTTCTTTTTTTTTTGAGACGGAGTCTTGCTGTGTCACCCAGGCTGGAGTGCAATGGCACCATCGCGGCTCACTGCAAGCTCTGCCTCCCACGTTCAAGTGATTGTCCTGCCTCAGTTTCCCAAGTAGCTGGGATTACAGGCACGCACCACCACGCCCAGCTAATTTTTTTATTTTTAGTAGAATCGGGGTTTCACCATGTTGGTCAGGCTGGTCTTGAACTCCTGACCTCGTGATCTGCCCGCCTTGGCCTCCCAAAGTGCTGGGATTACAGGTGTGAGCAACAGCACCTGGCATTTGTTGTCTTTTATCCTTTGCCCCCCTCCCACTTTTACCCCCCAAGTCCCCAAAGTCCACGGCAAAACTGTTTTCAGTATCTTCTTTTCAGGATCTTCTACAAAAGACAGTCTCATTTAGGTAAAAGTTGATATTTTACAAAAGATAAACTCTTTTTATTGAACTATTTAGTGGCTGTGTTTCAAAGGACCTCACAGAGTTTAGTAATAATTACTTTTTAAAACTGTCATATGAATTATGGCTTTACAATAATGAGACTGAGCCCTTCTACCAAACACAACTGTAACTTTCTGGTCACGTCTTACACATATTGATGCATTTAGCATTGTTACTAAGATGAAAGACACTGAATCTGAAATGTATTTGTTACATCATACTAATTATTAATTTGACTAGGAGCTGATTACTCTGCTTAATGGACTGTAAGAACTCTAAATCAGGTATACTATACTACATAGGAGGTTACCTTGTTGATACTTAGTATAAATGTGATTTAGCTAGGAATTTAAGCCAAAGTTTGGGTTCCTAACTCAAGAGGTTGGAACGCTTAAAAAAACACAACTCTTTTCCAGGCTCTCTAAGCTAGTCTCCCTTTTAAAAGGTTTAGTCTGGTTGTAAGTACTTAATTGCTGACAAGGTAAATCTTATTTTTCTCCCCAGTCTTCTTTAGGGGTTTTTTACTTTCTCAACTGAGTATTTTTAGATTTGGTTTTTCATGTGAAATAGCTTTCCCTCACATCAGAATAATTCTTTCTCCAAACAAATTACCAAATAGCTCAGAAATTGTTTTAATTTCTTGGATGGAGATTTGAATGACTGCATATAATTTATAATATTAAGTCATGTGATTGCAAATGTAGGAATACTTTTGAAAAAAAAGTGAAATAGGAATTAATAAAAGGGATTCCTAGCTCATTAAAAGTGAGTCTAAGTTTGGGTATGACAAAGATTCTGTCATTGACCAAAATTTACTCAGGTTCTCCTGAACTCTTGTCAACTAGGTCTTGAATTTTGGACTTTTATGTTTGTCCAGTTTTAGCAAGAACCTGCTAAGTCAGTTTAGCCAGAATCTCTCATCCTCCATATCTGATCACCCTGAATATCTTATCAGACTTCTCATCCTCCACCACCCCACCCTCCAGGTGATGTCTGATCACCCTGGCCTTCCTTCAGCAAAAATCCTGTTAGGTTGGTTAAGCTAGAATCCCTCCTTACCCCTGATATTTCCTCTTAATAATTTTTCATCCACTAACCCCTCTTCTGCTCCTTGGCTATAAATCCCCACTTGTCCTTGTTGGAATCAGAGTTGAGCCCAAAGTCTCTTCTCGACTGCAAGACCCCATTGTAGTAGTCCCTATACCTATCACAATGGTACTCTCTTGAAGAAAGTCTTTCTTACTGTCTTCAACAATTGTCATCAATAATTTCTTCTTTTACAGGTACCGGTGTCATTTTAAAACAAGCCGCCTCACCAATACAAACATACTCTGAAAAGGATATTGTGTCTTTATAGCAGCATGATTTATACTCCTTTGGGTATATACCCAGTAATGGGATGGCTGGGTCAAATGGTATTTCTAGTTCTAGATCCCTGAGGAATCGCCACACTGAATTCCACAATGGTTGAACTAGTTTACAGTCAAAAAAAAAAAAAAAAAAAAAAAAGGATATTGTGAACCTAAAGTCAGAGAACTTGTAGGATTATAGCTGTAGATGATCGAACAATAAAAGAACAAAGGCAGAGGAAGAGATGAGAGAGTGTGGCCTTCCCAGAGCCCCACTCCAGCTCTCCCTTGGCCTGCTTCTCAGACAGTAGGCACTGGCATTGAGAAATAAGCTATGCACCTTTTGAAGTTATGCCACATCAATCACAGGACTTTATATACTGATTAACTGCCTCTCTCAGCAAGAGAGATGATCCACCTCATTCTCTCAGCACAAAAGAAACCAGTTTTGCAGCTCATGAATTAACCCTTCTTTTGCCAGGCAAACTATTTTCCAGGATAATGAAAACAAAGAAATAACGTTTCAAATAATTTAATGATGAAATTAGTGATTATTTTCTCGCTAAACGTATGCTGGAAACTCTAAGATCATTACCTAATAACCTAGAATGGCTTCTAAAAACCCAGAGGTGGCAAAGATGTGAGAATTAACAAACTGGGAGCATCCCTAAATATGCAGTCTGACTACCTTTGAGAGGTGCAAGGAATTAAAATTGACATGGATTCATGAAGGGCAACTGCAAGCTACATGTTTGGGAGAACAGAGTTGTCCAATTTCACATGAAGGATTTGCTGGAACAATACTTCTGTAAACTGAATGTGCCTACAAGTCACCTGGGAAGTTTATTAACATTTTGATTCAATATATCTGAATGGGTCCTGAGATTCTGCATTTCTAACAATCACCCAGTGGATGTAGATGCTGCTGGTCTGTGGACCACACTCTCAAGCAATCTGGTTCTAGAGGACTCTTACTATAACTCAGCAATCTTAACTCATGCGCCAGAGCTAATGTCATCTTTGACCTCCTTAAACATGTGGAGTCTTTGCAACTTTATAGCCTCTCCTACCCTTAGTCCAAATTCAGATGCATCAGATCAGTGGTGGCCTTCCCAAGTGAGGTCTGTCACTAGGTTACGTGTAGTAGCTGGTGGACTGCAGGTCCAACTGTATTATTTTGAAAAAATGTAGGCATTGCTTTATCAAAATCTTACATAAATTCAAATATATCAAACAGAACAAGTAGGAAGAATGGGAGAAGGTTGTTCATTACATGAAAAAAATGCACTGAAGCACATGAGTTTTCTCACTTTGGCATATGTAGAACATATTTCAGGCAAAAATACAAGACTGAATTTGCATGTAGGCATGTATTTGTAGTGCTGAGCAAGTAACCTACCCAGTTCTGCCACTTGGATTGGTGCCCAAACAAGAAGCAGTAATGATACCTTGCTTTTGTTTGTATAGTTACAAAGCACTACTGCATGCATTATCCCTTTAATCCTTTTAATAAGCATCTGATTAAGAGTTATTCTTATTTTACAGATGAAAAAACAGAAACTTGGAGGTCACACATCTAATTTCCTAGCCTAATAGGTGGCAAACTCCAGACTTAAAACTCAATTTCTGAGTTCACTTCTCTTTCTAGCATCCTCTATGCTCTGCCATTGCTCTCAGCTCTGGTTGTACATTGAGATCATGGGAAGAGCTTGCAGAATGCTAATGCCTGGGTCCCACCATCAGACATTCTGAGGTCATTGGTATGGGAAGTAGCCTGGGAATCAGGATTTTTAAAGCTTTCAGGTGAGTCAAATGCAGTGATTCAGGCTTAATACTGTTGACATCTGGGGACAGATCATTCTTTGTTGAGAACTGTCCTGTGCATTGTAGGATGTCTAGCAGCCTCTCTAGCCTCTACCCTCTAGACACCAGTAGCACTCCTCCAGTTTGACAACCAAATGCCTCCAGACATTGCTAAATCTTCCCTGGGGGGCAAAATTGCCCTATTGAGAAGCACTGCATAATATAAAGCTAAAGTTGTGAAGGACTGATAAATAACTACATTATCAGCAGCAATTGTAGTTTATTGATTCATTTCTTAATTTACTGCACTCATGGCCAAAGAAGTAAAACAATTCATCATCTTTCCCTCTTCCCAATTTCATCAAAATTAGGAGCTGAACCTGATAAACACTTTTGGAATACTATATTTATTTGATGATTGTCTAATCTAAAGGAAGATAGAAACTTCTGTTCATCCATAGTTTCTTAATTCACTCAATTACATTTCCTTAGTGGTATTATGTACTGGTATGTCTCAATTTTGCCTGATAAGAATCACCTGGAATTACAACAGATTCCTCAGCCCTAATCCAAAACTACTGAATCCAAATTTTTAGGGAGAGGCCAGGTAATTCAGATATTTAACAAGTGTCTCCAGACAATTCTTATCATCAGGGAAGTTTGGAAAAATTAGGTAAGACAAAGGGAATACAGAGATGAATAAGATAGAGCTCCTCAAGAAGACACGTAATTAAGTAGTGATAATTCAGGATGATAAAAGCAAAATTATAAGTGTGTAGAAGCTTAGCATGTAGCATAAAGGATGGAAAAATTTACTTATTTTGGCTGAGGAGGCATAGCTCAGAGAAGGGCATATGTAGGAGATGGTTTCTGTCTTGGATTTTGAAGCATAAATACAACTAGCCAGGGGTACAAGGTGTAAAAGTACATTCTAGGTAGGGAAAATCAACAGGAGAAAATCATCTTCTGTTTCTAGATGCCTAGCCTTTATAGCCATGCATGTAGTAGGTGCTCAATAAATACCTATTCTTGGGTCAACCTTAAACCCACTGCTCCTTCATTATAGTGCTCTTTAGTCAGTGATTCTGCACACTGAGTATTATCCTCAAATGGGCCTGAAAAAAGTTTGCCTAGGTGAGAAGGTTGCTAATAGATTAACATTTTTGTCTCATTTAAGCCCCCTACATACTCATATTTAACTCTTATTTTTTTTTCCTTGGAATTAACTTTTGTACTCTCGTCTGATGGCTGTTGACTTTTTAAAACCTATTCCATAGGTCTTTGTAAGAGCTGAATTACTGTGTGATTATTGTACGAACATGAAAGACTCAACATGCTCTTAGATTATTAATGGGAACATGAAAAGCATTTGCAGGCTGGGCAGAGACCCATCTCAAAGTGATGATGATACTGACATTGCAAGGAAACGTGAAAATTTGAGGACATTTCTGAATACTCCTTCTCTGCCTAAGGCTGCCTCCCAAGAAGCCTGAGAAAATAAGGCTTGTTCCATAAGTAAGAGACCAGCTCAGATGTAATCTTCTCAGAATGGCTTTTTATGACTACCCACTACTAACTATTTCTTTCATCTCTTTTTCTCATCTTTTTTCATAATATTTATAATTCCCTGACATTGTATATCGGCTTATTTGTTGTTTCTCTTTCCTCTACTACATTAAAAGTTCCAGAAGGTCAAGAACATTTACTGTTGAATCCCAGCTCCCCAAAAAAGTCCTTCATACATAAAAGCCATTAATTAAATACTGCTGAATACTGAATAGATTATATATTCTTTTAGAATCCTGGTTTTCTCCTTTGTAGGCTCAACATGCTTGTCCTTAGTTGTCAATGTCTAATTTTCTTTCTGGACTGTAACATTCATTAGGGCAGGGATGGTGTCTACCTTATTCTCTACTTATTCCAGCATGTAGTAAATACTTAAAAACTATTTATTTATTTAATAGATCTATGAATGAGCAAGTGAATAAAAATGGAAGGCCAGCACTAGATGGCTTTACTGTAATGAGCTAGTTTCTCCAACAGCACACTGACCATCAGCATAGATGTGTGGGTCAGCAAATTCCAGGAATAAACAGCTCTGATTATTACAGCAGTCAGCTCTTCCTGTGACAGTAGTAAGAATGGAACAAATGAAATGGCTAATGAGCAATAATCCTGTTACTCTTGAAGAGCAATTAAAAAAATGTCAAAGAAGAAAAGAAATCATACATCAGTGGCAGGGAAGCTCACTGAAATTGTTGACCAATGTAGGAGAAACAGAAGGTCTTGCAAGCCAAGAAATGTGGGCATCTGGTGAGAAAATAGCAGAGGCAAAGAAGCCCAGCCTAAAGAGATAGAGCGAGCCCAGAAAGCCCAATGGAAGCCACAGATGTGGTCCTATCCCTGAAGTTCACATTTGTCTACTATCAGTCATAGGTATTCTACTCTAGGAAGTCATTCCCAATCATACAGACATTACAGATTCAAAGAGGGATATCTGCTGACATCACGACCTTCAAACTAAAATTTGCTTCATGCTCAGTATACAACTGTGTGGTGGGGGAGGAGAGCCTTCTTGCATTCTTAACTCTCAACAAGTAAGAACCTGATTTTCACAGGGTAGTCATTGCCAATGAAGCAGCTACATTGGGGTATGTACCCTGGGGTTTGTCATCGTGTGTGGGGAAAATTTAGGATGCAGACACACATCAAGAGTTTAGGAGCAGAGGTTTATTAGGCAGAAGAGAAGAGAAAGAGAAACACCTCTCTCTATAGAGAGAGGGGTCTCCCAGCAGAAAGGACCAGCTGCAGACAGATGACCCGGATTTTATAGTGTGGTTTGAGGAGGCAGTGTTTGATTTATGCAGCGCTCACAGGTTGGTTCCATCAGGTAGAAAGTTTACATAGCAGGCAGGGAAGGCTGGTTGCCCCACCCTAATCTTATAATGCAAACGAATTTTCCTTGAGCAGTGCCATCTTGTCTGCTCCTTACTGTACACGTGGCTGGCAGAGAAGGGAAGATGCGGCCGCCATCTTGAACGTGTCTAGTCTCTAGTTCCTGCAGGCATTCACCCATGCAAGCCCCTAGCTTGCTTGTCTATGTCTGCAGCTTGACTTTACAGGCTGCTTTGTTAGAAAATGATTTGGGGCTGCTTTTCATTAAAAAGGAAAGCCTTACCAAGGACTTCCATACCCTTACTATCTACCTAAGTGATTTCTTAACTGCTGTATTACCAAAGCTCTCAAATACACTTTACCACACCTTTTGTATATCACACCACACATAGAAAATTATAATAGTTGCATGGTACACTTGAATAAGCAAATATGGCTGCTCCACCTGCCAACTCGGGGGCAGAGGAGAGCAGTATGTCAAGCACACCTGGAACTCATTTGAGATGGAGCATTTAGCCCGCAGCCCACTGTTTAGAAATTCTGCACTGGCAGATGTGTTCTCGTTTTTCCTCAGCCATGGAAGGAAAATATTATGCTAGGTTCTATATGCATCCCAGAAACATTTTGGGGCACCTACTATGTGCCAGGCCCTTCTCAAAGCAGGGGACAAAACAATAAAACAAAGACCCCTTTCTTATGAAGACTACATTCTAGTAAGGCGAGACAGAAAACCAAACCTATGTTGGGTGGTGACAGTGCTACAGAGGTAAATACAGCAGGCAAGCATGATAGAAAGTGATGATATGGGGGCAAAGCTGTGAGCAATTTTATGTAGAGAGAGAGAAGGGTCTATTATCTGCTTATTGCTGCTGCAACAAGTTGTCATATATGTAGTGGCATAAAATAACACAAATTTATTACCTTACAGTTTTGGAGGTCAGAAGTCTAAAATGGATTGGCAGGGTTACATTCCTTCTGGAGGCTCTAGGGAAGGGTTCTTGCCTTTTTCACCTTTTAGAGACTGTCTGCATTCCCTGGCTCATGGTCCATTTCTCTACATTCAAAGCCAATAGTGTAACATTCTCAAATCTCCCTCCCTCTCACTCCTCCTTCTTATAAGGACCCTGAAATTATACTGGGCCTACCTGGATAATCCAGGAGACTCTCCCCATCTCAATATTCTTTATTCACATTTACTCACAGTGGCAAAGTCTATTATGCCATGTAGGGGAACATATTCAAGGTTCCAGGGATTAGGACATGGACATCTTTGGGGGTCATTATTCTACGTACCACAGTAGGATTCTCCGACAAAGTGACATTTGATCAACAACCAAATGGAGGTACAGGGCAGCCATGGAGCTATTGGGGGATTGGGGTTCTAGCACTGGGGGAAGTGAATGCAAAAGCCCTGTAGGGGGAGTTGACTTGACACGCTTAAAGAATGGTGAGGAGTGTGTCCAGATTGGAATGAGAGGGCAATTACAGCAGTAGAAAGATCAGAGGGATGGCAGCGGGCCAGAACAGGTATACAGGGCCCAGAAGGCCATGTCAGGATTGCATGGGTGAGCTCATTCAATTCATACAACAACCTGATAAAGTAGGTGCTGTTATTTGCCTTGTTTTTAAGGTTGAACAACTGAGGCTCATAAAAGTTAAGTACAACTCAAAGAGCAAATATTGAACTGAATCTGATGATTCTAGTTTAGAGAAGTGAGAAGATCCTGGAGAAAATATCAATATCCTTCTGAGTCGCAATTGCAGTTGTGACTCAGAAGCCACATGTCACTGTGACAGCACAAGGAGCAAGGCCCAAATAGCTCCCCTCCTACCAGTTTCCCATTTGACAACAAAATTAAGGGTTTAGGCAGCTGGGATGTAACTAAAATTAAGCCAGGTAACCTTTTTGTTCTTCAGGTTTACTATCTGTAAAACAGTAATACAATGTTGCAAATGTACCTTACTATCAAACAATAAAAGAGAGATTCAGACTAATACGAAATTTCAAAACAGACAAATGGGACTTGATTTTTGCCATGAGAAGGCACTCTGTATAAACAAAACATCATCCAAAGCTTTCTTTATAATAGTAAGTTTCTCTGGTATGCGCGTGCGCACACACACACGTTTTCTGATATTTGATTGACAACTTTTTAAGAAAAGTAGTGATTACCAAAAGTGCCTTTATTTTGTCTTGCATATATTAGTTCTTTTTCTCTAGCTCAGAGATTTTGCATTATTCCCTGCTAAAAGATGGAGAGTTTGGGGATGAGTTTGCACATTGTGTACCTGAGGGGCTCCTGGAAAGAATAAAAGTTTTCTAGAAGCTTCTTAATCACAGATAATTCTTTTTCTTCCTTCCCTGAGTCCCATGTCCAATGAATGCAGTGCATTTAGGGGGCAGAGTCAGGCCCAGTGTGGTTGGCATTGTTGCTAGAACAGTCCAGCAACATGGACTATTAATAAAATTGTATATTTATGTAAAATTGGGCAATTTAAAAGTAGAGCTATGTGTTCCTTTCCAAACACCTTGGTTGTTTAGAATAGAATTGTTAAGTGTGTGAGTTGATTCTTTAGTTTCCAGTATTCACAGCTCCCACTCACAGCTTTGAAAATTCCTTTATGGCATCTACTTACAGTAGTCAAATTGCGAAAGTTAAATGATATGCATTAAGAAAAAATGGTCCCCTGTGGCTGTTGGTGCTTTTGTCATCTTGTCAGGAGTCAGGAATCCTAGAGAGATGTGCATTATCTGCATAGCTGTGCTTGCAGAAAGAATACATGGTATGGAGTGTTAGAAATCATGAAGGCTCTCCCTTCATGTGATCCATATCACAGCTCCCAGCTGCTCTGCCACGTGGTGCTTCCCATGCATTTCTGCCACCCCCACCACCCTCCATTCTTTAACACGCGTGGTAGCTCTGTGGAGATGGAAGTCCATCTCACTGTATCGTGATGTTCAACCCCTCATGCCTCTCTTCCCCTATCCCCATCCTGCCCCAGGGTGAGTGTTTTCTGAATTGCAGTGATGTCAACAAAACAACAGTCTTGAACAACCAGGAGAAGTCCAGGTGAGGTCTGAGAAGACTCCCATGGAGAAAATTTTGCCTTGCAGCCTCTGCAGTGAAATTGTACAGTAGAGCAGAAAAATACCATAATGAGAGACCCAAAGGAAAATGGCTTTTTATGAAGTGGAAAGTGGAAAGATGTCCAGATGTGGACACTGCATATTTAAACATATTCAGTGACACAATTATTATAAGTGCAATGTCTCAATTTAGAGACACTGTGGGTACCTGAAGTGACCAGAACATGCTTCTACAATTTCAGCAACTTATGTAACCCAGGAGCAAGTCTTACCTGGTTATCTGGCCTCATTGTTCAGTGAAGCCAACTTTGCTGGGAGGAAGAAAGGACTGGGAGTTGTAGATTTGAATGGAGGCTTTTTCACTTACTGATTTTGTGAATTTGGGCAGCTTGCATCCCTTTTGAACCTCAAAGTCCACATAAGGAAAATGGGCATAATAATGTTTCTCTTACTGGGTCGCTGTGAGGCACAAATAAGATCATGCACAAAGAATTACTATGTAAGCT
This sequence comes from Homo sapiens, assembly GCF_000001405.40. NCBI lineage: Eukaryota > Metazoa > Chordata > Mammalia > Primates > Hominidae > Homo > Homo sapiens. The sequence continues at coordinate 117,903,401 of NC_000007.14, forward strand.
GTGAAGTGCTGCACAAATGAAATTTGTCAACGTTAAGAAAAACCAAAATTATCACATTGACCTTGGACTCACCCAATTTCTTTGATCTGTTTAAATGTGGTAAGAGGTACCACATTTAACCTCCTCAAAGGAGGTTTAGATATCTTGTCAATAACTTGTGTCATTAGAAACCAACCAATGTAGGTGAAACAGAGGGTCTTGCAAGCCAAGAAATGTGGGCATCTGGTAAGAAAATAGCAGAAGCAAAGAAGCCCAGTCTAAAGAGATAGAGTGAGCCCAGAAAGCCCAATGGAAATAGTATTGTCAATACTATTTTTCAACTTACTGGTAAGAATACAAATTTTTAAAAATGATTCTAATTGCATTAGGTACAATAAAAACCTACTTGAAGTAGTTACAGAATATGTACAATTTCAGTAGTATTTGGTTGTTTTGGACAACTGACCAAGGAGGAGGGTTAATTGAGGTTGAATTGGGATCCTTCTATTATAGAGTTAGGCATTTTTTGTCTACAGAAGGACTGGTTTCTTTACATGGAAGCTAATTTCTTTTAGACCAAGACAACTCTGTAATTCTCCACTAGTTATGACTTAAACGTAGCACCAAATATGGCCCTTGGGTCGAGTAATATGCTAACCCAAAATGTTTTATGCTGTATAACAATACTTGCAGTTATCATGCTATAAATTCAATTTCAGTATTTTTCAGTGTTGCTGCTCTGTGAGCGCAAACCTTCCTCTTGTCTTTGTTCATTCTTTCATTTGTATGCTTTCTTTCTTCTCTTTGCTACTCTTTTTCTCTTTTTTAAAATTCAGCTATTTGTCTTTCCAAGACCAAGAACAACTTATGGGGGTCATATTCAACCAGACACACTGTGTTAGTCAGTGTTTAGGATCATCCTAATATACTTTGCTCAAACCCCTTACTCTTGAAGTCGTGGTTTCCAATAAAGGAGATTCTCTAATAATGGACCTGAAATACACTATTAGGCTATGTGTTGTAGAGGGAGAGGTGCAGACAGGCATATTTGGGAAAAGAGCAAACATTCATGCTAAAAAAAAATAAATGAGGCTAGAGAAGTTATCCACTCTGCGCTCTTTGAGTTGAATAAGAAAGGGCAGGAAGGCTGTTTGACATACTCAAAATAATGTCCAGGTAATTTAGTAAACAAGACATGCTGGCATTGTAAATTGGTTGGGTGACCCTTGATGAGAATTAAAATACCACACATGCCCCTGATTGAATATTTTTCATTTTGTATCCTTAGTCTGATAAATCTGTGAGAAGATAGACATACATGTAACCTACATCTTTACCCTTAATATTATTGCTATTTCCACAGTTTTCCCATTGATTAGAGTGATTTTCTCGACATATTCAAATTGTCAGAGTATGAATAAGAGAAATATTTTAACGATGTGATTTATTGCAGGAGCACAGAACGTTCAGAAGAAGATGGCAAAGACCTTTTATACTTCTTTCTGTTTTCATGATCAAGCTTTCAGAAAAATAGACGTGAACAATTCAAATTACTTTCCCCAGGACTAGAAAACCTCAGTTGCCATTTTAGTTGCTTCTGCTTTTCTAGGTACTGAGATAATATATGCTATCTGCCCTCCAAAAATATATAACTGGAATATAAATTTGATTCTTATATTGCTTCAGACCTAGCCTTAACATCTAAAGATTTTTCATATTCTCCTCACATCTTTGAATTCAATTTTTCAAAAATTTAATTAAATCAGGCTTAAAAAGAAACAGTAGGATCTCCAATTTGGTTGATATTTTATTTTTCTGCTTCTACAATAAAAAATGTTTTTACCTACCATGAATTATAATATTAACTAGGTTGTGATTTGGAAATCCTTTTTAATCTTTATTAAATCTTTCATGAATAACATACATATGAAGAGATTTTAGTTGGAGATAGTCATTCAATTTGATTTAAATTAGAAGCAGATTCCACTATTTGTGATTAAGTGTTTTTGCAATTACTAATAGAATGCATCAGGTAATATAGGTAAGTGTTAACAGAAATACTAAGCTCATCAAGAATATTTTAAAATACATGCAGACCTTTAGTTAATAGACAATCTGTTTTTTGTTGGGTTGGCCATGTGATATATATGTTATATTGAACAATATATAAATGCATTGCTACTTACAATTTTACATGTATTTCCCGAGTGTAGGTTGTTTATATTCTCTAGACTAGGAGCCGTGTCTTAGGCAGTTGTATTTATTTGATATTAGGCAAATTATTTAACTCAATAGTTTTCTGGTAACTACTGGTTGAATGGCTAAATGTTCTCTGCTTAGATCTCTCATCCTCCCCTGTCTTTCAGCTACATCCTCTGTCCTCTTCCTGATCTGTGGGAATTATAGGTTTGTTTCTCCATGTACTGCTTCCCTTGCTTTCTTCTACTACCTACCATAACCCATTCATTGCTGGCTCAAACTCGTCTTAGGGTCTTGAAACTATCTAGGCCTGGCCCTAGGGGAGAGAGTCATTAGCCATGGCTTCTGTCCTTTGCTTTGTACACTGGGCACTTCTACTCCAAGAACAAGACCGGCACTGAGCTGCTTGGAGTAGCAGCAGTAACAGCAGCAGCAGTGTATCTGAAAAACTAGGTTCCCTGAGAGAGCTTTTCTCTTAGAAGATTGTGGCTTGTAGAGTTGCTTCTTAAAGACCTTGCCTCTGGTGTTAGGTAAGCATCTCACACACATTAAACAACGCACTTCATTAAAGGATAATCCTTAATTGAAAGCAAGTTCATCATGCATTAACAAGGTTATGATGGATCTTGTGTTCCATAAAAAGGGTTTATGAGCTTCAGAAAGAACACATTTGTTTCCTTCTCAACTCAAGGAGACTCTACTATTCAAATGCTCCTGGTGTTTAGCAAATCAACTCTAGCTTTTTCATCACCTCACACCAAAATTAACTTAAAAATGCTATTTATATCAGGCAAAGAAATCCAGTTAAAAGTGAGAATCCACTCTATATAATTATTTAACATCAGGTAGAACCACCCACTACTTTTTTCCATGAAAATGTTTATTTTTAAATTGAGTGTATCTACTTTTTTAAAGAGTTAAACAGAATGCATAGGACTTGATCTAATAAATAGCTGTTTTTTTCCTAGCCTTCAACTTCTCCCTTTTCATTTTTCTCTCCCATCATTCATTCATTCTTTCTTTTTCTCCTTTCCACAATAAGCCTCTTCTCATTCTTTGTTCCCCCGGATCTTCTCTTCACAATCAAGTTTCTTGCTCTCTCTCCACTGCATCGGCAGGTGGGGGGTCACTGAATCCTTTCAGTTTTCCATTTTAGTTCTTCCTCTGTTCTTGCAGTATACTTTCCTTGCATGTATTCATTCATACCTACAACATCAAATATCACTTAAATGTCCATAGTTCCTAGATTTAGAACTTTGGTCCAGATCTCTTTCTTGGGAGCCTCAAATGTTGTTTTCTGTTTGTTTACCAGGCATCTCTGCTTAGATAATCCATAGCAATGGTGGCCCAGCTAGAATTCATCATCTACAATAGTCTCACATCCTGCTTCCATAAATACCTTCCTGAATTTCTTATCTTATAAATGACACTTAATCCCACTGCCCAAGCCAGAGACGAGGGTATCATCCCAGATTACAATTTTTCCTTTAAATCCTGCATCTTGTCAATCTCTGTGCTCCATTGATTTCATCTCCTAAAGAATTCTGTCCCCCATATCTGTTTCCATGGTCACTGGAATGACTCACGCCCACGCAAATGGCATTGTTTGCCCATTTGTCAAAATAGGGCATTTTCTGATTGTTCCACTTTTAGCCTTATCTCATTATCTTCACAAAGCTGCTGAAATTTTCCAGTGTGAAAATCTGATTACTCCCTCTCCAGCTCAAAATTCTGCAGTGACTTCTTATTCTCTTCAGATAAAATCTGCAGTGTTTTGCTTGACAAAGTCTTCCATAATCAAGCCCCTATCCAGCCTCCACTCTCACCAGTTCTTTGTACCTTTAGCCCCTCCCACTTAACACTTCACATTCTGCCAATATTGGGCCACTTCTAGTGCCTCAGACACTCCGCGGTCTGCACACTGCTAGATGTGGTGCATGCTGTTCCTTGCCTGGCATGCCCTCAGCATATGTCTGCTCATTTTTCAAGGATTGTTTAGGAACTATCTGTCTGTGAAGCTTACCTTTATGTCCCTGGGCATACATGCTGCCATTGTACTTAAGCCTTACTTTCATCAGAACAGAAGGATCCTTTCTGTTTGCTTCTGTCTGTTACATTGTAGACTTCTTGGAGGCAAAGTTATGTTTTTCCACTTACGTGTTTGTATCACATACAAGTGTCTAACATACAGTAGGAACTCAATAAATGTTCATTAAATCAGTGGATAACTGAATGAATAAATGAATGAAATTACTAAAACAATTGAAGGCTTTGAAACTATGTGATGCCAAATATACTTGCATAAACTTTTTTTCATTTCAGCTTTTCATCTTGATTCTGCATAGACACATCATTAATTAAATTCTGGGTGCATGACAGACTTTATAGAGCATGCTTATATTTTTTCCTAAGATGAAGATAAAAATATTTGCATGTAAATGAGACAATACCCAACCTCAGAGAAGCACTATCCCTCACTCCTCCAGATAAACTCCATTACCTGTTGGGAAATAAATGAAAATGAATCCATTGCAGTAATGGGTTTTCAGGCCAATTTTACAAGCAAGAGCTCATTTCTAGTTGAAAGTAAATATGTTTCCTGAGCTTATGAAATCAGCCATTGCTTATGTTTACACATGCATTGAGGATGCGTTCATATCTCATTCAGGATCTGTGAAGTTTGAAATCAGCCCTAAGCATGAGCAAGACATTTGTGGTTTCACAGATTCCATTTACTCAAATTAATAAGCAAATTCTTAAGTTTCTAAATAATTTGAGTTATGAAAGCATCTCATATTTGAAGCATTTGCTCTTGTTTATAATTTTTTTTTAATTCTGGAAATTGAAATGTAAGGCAATAAAGCAGAAAAATGCACACATTCTTTTAGTGATAATTCTTTCTTCCCTTCTTCATGCATTCCTTTAAGTCTCTTCAGTTCCCTTCTAAAGTTGCCAATGGCAGGATGTGAGGACTTACCATGTGCCAGGCACAAGGCAAAGCACGATGTCTTAATAGGATTTAATCCTCTTAACAACCCATGCAAATGGATACTATTATTATCATCTCCAAGTAACAGAGGAGGAAATGGATTCAGGCAGAGGGTAAGCCATACAGCTTATAATTGGTAAAGTCAAGGCTGGAACCCAGGTCTGATTCCACAACCTTGCCTGCAATCCTTAGCGGCCCATGTCATCCAAAGCATGGGTAAAATTTGTGAGGTGGAAAATTATTCCAGCCTGATTTGAATCACCTCACACTCTGTTTAATAAGAATCGCATGTATCTCATTATTATCACATTGCCTTTTACATGTACTTTATAAAGTAGGCATTTTTTTTATAGCTAGTGATGTTGATTCCAGTTTGTAAGATGTAATAACTGGTTCAGAGAGGTTAGATGCTCCAAAGAAAATGAAGGGAGCAGGGAAGGAAGTTTTCTCCTTCCACATGATATTATTGAGAAATAAAAAAACAAAACAAAGCAAAACCCAAGAAAACAGAGATATTTCAGATGAAGTGGCATTGGCAAAGTTTTCCTGAGAGATGGCAACTATTTTAGACTTTGCAGAGGCTTTGCAGCCTCTATTGCAACTATTCAATTCTGCTGTTGTAATGTGAAAGTAGACACACAGAATAAGTAAATGAATAAGTGTGGCTGTGTTCCAACAAGACTTTATTTATAAAAACAGGCAGCAGGCCAGGTTTGACCCACTAACCACAGTTTGTTGATGCTTAAGGCACCCAACTATATTCCTTATAATGTGTTATCAATCTGCATATTTGGAAATGCCTAGGTGATAAGCAGAATGTAGATAAATTACAGGAGAGTGATAGCATTTGAGGTCTATCAATATTATTTTTGTGCTACGTAGCTAAAGCTCCACTGTTTAAACTGGATATTATAAAAGTTCAAAGGGAGATAATCTATTTAAACTCTAGAAGCAGGCTATCTGGCAATTTATGACATCGAATTGTGAAGTCTTAGAAAAGCTTTTGACAGCTATGGAACTATGTTCATACAATTTGGAATTGCAATCTTAGTTGGTAGGATATACATTCAGACTCAATACAGATAATACAAACATGTACTATAAATCTTTGTAGTGTAATTAACAAAGTTGGGCACAGCAGTTTTATGATCCAAACTAATAAACAGCAATTTTTCTTAAAAAATACTAGAAACAAGGAAAAACAGAACTTACATGGAAATTTCAACTTCATGGATCTTCATGATGTTTTTCTTTATTTAAGAAATGGCAAGGCTGGGCGCGGTGGCTTACGCCTGTAATCCCAGCACTTTGGGAGGCCAAGGCTGGTCTCCTAAAGTCAGGAGTTCGAGACCAGCCTGACCAACGTGGTGAAACCTCATCTCTACTAAAAATACAAAAATTAGTTGGTCGAGGTGCCCTGCACCTGTAATCCAGCTACTCGGGAGACTGAGCAAGAGAATGACTTGAACTTGGGAGGCAGAAGTTGCAGTGAGCTGAGATCACACGATTGTACTCCAGCCTGGGTGACACGAGTGAAACTCCGTCTCAAAATAAATAAATAAATAAAAAGGCAAGCCTATTTTAAGATGCTGTTACTGTCTTTTAGATAGATGTAGAACGGTAGAGAAGCCTATGGAAACAAAGTGTTTGAGTTGGTAGTTTCACTCTGTCACTTCCTAGCTGTGTGCACAAATTCTTAAGCATCTATAAGCCTGGGCATAAAATATATAGCACAGGCCTGGCACATAGTAACTTCTCAATAAATAGTTGCAAAAATGATGATGTTGTTTTTCCCCCTGACTTCCTCTACCTAAAGGTGTAGATCTCTGCTTTACTAAAAATAAAAAGAAAATCTGAATTTGGATGTTGAATTCTAACACTGATTTGAATACTAAGGTAGAAGCCTTTTGGTTATTCCAAATAAATGATCACACAGTCTACAAACAGCTTCCACATGCTCACTATCATTCATTACTAGTAAGTCTGTGCCCCAGCCTTCCTGTGATAGAAAAAAAAAAAGGAATATCTTTCTTACGGCATTTTGGTATCATTAAAAACTAATGCACATATAAACCTATTGTGTACATTTGATACTTTGTTTAAAAGAAACCTGTCACCCTTTAGTGTGTGTGTGTGTGCTTAAAAGAGAAAGGGAGAGGAAAAAAGAGTCAGAGAGAGAAAGGGAAAGAAAAGGTGTATAGATCCCTAGGCACATTCAAATTTACTAGGTGATGCCATACTTTTTTTCTAATAAATTATAGCATGTTACCATTAGCAGTGGATGGAGTTTTCCTGGCTCTGTATCCTTACAAAGGTTTGGAATTATTAAACTTTTTAAAATTTTGTTTTTATTGACACATAGTAGTTATACATATTGATGGGCTACAGGTGATGTTTGATACATGTATACATTGCATAAAAATAAAATCAGGGTACTTAGCATATCTATTACCTCATGCATTTATCAGTTTTTTGTGATGAGAACATTCAAAAATCTTCTCTTCTAGCTGCTTTGAAATATACAGTACAATATTTTTAACCATAGTCACCAGAACGTATTTCTCCTATCTGACTAGCTTTTTACCTGTTGCTCAACGTCTCTCTATACTCTCTTTCCTCTCCTCTCCCTAGCCTCTGGTAACCACTATTCTACTTTCTACTTCTAAGGGATCTATTTATTTAGATTACACATATGAGTAAGATCATATGGTCTTTGTCTTTCTGTGCCTGTTCTATTTCACTTAACATAATGCTCCCCAGCTTCATTGATGTTGAGGCAAACAACAGGATTTCATTTTTTCTTATGGCTGCATATTATTTTAGTGAGTATATATATCACATTTTATTTATCCATCCAGCTGTTGATGGGCGCATAGGTTGATTCCATATCTTAACTATTGTGAATAGTGTTGTGATAAACGTGGGAGTAGAGCTATTTCCTCAACATACTGATTCTGATGAGGGGTTAATATGCAGAGTACATAAGGAATCCAAACAACTCAATAGCAAAAAAGCAAATAATCTGATTGAAAAACAGGTAGAAGACTTGAATAGACATTTCTCAAAAGAAGACATACAAATGGCCAACAGGCACGTGAAAATATGCTCAGCATCACTAATCATCAAGAAAATAGAAATCAAATCGAAATAGAATTACCATATGATCCAACAACCCACTCCTGGGTGCAAATTCAAACGAAATTGAATTGTTCAACTTTAAAATTTTTTCAATCTTGTGGGTTTGAAATGGATTCTCATTGTAGTTTTAATTTGCATTTCTTAATTCCCTAATGGGACACATAAGTCTTATATATTATATGCAAATATAATCCAGATTTTTTCTATATTATATAATACAAATGTTTCATAAAAGACACTTACATTTCTTCTGTTGAGACATGCCTGTCAAAGTCTTTTGCTCATTGTTTTTTCAGTTGATTACTTGTCTTTTACTTATTGTTCTATATGAATTTTTAACAAAGATATATTCTGGATAATTCTTTCCAGATTTAGGTGTTGAAAATATCTATCATAGCTTGTGGCTTGTCTTTTTATTCCCTTTCTTTGGTGTCCTTTGATGAACTAAGTTCTTAATTATGAGTCAGTCAAATTTGTCAATCTTCTTCCTATAGATTTTTACTTTTTTCATCTTACTTAAGAAATATTTCCCTACCTGAAGGTTATAAAATTATTTTTAAATGGTCTTCTAAAAGTTTTTACCATATTCTTATGTGCATTTAGGTTTTTAATCCACCCTGATTTTTATGTATAGTACGAGGTGAGGATACAATTTCACTTTTTCATCTGTTGTTCCAGCACTATCATATTAAATAATCAATTTTTTCCACAGATGTACAAAGCCTGCTCTGTCACAAATAGAGGATTTATATATTTGTGGTTTGTTTCTGGCCTATTTTTTTCCAACCATGGTACAATATCATGTTAACAACTACTATAGCTTTATACTAAATCTTTATACTGACAGGATAAGTCTTCCCTCCTTGCTCTATTTTTCTTCTCTAGGAATGTTTAGCTATTCTTTGTCCTTTGTCCTTTCAAATGCATATTAGAATAAACCGATCAATTTCAACAAAAAATCCTTTTGAGATTTGGACTGGAATTGCAGTCCAAATTGGATTTGAACTAAATTTAAAAACAATTGACATCTTGGCCGGGCCCAGAGGCTCATGCCTGTAATCCCAGTGCTTTGGGAGGCCAAAGTGGGCAGATCACTTGAGGTCAGGAGTTTAAGACCAGCCTGGCCAACATGGCGAAACCCCATCTCTACTAAAAATACAAAAATTTGCTGGGCATGGTGATGTGTGCCTGTAATCCCAGCTACTCTGGAGGCTGAGACAGGAGAATCACTTGAACCCTGGAGGTGGAGATTGCAGGGAGCCGAGATTGTGCCATTGCACTCCAGTCTGGGTGACAGAGTGAGACTTCATCTCAAAAAAAAAAAAGAAAGAAAAAAATTGACATAGTGATTATGTTGAGTCTTCCTATTCAAGTGAATTATATTCATTTTTCCATCTATTTATATATATTTTATATTTTTCAATAAAATTTTATAATTTTGTACCAAAACATAAAGTATCTAGAAAAATATGGTACAAAATTGTGCAAAATTATATCATTTTTTCTTGGTATTTTATGTTTTGTTGCTATTGTGAATGATGTAATTTTTAAAATTGTATTTGTCTTACTGATTACTGCTGATGTATAGGAAATGCATTTGACTTTTATGCATTCATTTTTATTTAGTAAACCTTACTAATCTCTACTAGTTGTAATGGTATAGCTTTAATTTTCTTTGGAATTTCTTCATTGTTACACACCTTTCATTTCTTATACCTTTTTCTTCTTTTTTACTTTTCTCTATCTGTACTAGCAAAGACCTACAGTGTAATGTTCAACAAGTGGGGTGATAGTGAGTATTTTGTATTTTTCCTGATCTTAAAATAAACTATTTTGACTGTTCACCATTCAGTAGGATTCTTGTGATATGCTTTTTGTAGATGCTCTTTCTTAGGCTAATATAATTCTCTTCTATTTCCAATTTGCAAAAATATAATACAAATTTGCTGAATTTTATTAAATTTGGTCTGCAAGTACTTAGATGATGTATGGTTTGTCGTCTCTAAACTACAAAGGTGGTCAATTACACTGATTGATATTTTTGATTTTTTATTTAATTTTTTTTTAAATGGAGTCTTTCTTTGTTGCCCCAGTTGGAGTACAAGTGGTGTGATCTCGGCTCATTGCAACTTCCGCCACTCAGGTTCAAGTGATTCTCCTGCCTCATCCTCTGGGGCAGCTGGGACTACAGGCACATACCACCATACCCAGCTAATTTTTGTATTTTTAGTAGAGACAGGGTTTCACCATGTTGGCCAGGCTGGTCTTGAACTCCTGACCTCCAATGATCTGCCTACCTTGGCCTCCCAAACTGTTTAGATTACAGGCGTGAGCCACTGCACCTGGCCTAAATATATTTTAAATTATATATATTAATCTTTATACATTTTGGTGAGATTTACATAATTGACACATAGTAAGAGTCATACTTTTTAGGTATACAGTCCTATGACTTTTGACACATGCATAGAATTGGGTAACCACCATCACAATCAAGACACATTTTGTGTCTTGATTGTGATTACCCACTCCATTTCCCATTACCTTATGGTCACCCTTTATGGTCATATCCAATCTCACCCTAATCCCCTGGAAACTACTGAAATCATATACTGTCTAGCCTTTTGAGACTGATTTTTTTTTTTTGGCTTAGCATAATATGTTTGAGATTCATCCATAATCTTGCATATTTAGCAGTATTCCATTGTATGCACATAACAGTTGGTGGACATCGATGTTGTCTCCAGTTTTTGATTATTACAAATGAAGATACTATAAACACTCAGGTACAAGATTTTAAGTGAACACTGATTTTCATTTTACTTGAGTAAATATCTAGGAATGGGAGTGCTAGGTTGTATAGAAAGGGCAATGTTGGCTCCATAAAATGAATTGGGAAATGTTTCTTCTTTTTTCTGGAACAAATTATGTGTAGTTGGTCATTTTTCTTCTTAAATGTTTAGTAGAATTCATCACGAAAACAATCTGGACCTGGGTTTTTCTTTCTTGGAAGGTTGTCAGCTATGAATTAAATTTCTCTAATTAATATGACTATTCAGGCTATCTAGTTCTTCTTGAGTGAGTTTTGGTAATTTGTGTCTTTCAAGGAAATGGTACATTTCATCTGTGTTGTGAAGTTTATGGTTATAGGGTTGCTCTTGCATTCCCTTATTATCCTTTTAATGTCTTTATGGTTTATAGTGATATCAGCTTATTTATTCCTGTTATTGGTATATTCTCTCTCTCTTTTATTTTTGGTTAGTCTGTCTAAAAGCTTATTAATTTTATCTTATCAAAGAAAACTTGTTTTGATTGATTTTCTTTATTCCTCTTTTTTCATTTTTACTGATTTCTGCTTTTATCTTTATTTCCTTTCTTCTGTTTACTTTGTGTTTAATTGGCTCTTCTATTAGTTTCATAAGATAGAAGCTTATTGATTTGACTCTTTCCTGTTTTCTAATACAAGATTTTATTGCCATAAAATTCCCTCTAAATATTACTTTAGAAATTTTCTCTAAGCATTACTTTAGCTGTAACCCACAGCTTTTGATGTGTTGTATTATTTTTCATTCAGTTCAAAATATTTTCAAATGTATTTTGAAACTCCTTCTTTAACCCATGGGTAATATAGAATTGTTCCAATTTCAAAATATTTTGGAATTTTCTAGGTATTTCTATCATTTTGCTTTTGACTTACCCATATCATAATAGTTAAAGTAGATTTTCTGATAGACAGCATATACTTCATCTTCTTTTAAAAATTCGATGTGTTAATTTTTATCTTTTAATTACTGTGTACATGCCATTTACATTTAAGTAATTATTGACAAAATGGTAGAACTTAGGTCTACCATTTCTTGTTTGTTTTCCCTGTTTTTCTCTTCTGCTATTCATTTTCTGCATTATTTTGCATAATATTAATTTTTATTTATTTATTTATTTGTACTATTCCAGTGAAACTCATCTATTGCTTTTTGGCTATCTTTCTTTGTATTTATTTAATATTTGCTCTAGCAATTTAAATATACATGTTTATATGTTTATGTATATATATCTTTTCACTGTCTATACATAGTTAATATCTTGTCTTTTTAGTATAGCATAAGAAACTTACCACCATATAGGGCTTTTTCCTTTATCCTGTTTATGTTTTAGTTGTCATATACATTATATCTATGTATATTGAAACCTCTCCAGGTGATGTTTAAATTTTTGCTTTACACAGTATTAGATATTTTAAAGAAATTAAAAGTAGAAGAAACACAGTGTGTTATATTTACCCAGATATTTACTAATTCTTTTAGTCTTTATTCATTTCTAAAGGCTCCTTTTTCCTTAATCATTTTACCTTCAGCCTGAATAACTTCCTTTAGTAATTCTTTCAGAACAGGTTGGCTTGCCATGGATTCTTTTAGTTTTCCTTCATCTGAGAATGTCTTTATTTAGCTTTCATTCCTGAAGGATATTTTTACTGGTTGTCAAATTCTCGACCGATAGTTCTTTTTTATGTTGCACTTTAAAGATGTTGTTCCGCTGTCTTCTAGCCTGTTGTCTAATGAGAAATCCATAGTCATCCGAATTGTTCTAAATGTAATGTGGAATTTTCTCTGACGGCTTTAAATATCTTTTCTTTGTCTTAGTTTTCAGCAGTTTCATGATGTATACTATTTGGGTATACCTTTATTTGAGTTTATCTTGCTTCCAATTTGTTGAACTTGTTAAGTCTGTAAATTTATGGCTTCGGCCAAAATTTGAGAAGTTTTGAGTGATTTTTCTTCAAATGTTCTGTACCAATCCCTCCTTTGTACCACTTCCTCTTTTTCAGGGACTCTAATCATATGATTGAAATAAAAATAGTTTGAGCCATAGGGGCTGGTGGGACAATATTGTTCCAATATCAAGGGATACAATAATTTCTTCTTTATTCTTCAGATTATTTGATTCTTATTAATATATCTTCAAATTCCCTTACTCTTTCCTTCCTCTTCTCAATTCTACTATTGAGTCCAAGTGAATTTTTAAATTTCAGATACTGTAATTTTCAGGTTTCAAATTTTTATTTTGTTCTTTTTTATATTTCCTAATTATCTGCTCAGAATTTCTATCTTCTATGCAAGATACATTTAAAATATACTTCTTTTTAGATGATTTATCCAAAATTTTAATTATTTCAATTGGGATGGCTGTGCAGTGTATCTCATCTGTTAAATTGCCAGAAACAAAAACCATGTTTTTTTTTTATTTCATGTTATCTTGCCTGCTATTTTTATGAGTCTTCTGATTAGTGTGCCAAGTAGTAAAATATCAACAGCACTTTCTTTATATAACAAAAATATATCACATTTGTATAGCAACCTGCAGTTTATAAGTAGTTTTAATGTTTATCCAAATAACTTTATGAGGGATGGAGGGCAAAAATTATCTCTATATTATAGAAGAGCAAATGGACTCACAGAGATTTACTTAACTTGTGCAAAGTAAGTATGAGGTAGAATCAGAATTATTGTTTAGTTCTCTTTTCTCTCTACCATGTTGCGTCTGGGATGTTAAACAGAAAATTTTATCCTGTGGCAACATCTGACAAATTCAAGCTGAGAGGACTGAACATTGGGGAAACAACTGGAGTTTCTTCACATTGATTTATAGATATGCGTTGAGTTTTTCTACTACCAACTGAATGTTCATTAAGGAGCCTTAGAGATGCTTGACAACAAAAGCATTATCCTTTCTATTTACTGTGTTATTCTCAAAGACAGAAGGGTCTTCCTTTAGCAGTCCTGATAATTGTATTCAAGGTCTTGAAGACTTGGGAAAAGTAGATTAGAAATGCAGAGACTGCCTTTGATCCTGAAGTACCAATCAAGGAAAGGTGCTAGCTTTACTTCAAGCATAAGAAAGCCTGATTTTTGTTGAAAGTAATGTTCAGAATATGATTTTTTATAAGATGATGTTTTTCTTTAGAATCTCTGATGATAATTGTGCTACAATAAACTGTTTTTAAGTTGGGACAATATATATCTCTTTTGTAAAAATTTAATATAATATGTAAGCAACAGAAAATAGTTTTATTAAACAGTGGCAAATAGAGGCTGAAGCCTCCAATAATCTCTTGTCAATGGTGATAGTGTGATTTTCCTTATTGTATTCCAAATGTCTTAAAACTTTGAATAGACTAGTTTGACAGGGGTGCTACAGATCCATCTTTTGTTTTATTTGCTTCTAATTTACCACACGTTGTAACATTTTGGAATATAGCTAGATAATTATATCAATGTATTGTACCCAAGTACAATAAAAAACATTTAAAAAAGGACATTTGCTAAAAATATTATCTTCAACCTTGATTAGTCCTTTCATGTTTTCCATAAGTTGTTTCTTGGTGATGTCTAGAAATTTTATGTGGATCTTGACTTGTAAGATTGGATTCTGTCTAGCTTAGTGTCTAAATATAAGTACACTCTCCTATAGTTATAAACAATTATCCAAATTCCCCCCTGTAACTTACTGCAATGATTACACCTACAATTACACATACATTCACTCTCTCCATAGTGGAACACAACCCACATTTCTTCCCAGTTATTGTAGCCATCTCTGAGTCCGTGATATCTGTTTAATGTCCATTCTTCTCAGTCAAATCTTATGGTTTCTTGTGATCCCTGTTATTTATGTTCCAAATAAGAAATTTAACCACCCTTAACACATCTAGTATGCCAATCAGTGAAAGAAACCTTTGTGTATTAGTCAGTGTTTTCTAGAGAAACAGAACCAACATGATATATATGAGGAGATTTATGTTGGGAATTTGCTCATATGATTATGGAGGCCAAGTAGTCCCACTATATACTATTGGCAAGCTGCACAACCAGGAATATTGGTGGTTTAATTGCAGTCTGAGTCTGAGGGCCTGAGAACCAGTGGAACTAATGATATAACTCTCAGTTTGAGGCTGAATGTCTGAGAACATGGATGGGGGTAAACACTGGTGTAATCTGAAGGCTCAAGAACCAGAAGTTCAGATGTCCAAAGGCAGGAGAAGATGGATGTCTCAACTTAAGAAGAAAGAGAAAAGAATTCACCTTTTCTCTGCCTTTTTGTCCTATCAAGCCTCTCAACAGATCGGATGATGCCTGCCCACACTGGTGGGAGCAGATCTTCCTTACCTAGTCTGCTGATTCAGATGCTATTCTCTTCCTGAAACACCTTCACAAACACATCCAGAAATAATGTTTTACCAGTTATCTTGGCATTACTTAACCCAATCAAGTTGACACATAAAATTAACCATCACACAGTGGTTAACAAAAGCTTTAAATAAAAAAATATATATATATTGCATGGGGGGGATCATGGCAAATGGGAGGCAGGACTAGATTGCAGGTCCCACTTGGACCGACAAAGCAGTGTGTGGAGGCTTGCATAGTGAAATTTTGCTCCAGAACGACTGCAGGAATAAGTTAGGAAAGCTGAGAGAAAATACAGACCCTCTGAAGGAAGTGGATTGCTCCTGCAAGACCCAAGAGACACCCCAAATACTCAGCCACAGCAAGACCCACACAAAGAGAGTCTGAACTCAGACACGCTTACCCCTGCCCCACCTGATGGTCCTTTCCTACCCACCCTGGTAGCTGAAGACAAGGGGCATATACTCTTGGGAGATCTAAGGCCCCACCTACTGCCTGTTCTTCCCCATACTACCGCAGCTGATGCTCTCTTCAAAGTGCCACCTCCCAGCAGGAGGCCAAGCAGCACAAAAATAGTCCATTAAATGACCAAAGCTAAGGACCCTCACAGAGCCCATTTCATACCCCTGCCACCTCCACTGGAGCAGGTGCTTGGATCCATGGCTGAGAAACCCACAGATGGTTGACATCACAGGACTCTGTGCAGACAAACCCTAGTACTAGCCTGGAGCATGGTAGACTTGCTGGGTGGCTAGATCCAGAAGAAAGATAACAATCAGCTCTCAGGAAGACACATCCCTAGGAAAAGGGGGAGGGTACTACATCAAGGGAACATCCTGTGGGACAATAGAATCTGAACAGCAACCTTGAGCCCTGGACCTTCACTCTGACACAGACTATCCAAGAGAGAAGGAACCAGAAAACCAACTCTGGTAATATGACAAAACAAGGTTCTTTAACACTCCCCAAAAATCACACTAGCTCAGCAGCAATGGATCCAAACCGAGAAAAAATCCCTGATTTACCTGATAAAGAATTCCGAAGCTCAGTTATTAAGCTAATCAGGGAGGCACCTGATAAAGTTGAAGCCCAATTTAAGGAAACAAAAAAAGATACAAAAAGTGAAGGGAGAAATTTCAATGAAGCAGATAGCATAAATAAGAAACAATCAAAACTTTAGGAAATAATGGATGCACTTATAGAAATGCCAAAATGCTCTGGAAAGTCTCAGCAATAGATGCGAACAAGGAGAAGAAAGAACTTCAGAGCTCGAAGACAAGGTCTTCAAATTAACCTAATCCAACAAAGACAAAGAAAAGAGATTAAGAAAATATGAACAAAGCCTCCGAGAAGTCTGGAAGTCTGGGATTATGCTAAATGTCTAAACCTAAGAATAATTGACATTCCTGAGGAAGAGGAGAAATCTAAAAGTTTGGAAAACATATTTGGGGGAATAATCGAGAAAAATTTCCATGGCCTTGCTAGTGACCTAGACATCCAAATACAAGAAGCTGAAAGAACATCTGGGAAATTCATTGCAAAAATATCATTGCATAGGCCCATTGTCATCAAGTTATCTAAAGTTAAGACCATCTTAAGAACTGTGAGGCAAAAGCACCAGGTAACCTATAAAGGAAAACCTATCAGATTAACAGCAGATTTCTCAGCAGAAACCCTACAAGCTAGAAAGGATTGGGGCCCTATCTTTAGCCTCCTTAAACAAAATAATTATCAGCCAAGAACTTTGTATCTAGCTAAACTAAGCTTCATAAATGAAGGAAAGATACAGTCTTTTTCAGACAAACAAATGCTGAGCGAATTTGCCACTACCAAGCCAGCACTACAAGAACTGCTAAAAAGAGCTCTAAATCTTGAAACAAATCCTGGAAACACATCAAAACAGAACCTCTTTAAAGCATAAATCTCACAGGACCTATAAAACAAAAATACAATTTAAAAAACTCCAAAAATCATGTGCATGTGCCTTTATAGCAGCATGATTTATAATCCTTTGGGTATATACCCAGTAATGGGATGGCTGGGTCAAATGGTATTTCTAGTTCTAGATCCTTGAGGAATTGCCACAAACAAAAATCCAAGGCAACAAATAGCATGATGAATGGAATGGTACCTCACATCTCAATACTAATGTTGAACGTAAATGTCCTAAATGCTGCACTTAAAAGAAACAGAATTGCAGAATGGATAAGAACTCAACAACCAACTATCTGCTGCCTTTAAGAGACTCACCTAACACATAAAGACTCACATAAACTTAAGGTAAAGGGGTAGAAAAAGATATTACATGCTAATGGACACTGAAAGTGAGCAGGAATAGCTATTATTATATAAGACAAAACAAACTTTAAAGCAACAGCAGTTAAAAAGACAAAGAGGGACATATATAATGATAAAATCCTAAATATATCACTATCCTAAATAAATATGCACCTAACACTGGAGCTTCCAAATTTATAAAACAATTACTGCTAGACCTAAGAAATGAGATAGACAGCAACACAATAATAGTGATAATAGTGGGGAATTTCAGTACTCCTCTGACAACACTAGACAGGTCATCAAGACAAAAGGTCAACAAAGAAACAATGGTTTTAAACTATATCCTGGAACAAATTGACTTAACAGATATTTACAGAACATTCTACCCAACAACCACAGAATCTATACTGTATTCAACAACACATGGAACTTCCTCCAAGATAGAGCATATGATAGGCCACAAGACGAGCCTCAATACATTTAAGAAAATCAAAATGACGTCAAGCACCCCCTTACACCACAGTGGAATAAAACTGGAAATCAACTCCAAATTGATTTGAAACTCCAGATGTATTGAAACGTGGGAATTAAATAACCTGTTCCTGAATGATCAACAATGAAATCAAGAGGGAAATAAAAAACTTCTCTGAACCAAATGACAACAGTGACCCACCTTTCAAAACCTGTGGGATACAGCAAAGGCAATGCTAAGAGGAAAGTTCATAGCCCTAAACCCCTACATCAAAAAGTCTGAAAGAACACAAACAATCTAAGGTCACACCTCAAGGAGCTAGAGAAACAAGAACATGCCAAACCCAAACCCAGCAGAAGAAAGGAAATTACCAAGATCAGAGCAGAACTAATGAAATTGTAACAATAAAAAATACAAAAGATAAATGAAACAAAAAGCTGATTATTTGAAAAGATAAATAACACTGATAGATCATTAGCAAGATTAACCAAAAAAAGAGAGAAAATCCAAATAAGCTCAGTTACAAACAAAACAGGAGATATTACAACTGACACCACAGAAATACAAAAGATCATTCAAGGCTACTATGAACACCTTTATGTGCATAACTAGAAAACCTACAGGAGATGGATAAATTCCTGGAAAGATACAACCCTCCTAGCTTATATCAGGAAGAAACAGATACCTGGAAAGACCAATAATAAGCAGTAAGATTGAAGTGGTAATAAAAAAATTACCAAAAAAAAGAAGCCCAGGACCAGATAGATTCACAGTAGAATTGTACCAGACATTCAAATAAGCATTGATACCAATCCTATTGACACTAGTCCACAAGAGAGATAAAGAGGGAATCCTCCCTAAATCATTCTATGAAACCAGTATCACCCTAATCCCAAAACCAGGAAAGGACATGACCAAAACAGAAACCCACAGACCAATATCTCTAATGAACATGGATGCAAAACTCCTTAACAAAATACTACCTAACCGAATCCAACAACATATCAAAAAGACAATTTACCATGATCATGTGGGTTTCATACCAGGGATGTAGGGATGGTTTAACATATGCAAGTCAATAAATGTGATACATCACATAAACAGAATTGAAAACAAAAATCACATGATCATCTTCATAGATGCAGAAAAAGCATTCAACAAAATCCAGCATTCCTTCATGATTAAAACTCTCGGCAGGTAAATAATGAAATGAAGGCAGAAATAAAGATGTTCTTTGAAACCAAAGAGAACAAAGACACAACATACCAGAATCTCTGGGACACATTCAAAGCAGTGTGTAGAGGGAAATTTATAGCACTAAATGTACACAAGAGAAAGCAGGAAAGATCTAAAATTGACACCCTAACATCACAATTAAAAGAACTAGAAAAGTAAGAGCAAACACATTCAAAAGCTAGCAGAAGGCAAGAAATAACTAAGATCAGAGCAGAACTGAAGGAAATAGAGACACAAAAAAACCCTTCAAAAAATTAATGAATCCAGGAGCTGGTTTTTCGAAATGATCAACAAAACTGATAGACCACTAGCAAGACTAATAAAGAAGAAAAGAGAGAAGAATCAAATAGACGCAATAAAAATGATAAAGGGGATATCACCACTGATCCCACAGAAATCAAACTACCATCAGAGAATACTACAAACACCTTCATGTGGAGAAAATTTTTGCAACCAACTTATCTGACAAAGGGCTAATATCCAGAATCTACAATGAACTCAAACAAATTTACAAGAAAAAAACAAGCAACCCCATCAAAAAATGGGTGAAGGATATGAACAGACACTTTTCAAAAGAAGACATTTATGCAGCCAAAAAACACATGAAAAAAATGCTCATCATCACTGGCCATCAGAGAAATGCAAATCAAAACCACAATGAGATACCAACTCATACCAGTTAGAATGACAATCATTAAAAAGTCAGGAAACAACAGGTGCTGGAGAGGATGTGGAGAAATAGGAACACTTTTACACTGTTGGTGGGACTGTAAACTAGTTCAACCATTGTGGAAGTCAGTGTGGTGATTCCTCAGGGATCTAGAACTAGAAATACCATTTGACCCAGTCATCCCATTACTGGGTATATACCCAAAGAATTATAAATCATGCTGCTATAAAGACACATGCACACATATGTTTATAGCGGCACTATTCACAATAGCAAAGACTTGGAACCAACCTAAATGTCCAACAACGATAGACTGGATTAAGAAAATGTGGCATACATACACAATGGAATACTATGTAGCCATAAAAAATGATGAGTTCATGTCCTTTGTAGGGACATGGATGAAACTGGAAACCATCATTCTCAGCAAACTATCGCAAGGACAAAAAACCAAACACCGCATGTTCTAACTCATAGGTGGAAATTGAACAATGAGAACACATGGACACAGGAAGGGGAACATCACACACTGGGGCCTGTTGTGGGGTGGGGGGAGGGGGGAGGGAGAGCATTAGGAGATATACCTAATGCTAAATGATGAGTTAATGGGTGCAGCACACCAACATGACACATGTATACATATGTAACAAACCTGCACGTTGTGAACATGTACCCTAAAACTTAAAGTATAATAATAATAAAATAAAATAAATAAAATAAATAAAACTCTTGGCAAAATCAGCATACAAGGGACAGACCTCAATGTAATAAAAGCCATCTATGCCCACTCTCAGCACTTCTGTTCTACATCGTACTGGAAGCCCTAGCCAGAGTAATCAGACAAGAGAAAGAAATAAAGGGCATCCGAATTGGTAAAGAGGAAGTCAAACTGTTTCTGTTTGCTGATAATATGATTGTATACCTAGAAAACCCTAAAGACTCCTCCAAAAAGCTCCTAGAACTGATGAATGAATTCGGCAAAGTTTCCGGATACAAAATTAATGTACACAGATTAGTAGCTCTTCTATAGACTAACGGCAATCAAGGTGAGAATCAAATCAAGAACTCAACCCCTTTTACAATGCCTGCAAAAAAAAAAAAAAAAAAAGAAAGAAAAGAAAAGAAAATTCTTAGGAATATACCTAACCAAGGAAGTGAAAGACCTCTACAAGGAAAACTACAAAACACTGCTGAAAGAAATTACAGATGACACAAACAAATGAAAATGCATTCCATGCTCATGGATGGATAGAATCAATATTGTGAAACTGATCATACTGCCAAAAGCAATCTACAAATTTAATGCAATTCCCATAAAAATACCACCACCATTCTTCACGGAATTGGAAAAAACAATCTTAAAATTCACATGGAGCCAAAAAAGAGCCTGCATAGCCAAAGCAAGACTAAACAAAAAGAACAAATTTGGAGGGATCACATTATCTGATTTCAAATTATAGTATAAGACCATAGTCACCAAAACAGCATGGTACTGGTATAAAAATAGGCACATAGACCAATGGAACAGAATCGAGAACTCAGAAATAAACCCAACTACTTACAGCCAACTGATCTTCGACAAAGCAAATGAAAACAAAGTGGGGAAAGGCCACCTATTCAACAAATAGTGCTGGGATAATTGGCAAGCCATGTGTAGAAGAATGAAACCGGATCCTCATCTCTCACCTTATACAAAAATCTACTCAAGATGGATCAAGGATTTAAATCTAAAACCTGAAACTATAAAAATTCCAGAAGATAACATTGGAAAAACTCTTCTAGGCATTGCCCTAGGCAAGGATTTCATGACCAAGAACCCAAAAGCAAATTCAATAGAAACAAAGATAAATAGCTTGGACTTAATTAAACTGAAGAGCTTTTGCATGGCAAAAGGAACAGTCAGCAGAGTAAACAGACAACCCACAGAGCCAGAGAAAATCTTCACAATCTATACATCTGAAAAAGGACTAATATCCAGAATCTACAACAAACTCAAACAAATGAGCAAGAAAAAACAATTACATCAAAAATTGGGCTAAGGACAGGAATAGACAATTCTTAAAAGAAGATATACAAATGTCCAACAAACATATGAAAAAATGCTCAACATCACTAGTGATCAGGGAAATGCAAATCAAAACCACAATGCGATACCACTTTACTCCTGCAAGAATGGCCATAGTCAAAAAATAAAAAAATAATTGATGCTGGTGTGGATGCAGTGAAAAAGGAACACTTCTACACAGCTTGTGGGAATGTAAACTAATACAACCACTATGGAAAACAGTATGGAGATTCCTCACCTAAAAGTAGTACTGTCATTTGATCCAGTGATATCACTACTGGGTATCTACCCAGAGGAAAAGAAGTCATTATACAAAAAAGATAATTGCACATGTATGTTTATGGCAGCACATTTGCAATTGCAAAAATGTGGAACCAACCCAAATGCCCACCAATCAATGAGCAGATAAAGAAACTGTGGTATATATATCTGATATATATATATATATATATATTATATATATATATATATGATAGAATACTCCTCAGCCATAAAAAGGAATGAATTAATGGCATTCGCAGTGACCTAGATGAGACTGGACACTATTATTCTAAGTGAAGTATCTCTGATATGGAAAACCAAACATCGTATGTTCTCACTCATAAGTGGGAGCTAAGCCATGAGGATGCAAAGGTGTAAGAATGACACAATGAACCTTGGGGACTCAGGAGGGAAGGGTGGAAAAGGGGTGAGGGATAAAAGACTACAAATTAGGTGCAGTGTATAATGCTTGGGTGATGGGTGCACCAAAATCTCACAAATCACCACTAACTTACTCATGTAACCAAACTCCACCTACTCCCCAGTAACCCATGGGAAAAAAAATTAAAATTAGGATTAGGAGCCCGAGAAGCAGCCCCTACTGACACTATCTTTATCTTGCTAGGTAAGTAATTTACCTCTATTTGCAGACTTTCCTTTATGGAAATAAATAATCCAGTAGGTTAGTCACTTTGGGTTGGCTTGACTGTTATCTACCAAAAAGGTTTAATTTGCTCAGCGTCCTACATGATTTGGTCATCAAGGATGTTTGGGAGGATTTATGTATTGGGAGATATATTTGGTTGGGCTGTGACAGCAAACATGTAAATGTTCAACAAAATAGAAGTTTATATCTTGCTTACATCATAGTCCAGGAAGGCTGTAGTATTTACCACCTTCAACGCATGATTTCCAAGGTTGACCTGGTGATCTTCTCAAGTCCTGTTAACTAGAAGAGAGAAGAGCATGAGGAAGAATATGTGCAAAGTTTTCATGGGCTAGGATTGGAAGAGGGAGACATTGCTTCTTCTCATATGCCATTGAAGATAGTCAAAGGACCACAACTAAGTGTAAGGGAGACTAGAGGTATGCCTGAAGAAGGGAAGCAATTCTGGTGGACAGCCAGGCATCTTTGCCATAGGACTGACAACTTCTTAGCTGTGCATTTCCTGTTGGCAGTGACATAGAGGTTCAAAAATTGCCCTAAACAATGAGTTATGAGTTATCTTGTATCTCTTTCAGCCAGACTTGTTTTGTGTTTTGTTTATTTGTTTGGGAGTGATGATGGTGACAATGGAACTTCCTTAAAATCCCAGTGGTTTGCTTGTTTAGGAATTCCTTTTGCTAGTAACTGATGTCAGAGCAAGATGTTTGAATCTGGGCCTCTGCCCCTTCATGGTTTTGGTTTCTTGGTGACTCTTCAGTGGTGCTACCCATCGTTATGGGACTTGATTTGGTCTCTGTCTGCATGATGGCATTGGGGATGAGGCAAGGTTAAGGGACCCTCTGCCCCAGGTACTCCCAATATGCTTTATAATCTGGGGAAAGGAGAATGATGTTTGCCAGGGACAAGTGCTTTGGAAACATCTAGGGAATCTGGTTTCTCCATTCTGGTTGAACATTTACTGGAATTGGGTGCAGTGAGTTGTCTTTTGAAATCCAGAGCATGTCCAGTAGCAGAAAATGGCCTTTTGAGTAGAGCTGTGTCTTTCTCCTGCTCCACTTTTAGATGGCTCTGCTTGGTCCATTTGTTGTTGTTGCTATTGTTATTGTTGTTGTTGTTGCAACATCTTATTGAAGCCATACTTATTGTTGGCAAGAAGTAACCAATACTTCCAAATTCCTGTTTTCTTTCTACCAAGTCCCATAAAGTTCTAAACTCAGTGGGAATAGGCACAGGATCCGAATAACAATAAACAATGAACAATGATTAACTAATTGCTTTGCTACTGAGTTCTCTAATTCAGAGTGGAGGAAACCTGCTTGTCCTATTTACACCTGAACATAGACAATTCCACATTTTGGATCTGTCCCCAGCAATGCCTGTGGTCCTGTTACCAATTATGGCATCAATTAGGGCTCCGTTGGTTGCCAATGGCAGAAACCCCATCCAAAGTAGCTAAACAAATACAGAAACAGAAAAACAAAAAACACAAGTTCACCAGAGAGTAGTGCTGTTTCAATAGAAATAAAATTTGAGACTCATATGTAATATGAAAATTTCCAGAAGCCACATAAAAAAATAAAAAGTAATAGGTGGAATTAATCTTAAAATTTAGTTTATTTAAATAGTATATCAAAAATATAATCTCGATATATGTTCATTATAATAACTAGACATTTTACATCCTTTTTTCATACTGTCTTTAAAATCGAGTGATATTTTACGTATACAGAACAATTTAATTTGAACTAGTCATATTTCAAGTGCTCAGTAGCTGCTTGTAGCCATTGGCTACGATATTAAACAGCATAGTATTAAAGCATATTAGGGTGGCTCTTAGAACTGAAAGAATTCCTGAAGAACCACCCCTGCTTCTGTGAGATGGTTTCATTACTGTACACTTCTGATTTCTCACTGTGCCTGGGCACATGACTGCTAGCCTGTCTAGAATCACATTCTCAGCTTTATCAGAGAGGAGAGAGCTCTTCATCTTCCCAACAAGCTCTGCCTGTCTACTCCAGCTCCAGTTCAAAAAACTATTTGGAGAAAACTCTGACTGCCCATTTTCAGGTCAATCAGATGGCCCATTAATGAGGCGAGGTAACATAATTGGTCTAGTGTAGGACAGAGTGGGGTTCTGTGACTGACAGCTTAAAAAAAATCCTTATGACTAGAGTGGAGAATGAGGAGCTCTCCAAAAGAAGAAAGGTTTCTGTAACAAGAAGAGGAAAAGAGGTACTGGGAACTCTGAAACAATAAATGTATACATTCTCCTATGCCCAAGGAAGAATTACTGTACACTTGAATAAAATGTAAACAGGAATAAAATAAAACAGGAATAAAAGTACCTGTTTATGCAGGTACTATGACTATTGTTGGATGAACTGAAAACTCAGGTACAGACATTAGTATATGTGCTTGCTATGTAAATATTCAGTGAGCAAGCTTGGAATTTCTAGAAAATGAAAATGGCAGCTTCATTTAACAACTAACTCCTTAATAAGCATATTTCTCACACTTATTTTGGTTTTTTGGTTAAAAAATAATCAGGATGCATAATACATTGATTTGGTAGTTTAATATTAAATCATAAAATGTTGTCTTCCTGACTAGAAATGAATGTGTGGAATGTCGGAAGAAAAAAAAAGTCAGGGATCAATAGTATTTTTAAGATACAGTCATGGTGATTATTTTATAAAAATGAAAAGATAACAGAATCCCATAAAACCCTGATAAGCAACAGACCCTACTGTTTCCAGGACCTTGCCAATTACTGTCAGTTTGCAAAATCCTTCCTGTGAAGATAGACTGATGTATGAGTGTAACTGTGGATCTTTTTCTCAGATGAAGACACAGAGCAGAAGCTTCTCTGGCTGCTGTGGCAGGTGATCATTTAAGGTTAAGGATGATTACTGTTTATCTTAGTCTGCTGGGACCCATCAGTAGCTTTCAACACTATGAATATATATGATGCTAATGTTCCTCTTAAATGTTCTGGCTAATGTAAAGGAGACAGCTTTCTCCAGGGTAAATTCAGTCCTAACACACTGTAGCTGAAGATGTTCCTATGCTTGGCCTAAATTAGTACTGATTGCAGGATTATCTTGAGAATCAGTGGAGTTGAAAAAAATATCTTTTACAGTTTTGTGCTTTAGTTCTTCCTGTCCCTTCCATGTGGTGCTGGAAAGTCAAAAGACACGGCTGTCCACTACAATGCCCTCTTCATCACAAAATCAGCATTTTTCTAAGTTAAATGTGCTTCACAATCAGGTAGGTGCTTAAAAATGTATCTCAGATGGCGCCGCCACTGGAGACTTTCAGTATATTTGGGGTGAGACTTAGAGATATTGATGTTTTTATAAGCCCTGTAGGTAATTCTAATGTACACACCTTTAAACTCAAACTTGAGTTTAAGTTGTGTCACTGTCTCTAATTTTCCATTCTGATAATGTATGGAGGAATGAAATAAAAAAACATGAAATGACAGTTCCCTTCATATCAGCTCCTTCTCAAAAAATTTTAAATCCAGGGGTATCCAGGGAGGGGAGAGTCTGGAGGAGCTCCAGGTGTCTGAACCTCCTGAGATGGTATGCAACATTTTATATACCTGTGCATTTTTTAAGAGAAATATACTTATAGCATTTATCAGATTCTTCAAATTCTCAAGTTCTAAATAGATGCATTAATAACTCCCCACTGACCACCTAGTTAAGTATAAATGCCTCAACTTGGTATTTAAGACATGAAGAACACTATTTTAAATCCACTGTCTAGTTTTTCTCTAACTCCTCTGCATGTACTCTAATTTCTGGTCAAAGAGACTATTCACTGCTCCCAGAGTACGTTGCTATTTCTGCACCTTTGCCCAAGCAGTTCCTTCTACCTGAAATGCCCCCTCTTATTGAAATTCACATCATCCATTATCCATTTTAAAAATCATTTCACCTATTTAAAAGAAATACTTTTACTGATTATAATTGCTTTCTCTTCAAAGGCCCTAAAATATTTTGTTTGAATCTGTTTTTATTTTATTTATTTATTTATTTATTTATTTTTAAGATAGAGTCTCACTCTGTTGCCCAGGCTGGAATGCAGTGGCCTGATCTTCGCTCACTGCAACCTCCACCTCCCGGGCTCAAGCAATTCTCCTGCCTCAGCTTCCTAAGTAGCTGGGATTACAGGTATGCACCACCACGTCCAGCTAATTTTCATATTTTTAGTAGAGACAAGGTTTCATCATGTTGGCCAGGCTGGTCTCAAACTCCTGACCTAAAGTGATCTGCTCACCTCGGCCTCCCAAAGTGCCGGGATTACAGGCATGAGCCACCGTGCCTGTCCTGAATCTTTTTTTTTTTTTTAAGAGTTACTTGCTTCTTATTTTATACATCTAAGTATTGAAGAATTGTTTCTTAATTTTCTCTGTAACCACTTTTACTTCCAGCCCTACACTTAGCATACTGCCTTCTACATAAAATACTAAAAAAATTTTGTTAAGTTAAACTAAACAAAGTAGTCACTGTTGGATGTTATATCCTTAATTAGCAAAACATTTTTTTTTAAATCTTATTTAGGAACTAAGGGCAGAATATGTGTATGTTTCTTAGTATATCCTCAAGGGTAGGAAAATCATTGCCCTTTAGGAGTGAGTAGATTCATATCAGAAAACTAAAAAATTCATGTAAAACCAAGTCTGTTGCACTTATATAAAAATATCAATGTGAGACTTATATTTATATGTTTTCAAATTACTTGCTCCAAGCAGTCAAAACAAGAGTTACATAAGCGTATAACAGCAGGAGGTAAAAACTTTTAAGGTCAGGTTTATTGAAGTATAATGTACAGACAGTAAAATATACCCTTTGTAGGCATACAGTTCTATAAGTTTTGACCAACTTATACAAGTGTGTAACTACCATCATGGTCAAAATACAGAACACATTCATCATCCTCAATTTCAAAGATTCCTTGCGCCCCTCTGTGGAGAATCCTTTCCCTCCTCTCTGAGCCCCTGACCACCACTAATCTCTTTTCTTGCACTATAATTTTTCTTTTTTTTTTTTCATTATACTTTAAGTTCTAGGGTACATGTGCACAACGTGCAGGTTTGTTACATATGTATACACGTGCCATGTTAGTGTGCTGCACCCATTAACTCGTCATTTACTTTAGGTATATCTCCTAATGCTATCCCTCCCCCCTCTCCCCACCCCACAACAGGCCCCGGTGTGTGATGTCCCCCTTCCTGATTGCACTATAATTTTTCTAGCTTTCTCCAGAGTAAATGCATACTGTTACCTTAATGGTATCATACAGCATGTTGTAAGTGAGCCTGGCTTCTTTTACTTAGCATAATGCTTTTGAGATCCAAGGTGACTTTTGAAAAGAGGAAATCACTGTTTTGTCTATATTCTGGAATGTTATTGAAAAATTGCATCAGGGAACCCCATACACATTTTCTACTATGTGATGAGTTTTTAGTTTCCTAGGGTTGCTGTAACAAGTTGCCACAGGCTTGGTGGCTCTAGACAACAACAATGTACACTGTCACACTTACGAAGGCAGGAAGTCTGAGATCAAAATGTCAGCAGGGCTGATCCCCACCAGGGGCTCTAGGAAGAGGCTCCCATTCTTTGCCTCTTCCAGCTCCTGGTGGCTGTTGACACTCCTGGGTTTGTGGTGCCACCATCTACTTTGTCTCCATCTTCACATGCTTTCCTCCTCTTTTCTGTTTCTCTTATGTGTGCCTCTTATAAGGACGCTTGTCAATAAATTTAGGTCCTATCTGGATAATCAGGTGGATCTTAGTTACATCTGCAAAAACACTTTTTCCAAATAAAATCACATTCCCAGACTTCAGGTATTATGGTATGGGCATAACTTTTGGGGAGCCACCATTTAACCCCAAACTACACTACACTCCTGGCCCCCTCCAAATTTACATCTTTCCTATGTACAAAATCCATTCATCTCATCCCAATACTTCCAAATGTCTGGACCCATTATGGCATCTACTCTAGGTTCAAAATCCTATCTAATTATCATCAGCTCAAACAGTTCCAAATGTCATCATCTAAATCCTCCAGTCAGGTATGGGTGAGTATTATTGATCTAGAGGCAAAATTCCTAACCATCGGTGGACTTGTGAAACTAGGACACAAGTTATCTGCTTCCAAAATACATTGGTGGGGCAGGCATAGAATAGACATTCCCATTTCAAAAGGGAAAAAAACAGAAGGAATAAAGGGGGTAATTGACCCCAAGCAAGTTTGAAATCCAGCAGGGTAAGTTCTGTTCAGTTTCTGTGGCTCAAGCCTTTGTCCTCTGGACCTTCAGAAGCTCTGCAGACTTCTGTGCCTATAGCTCTAGTCTCTGATTCTACACCTCTGGCCTCTGCCTCTGTACTCAGGCTGCTGCACTCAGAGTCATCCTTCCTTTTTATTTTTTGAAGGATTCATGTTTAAACAAAGTTAAGCTGAGTAGTTCTATCAACTCATTTCCTGAGTATAGGATTTTAAAAGTCCATCAGCCCTCTTTCACTTGCCCTACCTCTCTTCCCTTCAGTCGGTGCTGGCAGGGTTTCTGCTTATACAACAGTATCAAAAACCCTGTGGGTCTCCTGTGTATGTTATGGAGATCTATGCCATTAGAGAGCATGGCACTCCACAGATCTTTCCTGGATAATCCTGTTTCTATTCCTAGCTCTTTCTGAGTGATTGAGTGAATTCATGAGTAACACATCTAATCTCTTCAGCAAAAGGTTGTCCAGCCAAACTCTTAGAATTCTCTCCAGAGCATGCATTCTCAACAGTGAATCTCCTAATTTTAGCATCCTTTGCAATATGAATAGGCTGAGTACCTCTCAAATCACCAAATGCTGGTTCCTTTTTGCTTAATAGTTCCTACATCAAATTTCTCTTTCCTCACACATTTTACTAAAAGCAGCAAGAATAAACAAAGTCACATTGTCAACACTTTTCTTGGAAATTTCAGCTAAATATCCAAGTTTATCGCATACAAGTTATGCTTTCCACACAACTATAGAACACAATTCAGACTTACAGTTTCTGCCACTATATAAAAAAATTTCTTTTCCTCCAGTTTTTAATAATATATTCTTCATTTCTGACTGAGTTCTCACTAGCAGTGCCTTTAATTTCATATTTTTACCAATATTCTGTTCATGGTTGTATATGTATTATATAAGACAATAAAAACTTTCTCTACGACGTTCTTCACTTCCTTCTGAGCCTCACCATTGTCATCTTTGAAATCCATATTTCTATCAATAGTCTTGTTCAATATGATCTAGGGTTTTTTTCTTTTCTCTTTCTTTTCTTTTTCTTTTCTTTTTTTTTTTTTTTTTTTTTTTTTTTTTTTTTTTGAGACATGGTCTCACTCTGTTGCCCAGGCTGGAGTGCAGTGGCCCGATCTCAGCTCACTGCAGCCTTCACCTTCCAGTTTCAAGAGATTCTCCCACCTCAGTCTCTTGAGTAGCTGGGACTGCAGGCATGCACCACCATACCTGGCTAATTTTTGTGTTGTTTGGTAGAGATGGGGTTTTGCCATGTTGGCCAGGCTGGTCTCAAACTCCTGACCTCAAGTGATCTGCTTGCCTTGGGCTTCCAAAGTGCTGGGATTACAGGCGTAAGCTGCTGCACCCCACCATCTAGGTTTTTTCCTATCATGGTCCTCAAAATTATTCCAGCCTCTACCCAAAGGCACTTCCACAATTTTAGGTATTTTTTGGAGAGAAAAACTGAACTTCAAAAAACCCACAAAACCTCTGCTACCAAAATTATACACATCAAATGTTGATCCAATCTTGTATCAATCTATTGACAATTAAACAACACCATGTTTTCCTCACCTGGTTTAGTTAAACATACCCAGATAATATTTAATAAGATAATTATTATTCAAAGTATTTGTTCCTTTGAAACGAACTTTTAAAGAGAGCTCAAATCCTCAACAAATAAGCAAAACCTTTTGCCAATCATAAATTATTAATGACATCTCCAAATTTCCTCCAGAAAAATAGGTTTCAGTTTTTTTTTCCAGTTGACAAACTTTGAGAGACACTGCTGTTCAATGCAGCACACACATGAATAAAGACACTTTTTGATAACAAGGACATTATAATAAAATACCCCTCATACCTCCACCTCTAAATACAAAATTTCTCCTTTGGAATTAATGTTGCTTTCATCTCTTGAATTTAGATTCAATGATCAACAAACCTAAATTAGATCTAGCCATAATCTTTAAAATGATTGCATAAAAATAGGGAAGTAGTTTAAAGCTCTCAGAAACATAAGTTATAATAATAGATATACTTTATCAGGCTACAGGAAATGTAATATCATTTTAAATACCAGAACCCTACTCTTGTACCAACATCTGGATTAGCATCTCACCAGAGAAACAAAACCAGTAGGAGATTATACATATATATATACACATATATAATGTATATGTATAACGATATAGATGTATATGTATATAGATAAGGGAGGGAAGAAACATATATACATATACATATATACATACATATATGTATATATAATACATATATTAATATATCTTATGTTATATATATATGTGTGTGTGTATATATATGTATATATGTTTCTTCCCTCCCTTATCATCTAACATAAGATATATTAATAAGTTAACTTTATATCTCTGTATTTAAGTAACAGGATATCAAAGAGAAAGTGAGTATCACCCAAGGACTTTGCATCCTCTTCTGGAAAAAGATTATTATGTTTTCAGTTTTATGTAGGATAGTTTTATCAAGTTAAGTGGAAGAATGACTTTGTTATTATCTTTATTTGAAGGCCAGGTATGGTTTAAGGAGATATGTATGGGTGCCAAGACGACAAGGGGTGCATTATGAAGGACACTTCTTTTTTTTTTTTGAGACGGAGTCTTGCTCTGTTGCGTAGAGCAACACAGCTGGAGTGTAGTGGCACAATCTCAGCTCACTACAACCTCTGCCTCCCGGTTCAAGCAATTTTCCTGTCTCAGCCTCCCAAGTAGCTGGGATTACAGGTGCGCACCACCACGTTGGGCTAATTTTTGTATTTTTAGTAGAGACAGGGTTTTGCCATGTTGGCCAGTCTGGTCTCAAACTCCTGACCTCAGGTGATCCAGCCTCCTTGGCCTCCCAAAGTGCTGGGATTACAGGAGTGAGCCATTGCACCCAACTGAAGGACACTTTGTGTGTCAACTTGGCTATGCTGTAATACCCAGCTACTCAATCAAACATGAAACAAGGTGTTTTTGTGAAGGTATGTTGTAGATGTGATTGATATGTATAATCAGCTGATTTTAAGTAAAGCAGATTATCCTCAATAGTTGACATGGTCCTGATATAGTCAGTTGAAAGGCCTTAAGAGCAGAACCGAGGCTTCCCTGAGGAGGAAGAAATTCCACCTGTGGACCACAGCATCAGCCCATGCTCGATTTCCAGCCTCCCTTTCTGGTGGTCTGCCTTATAGATCTCAGTTACATTCTTTCCTTGCCATCACTTGCTCTTGGAGGCTCTTCCATAGCCCTCCAGCATCCTTCATGCCTCCCATTTAGTTTTAAGGGTTTCACTACAACTCAGAATAAGAAATGAACAGGGGATAACAAATGTAACTGACATATTTTACAAACATTCTCCTGAAGGCTGCAAAATCTCAACAACCGTGGCCCTTGACTTACAGGTCCTGGCTTTGTCCGAAACAAAGAGGAATCCTGTGAGGCTTCTATTGATTTGATAGGGGCTCATAAATGCCTCTTCTAAGAACCTTTCCCTTCTCTAGGGCCCTTTCTTACTAATTTGAAGTTGGACCCGAGGCAGAACAACGGATTCCTCTTTGTCTTGTGTGGCCAGTCCTCATTCCTGCAAGAGATGGCTCAGTCCCTATTACCTCACATTTTTAGCTGAAAGGAAAAATTATATGAATTTTAAATGATAACCAGTTTAATACTGCTAATAAGTAATATTTTTCTAGTTCAATAATATGAATATTCTTAAAAATATCAAGACTGAAAGCATGGCTGTTTACAATACCCAAGCTCATGATCCCTGATTGCGTTTCTAATGGTTCATTTCTTTAGGATGACTAAAAGGAACTTTTCCAAATGAATGCTGTTGATATTGTAAATACTAAGGCAGTAGGCTGATTAAAATGACCCTGGAGAGAATGGTCAAAATTTGCTTTATTCTCCATCTTTCTATCATGAAAGATAATTTTATGGCAAAGAACAGATATCAGGAAGACACTGGTAAAAAGAACATCCAGCCGGGTGTGGTGGCTCACGCCTGTAATTCCAGCACTTCGGGAGGCCGAGGCAGGTGGATCACCTGAGGTTAGGAGCTCAAGACCAGCCTGGCAAACATGGCAAAACCCCTGTCTCTACTAAAAATACAAAAAATTAGCCAGGTGTGGCGGCAGACGCCTGTAATCCCAGCTACTCAGGAGGCTGAAGGAGGAGAATCACTTGAATCTGGGAGGCAGAGGTTGCAGTGGGCGGAGATCCTGCCATTGCACTCCAGCCTGGGCAACGAGAATGAAACTTGGTCTCAAAAAAAAAAAAAAAAAAAAAAAAGAACATCCTACCTTTTCATGATATACTTACTATACAGATCTCAAAGCTTCTACAAACAAATTGAGTGTAGTACTTCAGACCAATGGGAATAAACATGTTCAGACTTGGTCTTTATTAATAGTCCCTACTGAAGCTCATGAGCACAAGAGTGCACAATAATCCAATGAACGCTGGGCCTCTGTAATACAGGCAAATCGAATAAGTCAGACAATGTCAATATTTCTGATTCAACTTTTCTGTGTAAACTATGAAAATGAGCCACCGTGTCCACGATGATTGTCCCAGATGTAATGAGTATCAGCTATATGGTCACAGACATAGTACATTGTGCTATGAAAGAGAAAAAGACACTGCATGCTTTAAAAAAAATGCAAGTTTCTATTTTTAAGTCTCATGACTGCCCCTAAATCGCTTGCCTCATTTCCTTCTAACAGCTGTCTTCAAGAAATTGGAGAATTGGAGAAAATATATGTCCAGGAAAAAATAAAGGCTAAGATCTTCAATTGCTCCTCTGGGAATTATATGCATGAGTTCCTTCATGTGGATCATTTATTCTCTAAGTTTTAAAGTTGTATACATTGTTCAAGTTCATGGAACATTCTAGGTAACTGGATTTTGCAGCTATGATAATGATGATAATCAATATTTCTTAAATTTAAAAAATGATTTGAGCAGATACTAATGCCTTATGAATATCTAAGTTTTATGGATCAGACATGTGCACAGAGCTCTTTGTTAATAATACACTAAAAATCAATTTGTTTAGTCATTCATCAGGTATTTATCCCTTACTAGCTTTCTGGCCTTGGGCAAATCACATAACCTCCATGGGTCTAAGTTTTTTCATTTATAAAATAAAGAGAATAATAAAATGTATAACTCAGGGGAATGTTTGGAATTTACTCACTTTGCAGAATGCCCAGTGCATTGTTGGTACTTTTAGTTTGTGTCACTGTTGTCACTGTGGTTGACAGTATAGTTCATCTCCATGTGCAGGTAATCTCAAGGCACAGGGCATGGAAAGAATAAATTACCCGTGGCCCCTTCTCTTGGGAGACTCCTTGTCTAATGGGAGAAAGGCATATAAGCAAATATTTGCACTTCATTGCTACATCTGCAAAAATCAAGGCCCAATGTATTGAGTGTCACGGCAATCCAGAGGAGAGAGTGTTGACTTTTCCTGGAATTATGAGGAAATGCTTGGAAGGACAACTGACTTTTGAGCTGAGCCTTGAGGGGTGGGAGGGAACCATCTAAGTCAAACTAGAAGTATAGGAAATCTTTGTGTGTAAGGACACATCATCTGAGAGATGTGAATGAAGATGGCTCATGTGTAGCATAACTAGTAATTCAGGAGGGCTGTGGCATAGAGAACATGTTAGGGTTGGTTGGAAACAAAATATATTATGACATTAGTTACTTAATTGCTTATTTGTTACCTGTCTCTTCCACTAGAATTTAAATTTCATCAGGGCAAGGACTTAGCTTATTTTATTTTCTTCCATATTCCCAGCAACTTCCAAAGTTCCTAAAGCATGGTATAATTATATATTATTGTTTGATAAAATTAATCAGTTATCTATTAATTACCCAATTTACTTGCCTCTAACAATGTTCTCATCCCTTTCTTATGTGCTTCTGTGTCACTTTGTTAATAACTTTCTAGTGATACTTTTGTGTGCTGGTCTCCTAACTCCCTTACAGATTAGAAGCTCTTTATGAAAAGTGACCAGCATCATGGCTACTGGCACATAGTATAGATGCATAAATGTTTGTTGAATGTAAATATTAAACTGTAAAATACTCCTATCAGATTATTTCCTAATTTGTTATAGAACACGAATATGGCAGATGCCAGAAAGAGAGCTGAGGAAAAGATGCAGAAGGCAAGCTAGCCCTCCCTCATGATGGAGCATCTGTGCTCTGTTCACTATCACCTGCTTACAGAGAAATGAAGTCTGCACATGCATGTGTTTTGTACCATATATACCACAGTGAAGCATGCAGACATCTTTCTTTAGATAGTAGTTGCTAGATATCTATGTCTTGCCTACATTAAACAAGTAACTCTAATGTTTTGCTCAAACAATTTTGATAGACCCAAACACATTTTGAAGGTCCAAATTCGCTACATTTTTGAGGGTAACTTTTCTTTTACATAAAGCAAACATATGACTCTAGAGGGACCAGGTGGAATGATTTAGAAGTAAAAACTAACATTTCATTCAATGGCCATCAACTCCCTTTACAGGGAGCTGTCCATGGAATTTTTCACATATTATCCTCCCTTCCCCTCCCTTGACTTGGTGGTTATAAAAATCTATGACCTCTGTCCTGTAGGATTTATAATGAGCTAGAAAACAGGCTTTTAATAAGAAAATTACGGCTAAGGCAGAATGTGATGGGTGACGGGTGAGTGGTACAAGGAATCAGCTGGGGTCATAAGCAAACGTGAGCCTAAACATTAGCTGCTGTAACATGATCAACTGCTCGCATTTTCTTTATGGTGAAATTAGCTCCAGGAAAGCTGGGATCCTATCAACTCTATGTACTATTGTATCCCAGTACTTCTTCTAATGCCTCATATAAAATAGGTGATATCAATAAATATTTGTGGGATGAAGGGCTGAATTCTTCCCTATGAAAAAGTTCCTCTCCTGCTGTCCTCCCAAAGCAGCTGTATACGAGAGTGTTTGAAATTGTTAGGCAATACAACAAATGCAAATAACTGTTCTTGCATGCCTAGAGTCACAGTGGGTGAAATGGCTCTGCTCCTGGCCCTGTTTGGTGCACCTTCTTGACCACTAAGTGTGCCACTGTCCTCACCAACGAGAGCTATCAGACCACTCCTGAAGGCAAATGCCCCTTGCAGCAGGTCTAGTTCCTACAGGAGGCAGATAATATCACAGCAAGGTGCATGTGTACAAAATAGCATACTGTGTACAAAATAGCGTACGCCACAGACATTATAATGACCTCTAAGACTTGCTTTTGTTGTTTTTCAATCTTTTGTATTTCTTGTACACATTTCTTAGTAAGAAAACCATAGAGAAGGAAATGTACACCTGCAGATGTACACTCAACTTCTGAGGTAGACAGGCAGGGCCAACCTACGGTATTGCTCTGTGTACTAGCTGTGAGTAGGGTCGGCAGCTTCACAAGAAACATAAGTCCAGAAGTGACAAGAAATCCACAGGCAGACTCTCATCAATCCATCCTCTTGGCTTAAAGTTGAAAGCCAACACCTGTCAAAGAGTTAGTTGTTATGCATTATCAATCACATTTGTATGCATGAAGGCATCTGCTCCTCTCCTGCCAGAGCCTAATGTAGTGAAAAGCAGAAGGTTTACTGAGTGCTGGAAAAGGGAAAGAGGGCGACTGGAGGGGAGAAGGATCACAGAAAGACAATCTCAGGAGCACTAGGAGATAAAAGCTATTAAAAGATAAAATTATGTTAATTCCAGTTATTGTGCCACTACATATATAAAATCATGGTCAATTACAAACTTATTTTCAACATGATAAGAAAAACCTGCATGTTGAACACATCTTTTTATATTTCTAAAAACAGAGGAGGAATGTAAGTCACATCATAAACGTGAATAGCTAAATTTTTTCAACACAATTCCTTGATTGGTCAAAATCCCTTCCTGCTCTGTAGTGAGGACTCCAGATTGACTTTTTGATAAATTATTCTCCTGTTTTTGTGGAGTGCACATTGTAGAAAAGACTGTTGGTGGCTGCTTAGATGACCAAAACATTAATTGTTCTTCCAAGTACCTGTGGCAGAGTCTTCATGTTGGAGAATGGGGGTTTCACCAAGTATCCTGGTGTACAAGAAAATGATACAATTCCCATCAGAGGTCCTCTTTCCATTAAGGAGAGGAAATGAAACAATCTGATTCCTGAAGATATGCCTGAATAAGTCCTTTTATCCAATATTCCTCTGTGCCCCTTGAAAGATACTCAGTCTTTGCCAAGTTGAGGTCTTGTGGGGTTTACAAGGCTCTTTGGAGCTGCGTCAAGAATACGTTGGAAAAATATTTTATCTTCCAGTTGACTGCATGTGAGTATGCAGAGTCAGAATCCTGAAAATTTAGCACTTTGGGGGAATGAGAGAGGGTTGGAATGTTTCAGGAGGTACTGATTATGACCATGAGTATCAGGATGATTACGACCAATTGCATCAGCTGGTCATCTAAGATGAAAACAACAGAACCCTATCATATTGGTTTACACAGTAAAGGAATTTATTAAAGGATATTAGGCAACTCACAGATTCTCTGAGAGGCCTAGAGAATGGGCCTTGGAAGCTCTGGAACCAGGAACAATGACTAAACCACACACTGAGGTTAATCCAACAGAGATCTTGCTGCTGCTGCTACTTAGCACAGATACACAACTTGCCTCACTGCTACTTGGCATTTGATTCCAGAACTTTCATCTCTGCTATCTTGGTTAGCCACCTGTCTCTGTGGTCATTCATTCCAGACAATGAATTACTCTTGGTACATGCTTCGCAGGTTGGTTCCTTTCTATATAGAAGTTTCACAATGGCTTATCTGACTGTTTGCACACAAGCTGCAAGAAAGGCTAAAAAAGAGTTTCTGACTTCTAACCCCAGAGAGGTGAAACATGATAAGGGATAGACTCCAAGCAATGGGAGGAGAATTCAAAAGATGCGAGCCACATCCATGACAAAAGGCCATAGCAAATAAAATGCTCTTACTTGCCTTTCCCCCTCAGCTAATACAGAATTTCAGTCCACAGCAAAGATACCTTTAATATTTTGGGTGATTTCTAGATGAGTCTTTTCCATGTTCTTAAACAAATCTAGATATAATCACATGGGTGTAAATTTGGACAGAGTGTTTCTCAATTCTTCTGGTGCTATAGTCTGTTAAGGGAGTGTCAACATGGTCTTGATTACTCCATAAAGTCTCATAGAATTTTTGGGAAAACATATCTTTCAGTTTTTAATTACAGTTAGGTCTGTGTTTTTATTATTGGCTTCATATATAAATCCCATCAGGGCCTGGCTTTGTGCAAAATCTAAATGACTTTATACTTCACTTATAAAATAGCACTCTCCCTTCCCCCGTTACCATTAAACTTTATTACTGGATCGATCTGCTTCCCTTTTCTCTTGAGATGTCTTTTCTACCAAAAGATACCTCAGTTCCTCCTGTACATAGACTTTTGGATGGCCTACCCCCAAACAGGTCAAATTCATGAGCATATTTCTGAATTCCTCCTTAGACATTAGTATGCTTTCTCAGTTTTTATAAATGTAAAAGTCCTTATTTCACCTTCATTTTTAAAAGAATTTTTTGCTATGTATAAAACTCTAGATTGATAGTTTATCTCTTTCAATAATTTAAAGATATCATTCCATTTTCTTCAGGCTTACAATGTTTCTGCTGAGAGGTCTGCTGTCATTTTTATCTTTGCTCCTCTATATATATTGTATCTGTTTTACTTTGGGAACTTTAAATATTTTCTTTCATTAGTAGTTTTTAGCAATTTGAGTATGATGTACAGTTACGCTATTTTCTTTAAACTTCTCATGAACTTCTTTCAAAACATTTATACGAAATTAAGGCATTTTTAGACACGTGAAAGCTGAGATAATCTACTACCAAATAGGCCTGTATTAAGTTGCACAATGACAAATGTTTAACAAGTAGCTTTCCAGGAAAATAAACCTAGATTTGTAGCATTTTGTGATTTCTATGCTGTAAATATTCCTTCAGTGGCTAATTTTATGCTAACAACCTGTCATTTCTGAAGACAGAGTATGGAAGAGACACACACAATGTTCCTGCAAACCTCCGTGAGCTGGCTCCAGCACAGTGCTGCTGGCAGCATGAGAAACATGAAAGGAAGCCCTTCAGGTAGAAGAAAAATGATACCAGAAGAAAATTTGGATCTACATAAAGAAAGAAAAAGCACTAGAAATTGAAAATATGTAGGCAAATATAAAATACTTTTTCTACTTAAGATGTTTTACTTTAAAAGATAATTGACTTTCTAAAGTGGAAATAATAACAATGTGTACTGTAAACCCTAGACAACCACTAAAAAGCAATGACAATAACAACAGCAGCAGCAAAGAGGTACAGATAATAAAACAATAATAGAAAGAAATAGACAGAAAATAGAACTGGTAAATGAATTAACTAATTTCATTACCCCCTAAAAAGGCAGGAACAGAAGAAAAAATGAAATGTTTAGTGCAAGTAGAACATTTAAGCCCAACCATATTATTATTGCATAAAATGCAAATAGTCTAGCCACTCCAAATATAAGGTAGAGATTGTCAGAGTGCATTAAAAGAAGGACCCAACTATATGCTGCTTTAAAGAAACACACTTTGCATATAAAATCTTAATATTTGAAAGAACATTATAATCAATTTTTTCAGATTAACAGATGGTTACTCAATGCACGTAGTCCCTAATTTTTTTTTTTTTTTTTTTTTGATATGGAGTCTTTCTCTGTCACCCTGGCTGGATTTCAGTGGTGCAATCTTGGCTTACTGCACCTCCATCTCCTGGGTTCAAGCCATTCTTGTACCTCAGCCTCCCGAGTAGCTGGGACTACAGGCGTGCACCACCAGGCTTGGCTAATTTTTTTTGCATTTTTAGTAGAGACAGGGTTTTGCCATGTTCCCCAGGCTGGTCTCAAACTCCTGAGCTCAGGCAGTTTGCCTGCCTCGGCCTCCCAAAGTGCTAGGATTATAGGCGTGAGCCACCACGCCTGGCCTGTCCCTAAATTTAACAAAAGATTACGTTCTAAGCAGAATGAAGTAAATTTATAAAAGGAGTTTTGGATTCAGAATCAGAACATCTGGGTAGGGAGTCCCAATTCTACATCTTACTAGATGTGTGGTTTTTGCTAAACCATACCTTGCTGGGGCTCAGTTTCTTTCTCTCTAAAATAGTGGGGTTTTTAGGGAGGTGAGGGAAATCATTTATCAGAAT
Organism: Homo sapiens; assembly: GCF_000001405.40. Classification (NCBI taxonomy): domain Eukaryota; kingdom Metazoa; phylum Chordata; class Mammalia; order Primates; family Hominidae; genus Homo; species Homo sapiens. The sequence goes on from NC_000007.14 coordinate 117,944,120, forward strand.
TACTCAATGAACTTCTAAAACACTTGTGAGACCACCCCACAACGCTCCCAGACTCTAATATCTTCTCAGATTGAGCCAGGAGGGTCTCGGTAGCCTGTTTACATGTTGAAAAAGCTCCCTAGTGAGTACAGTGAACAGCTCCGCCCCCTCAGGCTACCTGAGAGTTGAAGACACTGAACCTTATCATTTCTATGGTCCCTTCCACTTAAAATATTTTATGATTCTCTGATTTGAGCAGAATTAATATTTAGGTGTTCTTCAAATTACCTGAAGTTTGCAGCCACCTACTTGGCCAGCACTGATAGGCCCCAGGCTCGGCTCCTTGGCATCTTGCCATTTCCTTTCAGTTGATGGATTACAAATGGCATTTGTAACTCTGTTGATTTGCCTAGAGATATTTCATTTCAGAGTGAATGCATAGATCAAATAAAGGATACACTGTAGAAGCACATATGTAGTTGTCTATGCAATTCAGTTCACCACAGCAGAACTGCTTAGTGACTGTTCAATGCTGCCTAAGTCTAGGGTGGCTGGCGTTGATCTATCTGAAGAATCAATGAAGTCTGTGCAACTGAAAAGAGAGCACTAAATTAGCTTTACTGGTTCACAAAACTGGAAAGTAGGTCAGTGCCCAACATTCCAGTAATTGCTACTAGTGCTATGGCAGGCTCAGTGGCAGATACTGAGGAGCAGGACAGCCATCTAGAGCCCTCGAGTCAGGAGGAATAAGGCCCTGAGTTTCCAATTTGAGCTAGCCCAGACTAGCCCTCTAGGTCCACACTGGACCTCCCCTTTCAGCCTTCATCCAGGGCTATAGGAAATAATTTTCTATCATAGCATATGGTTTGTTTTAGTTTTAATATGTCAGAGATGTTTCCTTTAATTATTTTCCCATTACTTTTGCTATTTTTCAAAGACTTTTCTCCATTCCTCCCCTGAGAGTGCTCGAGGACTCTGTGTTATTTTATTTCTAACATGCTGCATTTCAAAAGACTTGTAGAATTAAATCTTGTCAGAAAAAGAGGGGGCTAATTAAGCAAGAGTGGGTCATGTTCTCATTTCCTGTCCTTAGTCAGAATGAAGGTCTTTTTAATTGTAGGGCTCAAGTTAAGGGACTAAAATTTTTATTCTAATAATTGTGAGCATCACCCTCTCATACACAGGTCAAAAGAGAGACCTGTGAAAGCCCCACTGAGGGAAGCCATTGATGATTTCAGAGGGAAGAAGACGGAAAGAGTAGATTGGCAAGTGGCCATAGGCAGGAGTATGCAGCTATGGTTTAGCTATCCTGTGGCAGCCATGTATATTGTTGCAGTCTTTGGTAGAGATCTCGACCTATATTTAATCAGGACGAGACCTTGTTGAAATCAAGAAGTACGTGAAATCTTTTCCCCTGACTTCACATTTCACTTTCCCCTTTCATTGCCTTGATTCCCAGTATCTCTCCTTCCATTCTTTTCTCTTCCTCACAGAGAAGATGCCTGTCTCATTCTCAGGGATCTGTCTACCAGCCTAACTCTACAAGGCCTCATTCTGAGATTTAAGTGCAATGGTGCTTGGACTTGGGCAACACTATGGCCTTGTTGCTTTCACTGAGAGATCACAAGAAAGAAGAACCTCAGTGTCCAGTGGTAGAGCATTACGAAATTTGGCAGGGGACAAGAGAGACATTTGAATTAGTAGCTTCCTGCTATTCTAGTATCAACACATTTGTAAGGGACTGTGCACCATAAGGTCCTGACAACGATTCTTGGAGCATGGCATCACTGCTTCATCATTCGGTACCTTTGCTAGAGAATATGAGGGGGAGATGAGAATTTGTTAGTAGGGATCTTGTGATTGTGCATAGTGCTGTGACATACATTATATTCTTTCAGACTTGATGTTATTTGGGGGCTGGAAAGATCAGGCATTATTATGCCCACTATATTAAGTTAGAAACTAAATCTGAGAGACCAAGCCATGTTCCTAATATCCACGAATAGTTGAGCTCCACTAGAAATCAAGTGTCTTAGCCCAAATCCATCTTGCATTAAGTCTGTGTGTGTGTGTTTGTGTGGTGGGGGGGGGTGTTAATTCTATACATTCCATTTTCGTAGAGAGTTCCATTTTGGCACACATTCATTTAAGGCTGTGAAATAGAAGCCAAAACAAACATATGCAACTCTTTGTTATTTTAGCCCAAGTCTTCTAGAAAACAGAGCCTGAGGCAAAACCTCACATGCTAATGCTTTAATGGGGGTGCAACCCCAGGAAATTAAGAGTAAAGGAAAGAAGGAGTGAGGCAGGGAAGGAAGGAAAGCTTAGTGGATTCTGTGATTCACCATTCAGGCCTCACCTTGGGAGTAATGGGATCACTCACTCAGCTACAGGAACTGCTGCTGGGAGACAAGCTGTTAGCCCTTTTCAGGAATTGCTTTGGCTGAAGAGAGATGCCTCATGCTGGTAACATGCACTTTCCAGAGCAGCCTCAACCAATGACTTGTCGAAACAGCAGCATACAGTCCTGGTCCCCTTGCCTGAATTCAAGACAACTTTTAAGGACTAGCCGCATTCCAGAGGTCCCGTGTAGTCAGCTGAGGCCTTTGTTATAGCTCATCACGGCCCAACTTCTCCTCTTGCCTGCCTTTGCTTTCATTCCTTCTCAAGATTGCTTCTTAATAAACTTCTTGCACCTTAATCTGTCTCAGTCTGCTTCCTAAGGCACTCAACTTACAAAAATATACACTTACATTCAGTACCAGGATTGTGTTAACTCCTATGCCCTCATAATATAGTCCAGAGAGATCTGGATCATCTGAACATTCTCTAGAGCATTGTACTGGTTCAGTATACTGAGGACATCATTCCAATACGACCAGAAAAACAAAAAGCTCAAATATTTTGGAGGCTTTGGCCCTACCAGATGGGAGGTAATCCCTACACAGATTTCAAGGACCTATTACATCAGTAGCATTTTTAGGATCCAGGGGTCTAAAATATTGCCTTCAAATAAAGGAGAAATTATTGTATCTTTCATCTCCCACTACAAAGAAAGAATTGTTATGTTTGACAGGCCTGCTCAGAGTCTGAGCCAGCATATCCTACACCTGGGCATACTACTCTGACCTGTATTCCAGGGGACCTGAGAGGCTGCCAGAGCTGAGTGGGCCCCAGAGTAGGAACGGGCTCTTCAGATGATATAGGCAAGTGGCCTGCTATGAGGGTCATGCAAGTTAGCAGACCCTATTGTCTTAACGTCATTAATCATGGGAAAGGGGCCACAATTGATGATTCCTTTCATGACAAGACCCAACGGAAATGGCAATGCAGATTCCTAATGCCATGTCATGTGCAGAGAACAGTTAAACACTTATCCAGAAACAGCTCCTGTCATACTATGGGGTAGAGTTGGAACACCCAATCATGGAACATTAACTTATCCTATGGCTAGAATTGTCATTATGAGCTGAACCCTGTCAAACCTACTAAGGTTCAGGAAGGTCCCACAGCAATCTATCTTAACACAAAAATGATACATCCTGAATTGAGCCCAAGCGAGACCAGAGTGTATAAGCAAGCTGTACAGCAGGTGGCTCAGAACCCCCATGTCACCTATCAATGTGTTCCAGTGCCTCTCCCCAAGTTCACTCTTTTTTTTTTTTTTTTTTTTGAGATGATGTCTCGCACTGTCACCCAGGCTGGAGTGCAGTGGCACAAACTCAGCTCACTGCGACCTCCAACTCCCAGGTTCAAGCGATTCTCCTGCCTCAGCCTTCTGAGTAGCTGGGATTACAGGTGCCTGCCACCACGCCCAGCTAATTTTTTGTATTTTTAGTAGAGATGGGGTTTCACCATGTTGGTCAGGCTGGTCTTGAACTCATGACCTCGTGATTCACCCACCTCGGCCTCCCAAAGTGCTGAGATTACAGGCATGAGCCACCGCGCCCGGCCCCCGAGTTCACTCTCACAGCTGTAGGGGGCATCTCATGCTCAGCTGATAGAAGAGGTTCAAAGATGGAATGGCTCAGCATGTAGGTGTAAGTCAGAAGCGGATTGTAGTTGCTTTATAGCCTGACTTGGGTGTGGCCAATGGGCCGCACTTTGGTGCAACAGGTTATTAACTTTATAAGCAAAGAGAACTGTCGCAAGGGCACAAGACACACAGGCAGTGGAAAATGTTTTGGCCAGCTGAAAGGGGTCTGTAAAGAGAAAGATTGTAAGGTTGGAAACAAGGAGGCATGTGGATGAATATATGGGAGTGAGCACATTGTGTGAAGACTTTTCTATCACATGCAATATCTACTGGAAAGTACCCATCACTGAAGAGGCACTTCACAGCCAGGTAGCCAAAAACAATTCAGACAGTTGACACCAACTAGCCACTGTCATTGGCCATGTAACACTGGCAAAAGGAGGACAGGAGTGGAGTTGCCATGGTAGCAGGGCCTAACAACATGGATCCAATAGCATCCACTTCTGCTTACCTTGGCCAATCTATTATTGCCATTGCCAAATGTTCCAGCAACAGAGAACAACTCTACATCTTTACGTAGCATCATCACTAAATAAACCACTTGTTGACAAGTTGACTACATTATGCTCCTTCAGTCTGGATGGGCTGGCGATTCATTTTGACAAGAGTAGACATATATTCCTGGTATGGGTTTCTTTTTCCTGCTCACTGGACCTATCCAAGGTCTTACAAAGTGTTTGATCCACCAGCATAAGTTTCCAGAGAACACTGCATCAGACCAAGAGCCCTACTTCACAGCAAAAAAGGTGTGAGGGTGAGGCCATATCACATACTTTACCACCTAGAAGGTGCTGGCCTGGAAGAGCAATGGCCCCTCCTGCTGAAGGCACAGCTGAGAGGATTACCCTGCTGAAGCACCAGCTCAGAGGACAGACGACCATACTCCAGGATGCAGCGCACACTCTGAATCAGCAAGTATAATAGGAGATTGTGTTCTCAACAGGTAGAATGCATGGGCAAGGACTGAGGGGTGGAAGCAGGAGTGGCTTGTTTACCACCGCTCCCCAGCACCCATTTGAGGAGTTTGTGCTTCCCATCCCGACAACTCTGAGCTCTGTGTGTCTAGGGGTCCCGGTTCCAAAGGAGGAACCCTTCCACCAGAGGACACATCAAGAGTCACACTGAACTCTAACTGCTACTGCCACCTGGGCACTGTGAAGTAATCATCTTGTCAGGGTTAACTGAAACTGAAGTTAGGCTAATGCTTCACAACGAGGGCAGGAAGAAATATGTTTGTTCTTACATGAGTCAGTTGAGTGTCTCTTTAGACAGCAACCATGGTCTGCAAAGTGCACAGTGCTCAAGGAGCTCAGATTTCTAAAGGATGCAGGACTGAGTCATGCCACTGGGTGAGCCACTGAGACCAGCAGAGATGCTAGCTGAAGGTGAAGGAGATCAAGAATGGACAATGTGAAGGGAGATGGTGAGTATAAATTGAGTTGCAGCAGCAGTGGAGCTGTAGTTCACTCTATTAACTTTCTCTTTTTAAATTTCCTCCAGAAAAAGAAGTGCACCAGTGTCCTGAAGGAGTGACTCCCAGAATTTATACAAAGAATTAGATCTGAACTGTACAGGGGTACATTGGAGTAGATGTTGTGATGTGCCCTCCACCTCCCCCTTCAGGAATGATGCAGACTTATTCCCTTACCTGCTGGGATTATTATCAGAAAACAGCCTTGGATGTCACCTTTGTTCGGCATTTGCCCTTGTCAATGTCATGCTCCCTTCTAAGGAGAGCCTACATCCAATGACTGGTTGATGAAGGAGTAAAAAGTATCCAGCCTCTGTGCCCCAACCTGGCATCATTCTGGAGGACCGTCAAAGCTGCAAAGATCCCTGTGGGTGTGGCTGATGTGTCACTTGAGAGTGTATCACAACCCAGCTAATTTCTCTGCTTACACTGCTTCTTTCCTTAGAGGTTGAAGGTCTTACAGTGAAAGTAAGAGGATTATGAACTCGGCTCAGGACAACTCTTTCATAAAAGGAATTATTAATGTGTTTTAATGCCAGATACCTTCAAAAGGGTTTTTGTCACATTTAAAATTATCGTGGGAAAATTTTTATACATTAACCTGGTGTCTTTACGGTATTAATTTTTTTTTTTCTTTTGGAGACAGAATCTTGCTCTGTTGCCCAGGCTGGAGTGCAGACTGCAGTGGTGCCATCTCAACTTACTGCAACCCCCACCTCCCGGGTTCAAGCAATTCTTGTGCCTCAGCCTCCCGAGTAGCTGGGATTACAGGCACAGGCCACCATGCCCAGCTAATTTTTTGTATTTTAGTAGAGACAGGGTTTCACCATGTTGCCCAGGCTGGTATCGAACTTCTGAGCTCAGGCAATCCACCTGCCTTAGCTTCCCAAAGTGCTAGGGTATTAAATAGGGAAATGACACTAAAAGAATAATGCATTGTTATATCATCAGGAGTTCAATCTGAAGGGGGCAAAGGATGCATAAGTAAGTTATTGTAACGTTACCATCACTCCCCAGTGGCTGGCATGGTAGGGCTGGAAGAATGGGAATATGTTTCCAAGGTCCAGAAGGAAGAAAAGGGCACTATGGGCAGTGGGAATAGCACAGGCCAAGCACAGAGGCGGAAACATGCAGCAGGTTACAGGGTGTGGCTGGAACGCGGAGTGCTGAAAGGCTGCAGATGAGCTTCAGGCTGGAGATGAAGAATAAATGAGTCAATCAAATAGGCCCACAATGCCAGCTGCAACTGAAATTCAGTCCAAAGTAAAGCAGTGCTGTTTGGAACTAGCAATTTCAGCCACAACTATCTTACAGACTTGCAAATTAGCTAAAAGCTGACTAAGGTGCTTTGGATTGAGCCAAGTATTTTTAGCGACCTTTATCAATAAGCAAGCACATTGTTAACCAAGACTGGGAAGTAGGAAGTATGTGTAGTTTATGACTTTAACTGATACCTGAATAGCATCTGTGGTTACAGGCATGGACTCTGGAGCAGGCTGCATCGGGTCAAATCTTGGTCCCCAGATGTACTTCCTGTGTGACTAAGGATACTTCTTTAACTTATTTGCACACTACTGTTAATCTCTAAAATGAGGATAACATATACCTATCTCAGGGTTGTTGTGAGAACTAAGTAAGTTACTATATGTGAAGTACTTAGAACTATGCTTGATACATATTAAGCATGAGAGAAAAAGAGAAGAGATGGGAGATGGAAGGAATGGAAATGCCAATGAGTTAGCAAGGAGAAAAATTATTCCCTGTGAGTGATCAGACAGTCATAACTAAAGGTATCGTTTCATCCTTTTTCCAAGGAATACCTGAGCTATGACTATGCTAAACAATTGTTCTTACATGATTCACTTGAGTGTCTCTTTAGACAGCAACCACGATCTGCAAAGGGTACAGTGCTCAGGGGGCTCAGATTTCTAAAACATGCGGGACCGAGTCATGCCACTGGGTGAGCCACTGAGACCAGCAGAGATGCTAGCTGAAGGTGAAGGAGATCTAGAATGGACAACGTGAAGGGAGATGATGAGTGTAAATTGAGTAGCAGCAGCAGTGGAGCTGTAGTTCACCCTATTAACTTTCTCTTTTTAAATTTCCTCTGGAAAAAGAAGTGCACCAGTGTCCTGAAGGAGTGACTCCCGGAATTTATGCAAAGAATTAGATCTCAAGTGTACAATAACTGAATTGTACAATACTATCAAGTGTACAATAACTAAATTGTACAATAGTATCCAAGCTCCCCATGGGCAGTGCAACCGGCCAGTGTACATCAATTAATCTCACCACCAGAGGCAAATGTGTCAGAATGCTCACTGTGACTTGCTCCAACCCACTGAAGCAACTGCACTTCCTATGTTTGAATTGGGTCATATTTCAGTGCGTCTGTGACCCACTACCTATTTGTGTTTCTATTCTTGGATATTTTAAAGGTTTGTCTTGAGGGGTGGATGGGGGAGACCATGTAGGCCTGTAGTGGAGTTTTTTGTTTTGTTGGGTTTTGTTTTGTTTTTTAGAGCCTGAAGACCAGGAGCAGAATGCCCTCATTTTACACAGAGAGACACTGAGGAAGGAGGACTTTGGTACCTCTGAGCCAGGCAGTGGCGAAGAAATTTAGAAATATGTCTCTCCTGGATGTTTTTGCTTGTATATGTGTCAGCATTTTACTGACTCAAACATAAAATTGAGCTTTTATTTACTTGGGGCAAGCCATTATTCTATAATATTTGATGTGTCTAACTCATTTAAAATGAAAGGGAAATGGAAACAGTACTTTAAAATGAAAATAGGGTTTCATTGTTCTTAGCTTCAGTATTCTTTAACTGCTTCGCCTCTGGAGTCAGTGTGAGGTTCTTAATCAGGGTTTGATTCCAGAAGCAGCTAATTATTAATCTGGGCTTGTACAAGCTACTAAACCTCTTAATTAATAGGTAAAATGATATCTACCTCCTAGGATTTTGTGAAGATTAATAAGTTAATTAGAGGACATAACGAATGTGAAATCCATTGAACATAACAGGTATTCAGTAAATGTAAGTCTCCACTCATGCCTGTCCTGTCCTAAGAGATAGAGTTTTAATGAGGACACCACTTAATTTTAACACAAATACAATCACTTCTTTCATAATCATTTCCTCCTAAATCAAAAGCTGACACAGAACTCATTTTCTGTCTCTGGATCTGCTTCCTAATTTGTAAAATGAGGTGGTTAGATTGTTTCCCTTCCGATGTCTTCAAAATCTGGATTTCTACGGCTTTTTCCTAGCTTTCCATTGGCCTGGGAAAATCATGTATCCCAGTCATCAAATTCTCCTGTTTGCTGAGAGAAAGAATAAGTTTAAATGCTTTGGGGTGAATAGAAGGAAAATGTCTCGCATTTTTCCTCTATGAAAGCATCTTTTTCCATTTTTGCTAGCTGCAAAGCACTATACAAGTATACAATTTTTGTCACTCTTACTATGATTCTTCTTACCACTCTCACTATTCTGTTTTCTCCATCTCCCACAATTGGATAGGAGATGCAAGTACTTCATGTTAGGATAAATATGTAATTAGGTCTATATATAACTCTATATATAAATATATAATTGTTCAGAAAGAACAGTATATGCATAGGCACACTCTTACTCATTGTACTAATCATAGCTTAGGTTTCATTCTACATCTATTCAGGCCTGTCTATTCAGTCACTTGCTATTCTTTCTGACTGGAGTGACAATATCAATCATGCTATTCCTATGGTCAGAAATTCTGGCTGCTGTTGCTACCACCATTTAGGAGTCCCCTTGTGAATTCCTGCCTGACAAGAACTCTCTGTACCTATGTACTGGGCTGACTGAACAAGAGAAGGATCTGCCTTCCCCAGTGGCCACCTAGAGTGGTTGAAAGACCTGACTTAGAAGTGTGGAGGTGTTGTTGCCCAGTGGAGCAGATTTTGACCAGTGGGAGAAAAGTGTATCCTAGCAATTAATGTGCTCTGTCTTCCTCTTCTCTCTTTATTTCCCATGGACTATTCTGAGTGTACTCCTTTCTTACAACCTTCCTTATGTCCTATGATTGTTGAGCAAACAGGCATGTTTGGTGATTGCTGTCTGTCACAGGTTGTGCTCCCTGAGAAGCAGACTCTAAGACAGTTTGGTGTGCAGTATTAAAGAATATGTCTAGTTTATTTCATCTATTAAGATCCCTTTTTCTTTCAGTTATTTTTTTTCATTTGTCTGATTTCCAGTTGGCCCATTTTCATGCATTCCTGCTCTTGTTTGATAACTTTATGTTCCTGTTTCTGGGATGCTATTTACTGCAATATCTCTTTGAGAAATTTAAACATTTGTTTTAAGTGAGGAATGCTGCCTTATTTATATTTTATCCTTTGTGTATTCTGCCAACGTATGGTCTTTTGACTATCTCACATAGCAGAAATTTTCCTGTATGCTTTATAATTTTCAATTATGGGTTTAATCTTCCCAGGGTGCTTATTTTTACCTACACCTCTTCCTATCCAGTGGTCTCATGGTTGCTTCATTGAGCTCTCTGTGTTGTTTAGCTCAATTAAGCTATTGGTTGGGGTGGATTCTTAAACTTTTTGTTGTTGCTATTTTTGTTAAATTACTCCATTGAAAACTTGATGATATCCCTATTTCCTTTTCCCCAAGAAATACAAATACACATATATACACACCCTTCTATATATACCCTTAGAAAGTTTATGGGCATTTCAAAGCCCAGTCATACATCTTGTAGGGGTACTTAGACCTTTAGTTAAGAACTCTGAGTGAGGAATATTGAGTTTCTGTACTATGGGGGTACAAAAACTCTAGATGTTTAGCCCTCTTGCAGTACAGCTTCAGTTATAATTATCTTGAAGGGTTTTTGCTTGGGCCATAGATAAGTGGCACATTTTAATTTCAGTCATTTTTATAAGTGCATGGCAGCAGCTCACTGTGGTTTTAACTTGCATTTTCTAATAACTAATGATGTTAAGCATCTTTTCATGTGCTTATTTGCATTCTATACACCTTTTTGGGGCAGGGGAAATGCCTGCTCAAATATTTTGCCCAATTCTTAAAAGTTGGCTTATTTGGTTTTCTTATTATTGATTTTAGAGTTCTCTTACATTCTATATACTAGCCCATTATCAACTATATGATTTGCAAATATTTTTCTCCAAGTATGGCTTTGTCTTTTCATTATCTTAATGTCTTTCAGAAAACAGAATTTAAAATCTGATGAAGTCCAATTACTTTTTTTTTGTTTATAGGTATGTTTTTAATGTTGTATCTAAGAAATCTTTGTCTAGCCTAAAGTCACAAAAATTTTATGATTTTCAAAATGTCTGATAATGTTAGGTCTATGATTCATTTTAAGTTAAAATTTAGATATGGTGTGAGGTTAACATATATTTTTAGTATTTAAAAATGTTGTATTTCTCTTTTATTTGGAGCTGAGGGGGGCTGGTTATGAGCTTGTTTACTCCAGAAAATTGACCCTAATTGGTACTACATTACACGGTGCTTCATTCAATAGTTCATTTGTTTGATATGCAAACTAATTACATATAGGCTAATTGGCTAGTTTCCAATTAAGAGAAGGAAATGACTGGCCATGCATGAAGTACTGGCTAATGGAGAACAGTTATGTAAATCATTCATTCTGACTCTCAGCAGACTGCCTGATTCTCCTTAACAACTGCGTTGGAAAAGCTACTTGCGTAATGAGATCAAACCCATATATTATCACATGTCTTATTTGTAATTAAGTAGTAAGTATCAACGAGGTCTAAATAAATCAGTTCAGAGGTGGTTAGTAAATTAAAAATATGCTACCAGCTGATGAAAGCATCTCTTCAAAATATAACATTTATGAAAAATATTTAATTAGTATACATGTTATGATGGAAACTGACAGGTAAAGGGCTTTCTAATATTGTTTTGAACTTCAATATATTTTCCCACCAAGCTTCTAAGATTGAAAAATGCAGCATTTTATTCACACTTAAAAAAAATAGAAAATAAATTTCTCTGTGACCTAGAAAAAAGAAGTTTCTTTTATAACTAACAAATATTTTTAGAGACAAAGGAAAACAAAGGACTTCAGAATGAGGCAGTAATATCTGGACTATATATTGTGCCCAGTTTGAAAATGTAGGTCATTTTAATACCACTTTGTCTTTTGTATAAAAATTCCAAAAATCATGAAGTGTAATCATAAGAAAAAAGCCTCTGCATTTTTACCTTTTTTTTGGAAAACTGCTGCTAACAATTTAAACTATTGTTATAAAATGGTTGTAATCAACATTTATCTTAGGATGGGAACTACATTTGATTGGGAAAGTGCTTCAGGTAGAGTATCAGACCCTGACAAGACCTTAATACTGTTGAAAATGTCTATGCAAAACAATAATAAAAATGTACTTGTTACTTTGGAGAAAGAAGGAGGATGAGGGAGAAAGAGAATAGAGATCAGATAGGTTGTAGAGAACTGTCTATCCCTGATATGAACTTCTCCCCTCAGCCTGGGTATCTCCAAATCTTCAGTAAAATACACACAAAAAGCAAAAAATGCATATTATTACATATCCTGTGGAACTGTTGAAGCAGCTGAGACCATCATCCTGACTAATACAGGGCAAACAGAGGATCATGTGCAGATGGCATATGCGTGGTAGCAGAGGAGCCTAGAGAATTCAGGATAGGAACTAGCAGAAACCATGGAATTTCTCTCACGGGACTGCGGAGTTGGGGTTTGGACTAAGTTTACCCAGATTTCTAGGGGCCCAGGAGACCCCCAGTGGGGATATGTGGGCTACATATAGATTTTACTGCTATAAAAACAAACAAGGCAGATTTGTATTTACTGATATAAAAACATGTCTATTAAATAGAAAAAGCAAGTTGTATAACAGTATCCCATTTTTTCCAAATAAGTCCACTGGAAGTTAAATACCAGAGGGAGAATTTACTATACAAACCAGATCTACATTAAGGATGTGTTCAGATACAAGAAACAGGTCCTAGCAATGGTGCCCAAGTGGAAAGAATGCAGGAGAGGGTGAGGAAATTCAGGGTTGTGGCGGAGGAAGGCCGTACAGACCCTGCTAAGCAATGGCATGGAAGACTATATGATCCCATGAAAAATGGAAATCAGGGACCCCTTGTTAAGGACTTATTAAGAATTCCAAGATGGCAACTGGAGAGCATTAAATCATGTGTGGGGCCCTTCTAAACACTGGATCCTGTGTGGCTGCCCAGATGACATTCCCATGACTAGGAGGACAAAATCTATAATTCCTGTGCCTTGTTGCATATTTTTCTCTTCTTTTAGTGCTGACTTTTTGGGGAAAATGACTCCTTTCTTCTAAAGGAAATATATAGTGAGACAATAAAGGCTTACTTGCCCCAAATCTCTTTGCTTACCACTTATCTTTGTCTTACTTCAGCCAGGCAGCTTAGAAGGCAGCTTCTGCAAATTCTCTCCCTGAGAATCACCGTTAGCAAGACTCACATTGACTGAGATCTGAAATCTCTCATATACTGGACTCAAATACCATTAACTTATTATTTCAGTCACATTTTCTTTTCTTTTGTTTCTTTTTTTTTGTTTTGTTTTAATTGAGTCAGGGTCTCACTCTATCACCCAGGCTGGAGTGCAGTGGCACAATCATGGCTCACTGCAGCCTCGATCTCCTGGGCTTAAGCGATCTTCCCACCTCAGCCTCCCAAGTAGCTGGTATTACAGGTGCATACTACCATGACTGGCTAATTTTTTTGGGTGTGTATATTTTTTTAGAGATGGAGTTTCACCACATTGTCCAGGCTGGTCTTGAACTGCTGGGCTGAAGCAGTCTTCCTGCCTTGGCCTCCCAGTGTCAGGATTACAGGTATGAGCCACCGTGCCTGGCCTTATTTCATATTTTCTAACAAAACTGTATTCCAATCTGATTGTTGTAGTGAAAACAGCAGTAGTGAGTGTAGTGAAAAGTGCAAAAATTTCTGGCATGCAGTAGGTTCTCAATATCTCTTCATATATCAATGAATTAATACAAATTTCATTCTAGTCTCAGTTCTAAATGTTCCTGAGGAAATCATTTAACATTGGGAGGCCTCAATTTCTCTTCTGAAGAATAATGGGGTTGAGGTAACTATCAAGTCTAAAAATGTTTGCGTAGTTCAATGTGTAGAAAGATTTTAAAAGAGAAAGAGCTGAGAGGATGGTAAGGGCTTACTTCTAGCAACCATTCTCTGCTTTGGAAAAGCAACATTAGAATAGGAAAAATTATATAAGCACAACTTCTTAATTTTGAATATGTAATCAATTAATGTATGTATCTATAACTTCCACATTAATATACTTCTAGCTGCATTATTTATTTATTCTACATGTCTAAATCTGTCACTATGCTAGTTCCTGTGTGGAAGACATGGCTAAAGAGGTTTGGTTATAACTATCTGGTTTTACATCCAGACTGTTAATTGGAGAATGAGGTTAAGGTTTGTAATCCCAAGTCTTGGTCTTTGGGCAGACTAAAATTCATCATTCTCCTGAGTCTTTCAGTACAATGTTCACCCCTAAAGCTGACCTATATCGACTGACGCAGATTCTCTTAGAAATTTTAAACTTTGTTTCTGGGCCAGAGTCAAGCAAAAAAAATAGTGACCTTTTTATTGACAGTTAAATATCACTTTCTCTTAAAATGGAGATATTATCAATAAAACCTCTATCCAATAAAGTCTCACACATTTAAAGCAGCTTAGTAGCAGATTGACAATATTAGTTCATGAGCTGGTCAGATTACATTTAATTAAGAGATATTTTAAATCAAACATAATAGCATTTTCCTCTCATTCTATCAATGAATTGAAGAAGATAATTTTATCTGGGAAAACTAATTGTTTTGAAAAACACTGCTCAATTTAGTAAAGTTGAAAAAATGTTTAGATACTTCGGCAGGAGAGAAGCATAAAGTCAGAACCAATTATGAGGAAGTAGAAAGACAACTGAGCCTGCAGTTCTGAAGGTTTGAATTAGCTTTGCTGCTTATGAGTTTTGAGGCTTTGGACAAGTTTTAAAACTACTTCAAGCATTATTTTCTCTTATAAAGGGAAATCATAATTCTAGCTCACAAGGATGTTGTAAGAGCTATACAGTGGAATAGCATCATGTTTGCATCTATGTTACACAAATAATGTGCATTCTCCCATGAAATTAAAATACATAACTATATATCCTCTTTTATACAATTAATATTTTGAGAAATAAAATTTGCAAACTATCCTTTGTTGCATACTATACTTTCTTTAGTCTGTAGATATTGTCTTCATACACATGCATATTTTAAAAGGTTGTTTGTATAAAACTATGCATGATATTCTTTATGGGCTATGGGTAATTTTATCCATATGTGATTTTTACCTTATGAAATGGCTTCACAATACAATCCCCATGTAAGATGTAACTCTGCTGCTTATGAAAGTGTTTTTGCAAACCTTAAAAATCATGCATGTGTAAGATGTTATTAATATTTTATTTTCATTTACAAGGAAAAGTGAAATATAATAAAAAGGAAGACAGTAGGATGAAAAACAGAACCTTACATAAAGATTTTCTCATATTATGTTTCTTAATTGCCCATGGTTTTTTATTTAGCCTAAATAAATAACATTGTAATTTAGAGTGTGCTATATTTTAGCCTCAGAAAAGTATATTTGTGTATGCAGAAAAATCTCTATTGGACATAAAACAATGCCTTAATTTTAACACAATATTTTATCCTTAGTAGTCATACAAGTTGATTTTAAAATAATAAACTGAGTTTAAATCCATTGAATAAATAATTTTTGGATAATTGATGAATAACCAATTGAAGAATCTTCATAGTGACTCCATGGCTGCTGAAGTTTCACTAATAATTTTTAAAAACTTTATTTAACTGAAATTAATACATATATATCTGTTCTATAAAAATGTAAAGAGAACTTTAAGTTGTTATTAATCAAATATTAGAGCTTCAAAAACTTTGAAGGACAATTTTCATTCTGTTTTATAATTTAGATGTTGAAATCACAAATGGGTAAGTGATTTGTGTAAAGTTACACATCTACCACAGAGAAGATGGAACTCAAGGCTGGAAATTCAAAAGCCAGTCAGAACAAAAGCAGGTCAGCAGAGCAAGGACAGCTGAAACAGCCTGCTCATGAACTGTATCCTTCCCAAACTCCTCAGAAACATCACAAATATTGATGCTCTTCAGCTTGTCCTGGAAGGCTTCCAGAGTAAATATATAAGGCCACAGGAAAATATAGGAGGTCATGAACACTACACTTCAGTGTATTTTAGGCGCATAAAAACATAAAAATGCTGTATAATATCTCCTACCTAATTAAGTGTTATTGTATGCTAGCAAGCCATTCCCTTGGTTTTATTTCTACTTTTGGTGGCCTGATTTTCTTTGATTCTTTTTTCATTTTTTATTTTTATTTTTTGAGACAGAGTCTTACTCTGTCACCCAGGCTGGAGTGCAGTGGCTCAATTTCAGCTCACTGCAACCTCCACCTCCTGGGTTCAAGTGATTCTCCTGCCTCAGCCTCCCGAGTAGCTGGGATTACAGGCATGTGCCACCACACTCAGCTAATTTTTACATTTTTATTAGAGACGGGGTTTCGCCATGTTGGCCAGGCTAGTCTTGAACTCCTGACCTAGGTGATCCACCTGCCTGGGACTCCCAAAGTGCTGGGATTACAGGCGTGAGCCACTGTGCCTGGATTTCTTTGATTCTTTAATTTATGTCTCTCTGTGATCATATCTTAATCCCATTATCCCATTACAAACACTTGGCAAAAGACAATGCTATCAGAATTTTGATCTGGGAGAATGCTCTTCCTGGCAAGGCAAATTCTAGGTATAGCTGTTCCCCTGAAGGGTTTCTGTGGCATGGCATCCTACAGGAACATGTGTAGGTGTTAAGTGAGACAGGTTTCAAGTGGTGCCTCCAACACTTACTAGCTGCATTTATTCTCTGAACTGAGACACTCATTCTCTGAGTTTCTATTTCCTCATCTGCAAAATGAAGATAATGTTGTACAGTAGATCTAATAATTCAATGAAGTATATAAAGTGCTTAGCATAAAGTAGGCACTCTATAAAAAGCAGCTCCTTATTGTTATCAAAAGTTTCTTATTTTCCTCAATCAAAGAGAAGAAATATCAACTTCAGAAAGAAGAGGAATAACCTTTCCATGGGAAAAAAAATTCCTCTTCGAATAGTTATGGTGATGAGCCTTGTTTCATAATTTTCTCAGCCTTTTTGACATCTTAAGCAGCACCTTTCCGATCACCATCTCTTAGTCAATAAACTCGTGTTTATTGACATGAGTGAGAATATGAACAAAGTCCAAAGAAACCATGTTATTGTTACTCTAGAAAGATCATTGCACTGAATTGTTTATCTTGTCATGTATTTCCTTTTAAAAAGAAGTAAGAAAGACCTTTTTAAGGGGGAAAAAATTGTACTCTCTAGATACTTGATATGCAATCACAGTCCACTATCCTTGGGGGACTTTATCAGGTCTTATGCTCATTCAGATGCTTAGATGATTGTCTTTGTCCCTCACACCATCAAAGCCAAAACCTGACTGTATCATTTAGGCATCCAGCACGACCCTAAGTAACGATAACTACGGATGGCCAGTAACATTAACCTTTTAAGTTAGCTCCCAAAC